>NC_000014.9:51126864-51429894 GCF_000001405.40 Homo sapiens | reverse complement strand
ATTGATGAGTTGTGTGTTTTCTGTGAAAAGAATTTCTCCCCATTGATAGTTACTATTCAACATCCTTACAATGTCTCAAAGTCCCACAAGTGAAAGGGAACTGAGAGACAAGTAATCTAACTTCCTTATTTTATAAATATTAAAAATAAGATGGGGAAAATATACATGACTTGCCCAAGATCATAGAGGTAGTAATGTCAAAGCTGGGACTTTGTCAAGTTTTCCTCACTCCTGTCCAGTGCTTGGTCTCTTTTAAAAGCCCACGACACTTAATTGAATGTTAAATGGGGGAAACGGATCATTCTGTCCAAACGCATGAGATGTCCTTAGCCACATAAAAGTAGTTTACTTAGGGAGCCATCATACCTGTGCTCGACAAAGTTCAATGAGGGAATTGCAGAATTAGAGAAGAAAATGGTTTGGTAATGTGTGGATAAAGGGCTAGAGGGAAACAAACAAACAAAAAAAAATCTTCATGACTACCCAGGTGAAACTGTTTTTGAACGGCTGGGTTGCACATTAGAATCACCTGGGGGAGAGTTCTGATTATCTACTGCTGCATAACAAACCACAACAAAATTTAGTAGCTGAAAACAACAGCCATTTCATGAGAGCTCACAATTTTGAGGAAGAGGAATTGGAGCAAGTCTTAACCAGGTGATTCTTCTGCTCCTTGTGGTGTCAATTGGGATTAGTCGGTGGCATTTAGCTGGCAGCTGAACTGGTTTGGAGAATCAAAGATGACTTCACACACATGCTTTATTCACATGCTTGGTGCCTTGATAGGAACAAATGGGAATTTGAGCTCACCTGTTCTCTTCTCTTTTCTCTTCTCCTCTTCTCTTCCCTTTTCTTTTCTCTCCCCTCTCTCTCCCACCCTCTCTCTCCCCTCTCTCTCCCACCCTCTCTCTCCCCTCTGTCTCTCACCCTCTCTCTCCCCCTCTGTCTCTCCCCTTCTCTCTCTCTCCCCCTCTCTCTCTCCATGTAGCCTCAGGGAATATCTTCATAGTCTTCACATATGGCAAAGGTAGCTTGGGGCTCAAGAAACTGATAGAAACTGCCATTCTTTTTAAGGACCAGGCTTAGTGTTACTTCTGCCATTCTCTATTGGCAAAAGCAGTCAGGCAGCCCAGACCCACAAGGATTGGAAATAAATCCCACCTCCTAGTGGGAGAGGTATCAAAGAATTTGTAGCCATCTTTAATCTGCTGTAGCCCATCCTCTAGCCCCTAATTATTTATATTCCTGCCACATTCAAAGTTCACTCACCCTCTCCCACAACCCCCAAGATTCTCATCTCATTACAGCAACAGGCTCAGACTGGAGGTCCAGGATCGCATTTTCTAAATCATGTCTTGGTGCATATGAAGCTATCAGGTATGTTTCTTTAAATACAGTTCCTCTTCATCTGAAGACTTGTAACCTGGAGACTGGAGTTGTCTGCTCCATATACGCAGCATATAATGACCACACTGAGATCATTGCAGTAGACACTCAAGTTCAAAAGTGGGAGGGGCACAACGGGAATCACAGAAGTCACTTGTACATGGCAATTCTGAAATAGTTGGGCACGTGACACCAATTCCTTCATTCAAGCCCTGATTTAATTGGGTCGGGTGGGGGGCAGCCTGGGCACTGATAGTTTGTATTGGCTCCCCAGGTGATTCTAATGCATAGTCAGGGTTGGAATCACTGACCTAGGAAGTTCACCTGGCACCTTTAGTGTTCAAAGAAAAAGGAAAATACTCACTTGAAAAGTTTGAGTATGTCCTAAAGTGTGTTCTCATTTCACTTTGAGTCTTTTTTAAAATGTAGATTCTTCCCACAGCCCAGACTTACTGAACCCAAACTCCTTTTAACAAGCCTCCACCTCCCAAAACGATTCCCGTGCCACAAAAAGTTCACATCCACTGGATGTACCTCTTTGTAAAAATGTAGTTATATTTTGTGAATTTTTAAAGAATGTGGTAGTATTGTACATCCGTTGTTTGCTGGTCAATGTTTAACAACCAGGTCTTTGGGGAAGAAAAATCTTTGATGTATAGTGGGTGCCAATTTCTGTGGTGTAGATACTCCCACCATGGCTGCTTTCAAGTTCAGCGCAACATCAGAAAGCTTGCAAACTTCCTGAAAATGTACAATTACCTTTCACAAGACAGCACAAGCTAACAAGTATACCACTGCATGCTCACTTATGTTCACATCTCTATACGAAGTGGAAAACACGGGAACAGCATGTTTGAAGTAAGGCTGTCTTAGGTAAAAATCCTAATTCTGCAACTTATAGCCAACACGTGACCCATGACAAATTTGTTTTCTTCTCTAAGTCTCAATGTTTGCATAAGTAAAATGGGGATGACAATACTAGCACTACTTCAGGGGTTAAGTTTTCCCATTTCTTTTCAATCACATATTCCCAAAGTTCTATGTGCTTCTCCTCCCATAAGGTTCTTCATACATTCATAATTTAATTGTGTGCCTTCCTCAAATGCCTGAGCTATGTGAAGCCAAATTGTACCTCTTTCTTTTGGACCCATATGCACGGTGATCAGCAAAGTGGCTGGCATATGCCAAATAAATAATGTATTGCTCCACTCCCTCCTCCTGCATGCATGGCAGACAACAGTAACAGGTCATGACACTTGTATACAAGAGGATAAATAATTTGAGGAAAATGTGCTCTAGGGAACTTCCCCACAGTTGGAACTAGCCCATGAGATAAACCGATTTTCCACCTTGCTATAAGTTCTGCTAATAAAAGGTCCTGAGCCTCAAGGAAAAAAATAATATACCTACTAGGTCTCAGAAAGCAATTATTTTAACTTTACCATTTCAATAGGACTTAGACTCTCATATCTGATGAGGAGGGGAGAAAAGAAAGTTAAAGAAAAATTGGTAACTGTTCCATTTTCCAGTAGGCTAATTCCAATCCAGATCTATTTTCTTGTGGTCATTTTGGGCTCAGGCAAATTCTGCTCTGTCAGCTCTAAGCTAATGCAGTGGGGTGAAACAATAGGAGGTGAAGCCAGGGATCAGGCCCCATCCCATTCCTCACAACAGCCTGCGAGCCAGGGTCCTCACTGCCACTTCAAGGTCTAATAAGGAAGGTAGCAGAGAAGCTTGGAGTTCAAGAGAAAGTTCTCCACACTAGGTGAGCCCTCTCTGAGAAGAGAACGAGAAGGGTCTTAAACTCTGCACTCTCTGTTCCACTCCCCCCATCTCACGGTACCTGGCATCTCTTATCCTACTTAGTGTAGCTGATCTGCATTCAAGGTTATACATTACTTGTGTATTCATTCAGCAAATATTTATTAAGTCCAAATTTTCTAGGCATTGAGTAAATAAAGTGCAAAAATACATATAGTCTTCTCTGTTGAGAAGTTTGCCATCCACTTAGGAAAATAGAGGGTATATTAAAAAAACTATAGTACAAGGTAGAAAGTCATGTGTTGTAAGTGAACACAGACAAAAGTAGAGACTTCTGAGAGAGCGGGGTCTAATTCTAGTGGGGAGTGGGGCTTGCAGGTGGATGGGAAGGACACACAGACGCGGGCACAGTCAGAGAGTGCAAATGGTGAGGCTGAGACACCACGTGACTAGGTGGAGGATCTGGAGGGGATGGAATGGAAAACACAATCAGGATATCTTGATTGCCAGGCTAAGTTCCAAGAGAAGTAGAAGGTTTTTGAATATAACTAACGATTATGACAAACACTTCAAGAAAAAGTCACCAAGCAGTAATGGTGACAGAGACAACAGGGGGAATCAATAAAATGGGATATTTGTTAGGAAACCATTACAAGAATCCAAAAATGAGGGCCCATGTTGAACAAGATTGTTAACAATTATGAGACTGGATTTGGAGAGCATGAAAGAGGAAAAAATATATAAAGTTCAGGGCAGGGTGGCCAGGAAGATCCATCCACTCATTCAGCACATAATCACTGTGCTTTTGCTATGTGCCAGGCATCACACTCAAGAGTATTCAGTGCTGAAAAAAACAGACTTCATCCCTGCCAGGCGGAGCATAGAGGATAGTCAGGAAATCAGACTAGAGACAAGAAAAGATGAAACAATTACAAGTGTAGTTGGAAGTGTCATGATGGAAGTTCACAGAGTGACAGGAGAGGACAAGAGGAGAGACCTACTCAGAGAGGGTGGTCTGGGGTAGGTTATCTGTGCAGGCAACATTCTGCTGATCCTAGAGGGATGAGGAGACTGCAGCCATACACAGAATGTGGCTGAGACAGGGAAAGGGGACACATTTTAGGAAGAAGAGGCTGTGTGGAAAAGACCCTGAGACCTGAACAGGGGGAAGTGATAGAACAGAATATGAGAACTGGAAAAGAGAAGGTGAGTTTGAGACATATTACAGATGAGGAGCCAGTGGGCGCCCAGAAGAAGATATCAAGCAGTTGCTGACAAGCTCAGAAGAGAGGATCACCTGCATGGAGGTGGTCATTTGGCAGGGTTTTCCAAGGAGAGGGATGGAAGATGTATGGACACACAAGACACAGGATATATGGACATACAAATAGAATCCTGGGGCGTGCAGGGTCAGTCCTGGGAATCCTCAGGGGGTCACAGGTCCAGCTTGTGAACCGAGGTGGTGGAGAATAAAGAGCCCTTCAGGGGCTCAAGGACGAGGATAATCAGGGAGGGAGCCAAGACCAGGGCAGGGAATGAGATTGGGTGGCAGCATCCAGCCCAGCCAAAGTCCCGTCCATTGCCCAACAGCATGGGCAGCATTGCTTGGTGCCAGTGAGGGCAGAGGATGGAGCCTGGGGAGACAAAAGGAGGAAAGGGCTGGGGGCAAATGCTGCCCGAGCTGAAGTGGATGCAATGGCCCTGGTGGTAAAGAACCATGACCCGGAATTCCCTGTCTCAGCTGTTTTGTATGAAAGCTAGTCCTGCCCAAGTCAAAATGCACCATGTGTTCACAGGAACTGCTGACCTTTTGTCCTCTTGTGAGTGACTAGAGCAGAGTTAGAGAAGGGAGTTGATCTGGAGAAATCTACAACTAAATTAATGGCTCAGAAAAGATAAAAGTGTGATAACAGCTGCTTTTTCTCACACTTCTTTCCCCTTCTTGGAGACCTTTTCTTTTCCCATAAGCTTTGTTGATTGTTGCTAAATAGCCATACAATACACACCAACTTTTTTACATCTGCAAGAATGAGAGACAGAAATTCCTCTTTGGAACGCTGTTTCAGACAACAACAAAGCCACAGGGAGGAGTTTAGCTGCAGTGATGCTGTGGGACTCCCTGAAGAGGGGGATGTACCAAAAGCCACATCTCCTTAGAAGAGAGGACATTTTCTGGGATATATTTGGGTATCCACAGGAGGCTAACAAAAATGGTTGTATTTAAATGCCTTTCAGCGGAAGCGTCCTGATTCACAGCCTTTAATTTCTGTAGTCTCTGTAGCTTTAAAAGGCACTCTCTACCTTCACAATGAAGATCAACGATATGAATTTAAAGGATTTGCTTTTGCCATGGTTTTCACTTGTGCTCTTGATAATTCTTATAGAATCTCAAGAAAACAGTTTCAGTAAATGCTTGGTTTGTCTGTATCCACTTGTGAACTTGGGTGGTCATCTCAGTACAGGTTCTGTCATCCAATGAAGCAAAAGTGTCCCATTTCCACATTTCTGCTGATCTCATCGGTGGCTTTTACCTTCTACTTCCCCTTTAACTATTGTTCTTTCACACCCGAGAGGATGAGAAAGAAAATGCAGCAGTCTTTTTCTTCAACACCTCATCAAGGCTTATGTACCTTGCTAATAAAATGATCACTATGCAGTTTGAGCCTAATCAATTACTGCCCAATTTTTCAGTTGCCTAAACCATATGACATACAATTTACTGTTGTATATACAATGCTCAAATGCAATACTCTTTCATTCACACATTATTTCACATACACAAGTTCTTTCTCAAGGTTGTAGACATTTTGTATTCAAGAATTATACATTTTACTTCCTAAATTTTCCTATATCAAGCCCCAGGAGACTGCTAGATACATAGCCACTTACAGTAACAGCCCAGCTCTCCAGATGTAAGGAACCTTATTACTAAAGCCCTAAGAAGTGTGGAGTAAGGATGAAAAGGGGGGACAAAAATGTCAGATAAATAGATGAAACTGGTAAAATTCTGCTGATACAAAAGAAATAGGAGTGTGGTCAGAATCACGCTCTGGTTCAGTGAGATGACAGGGACAAGCTGCAGAACCTTCCGGAGAGTCCTGGCACATGGGAGCAGGACAGCTTGTCTAGAAGAGTATGGGACAGGGGAGTTTAACCACCTGGGCCAGTGTCCATTAAAGGGTGAGAAGGAGAAGACAGAAAGTTGCTCTAAAGTGAAAAAAGAAGGGGTGAGCCATCTCAGGAGCTCAGTTCCTGTCCCAAGGCAAATGCTACTGGTCATAGTAACACCACCATGCAAAAGAGCCTAAGACTTAGAGTCTACATGAAGAAGTAGCTACACGCAAGCTGAGAAGAAGCCCCTTTCCAAGACAAGGGGACTTTCAGGCCTGGAAGGCTGCAGTGCGTGGATCCTTCAGACAGTGACAGACGGGTGCCCCCATGTAAGGAAATGGCCAGGGAGGCTCTGCCGTGAGAACTAGAAGCTTGGAGACTTGTGAGATGTGGGGAAGGAAATGAATCCTAGAAAGGACTGGTTTATTTTGATCTTATAAAGTGACCATATCCTGAGACTTATGTGCTGAAACAGACAGAATAAGCTACGCAACTACAGAATCTCAGTGGCCTAGCACAACAAAGGTTTCTAGCTCATTCACACTACAGTCCAAAGCAGGCTGGCAGAAGTCAGCTTGCCGTACCACTTAGGAAGCCAGGCTGGGGAAGACTTCCATGTTCATGTGGTGGTGGAAAAGGAAAGATGCGAATAGCATACTGGCTCTTGAGGCTTCCTCCCAGAGTGACATACATCACTTCTGCTCACATCTCATTGGTCAAGGCAAACCATGTGACCATGCCTAACTTCAAAAGGGCAGTGAAGTACAATCCTACCATGTTTCTAGAGGGCAATATTTGTGAACAGCACTAACAACTTCATCCTATCCCAGGGCACAACCTCCTTACCCAAAGGGTGTTGACCCACCTGTGCACCATAAAAAAGTCTTTTCTCCGGGAATGCAAATGGATTGAAAACTGATTTGCCTCCTTGACTTCAGGTCATCATTGAAATGTTTCCAAAATATGAAAAGAGTTCAATATAAATTTTTTTAAAACCTTACTAATCAATTTTATTGCAATAAATGATTAAATGGAAATTTCTCCTTGTATAATTATTCCCAGATCTTTTTAATTAAGTAGTTTCCTCCCTCTTGTCCTCTTTTACTTTACCCTGTTAATTTCCTTCATATAATTTTTTATTTGTAATCATTCAATTTGTAATCAATATTGTATTGATTTATTGGTTTATTTATCAGTCATGTACTTGTTTATTAAGGAATTTTCAATAAATTAGTTTAATTTTTTTCCTAATTATAGCAAAGAAAACTTAAAATACATAAATATCATTTCCTAAATACCATTTGCCATTCTTGGCCCATTACATAATAAGTGCTCAATAAAGCATTACTGTTGCTACTGTTGATGATGATGATAATGGTAAGTAAGGGGGAAAGTCTTTTCAAAGGCCATTTTGTGAAATAACAACCGGAACTATGTCAATACACCCTGAATTAATTCAGGGAACAATTTCGGCTTTATGATGATGATATATATTTTAAATGGGTAAATTGTATTATGGTATATAAATTACATCTCAATAAAGCTGTTATAAAAAAGGTTTTAAGAAAAGAAATAAAAAAGGGAAGTGAGCCTCAGGGAACCTTAGTAACTCTCCTAAGTTTGGAGGGCCAAGGGCTGGAGGTGAGAAACAGCTGTGAGATGGATGAGGCTAGCTCCCCTGAACCCTACTTCCTATGGCAGATCCGCAGCATGACCCAGAAGCTTTACACAGATGGTGTGGGGCCAAGTGCCACCAGAGCAAGGGGAAAGTCTGCAGGCCTGGGCTGCCTTCCTCATGCTGTGGGACTCTTCCTGATGTGTGGGCCAACGATGTTTAAAACCTGGTCTCCTGTGCAGCAGCTTTACCAAACTCAGGGCAGAGACTGCCTGGAAATAGACCAGCTGGGGTTCACCATGGCCCTAGTCTTTGGCCATTCTGCCCAGCTTGCTCTATCATGACACAGATGTGTCACTTCAATTATAGTGCTCTATTTTAAGATCAGAGAGGAGGTTCCCTATAGCACTCAGGCTCTTACGGTTCTTTTGCTATACAATTCTTAATAGCTTCTAATTGATTTGCCTCCAGGAAGTTCCTTATATCCAGAACCACACCCAGATTTCTTTCCTAGACACAATTGTCAAGCCTAATTTATTTTGTTCTCACTCAACTCTTTTCCACTCTTTTTTTAACTCAATGGCGGTGATTTGCAGAGGCTTGGGACAGAACACCACACCCTTAATGAAGTCTTGGCCTTAGGACTGAGTCTTGAAGGGCTTTAACTTCTCAAAATCTTTTTTCAACTTATTTTCCTGCTGCTTTCAATCCAGTGGCAGTCAGCTTTTCCTACTTCTCAATCCTCAGATTCCTGAACCCTGTTTTCTTTCATTTCTGCTTTTGAGCTGGTCAGTTTTTGCTTAAGTGCTGTCTCCTAAAGCCTTGCAAAATGTAGCTGCTGTCAACACACATACAGTACAGTTGTCCCTCAGTATCTGTAGGGGATTGGTTCCAAGACTGTCATGGATACCAAAATCTATGGATGCTCAAGTCTTGAATATAAAAACAGCCGGCACAGTGGCTCACGTCTGTAATCCCATTACTTTGGGAGACTGAGGGGGTGGATCACTTGAGCTCAGGAGTTCAAGACCAGCCTGGCCAACATGGTGAAACCCGTCTCTACTAAAAACACACAAAAAAATTAGCTAGGTGTGGTGGGGCACACCTGTAGTCCCAGCTAATCGGGAGGCTGAGGCAGAAGAATCACTTGAACCGGGAGGCAGAGGCTGCAGTGAGTGGAGATTGTGCCACTGCACTCCAGTCTGGGTGACAGAGCGAGACTCCATTCAAAACAATAATAAAATAAAATAAAATGGTACCGTATTTGCATATAACCTACACACATCACCCTTTATACTTTAAATCATATCTAGATTACTATGATACCTAATACAATGTAAATGCTATGTAAATAGCTGTTTCACTGTATTGTTTAGGGAATGATAAGGAAAAAGTCTGTTCATGTTCAGTACAAATGCAAGCATCCATTTTTTTCCAAGTATTTTTGATATGTGGTTGGTTGAATCCATGGATGAGGAACTCACAGATGTGGAGGGCCAAGTGTACTAACATTCTTTTATTCCATTTCTTTCCTTAGAACTATAAGCCCAATAAGCATTTTGTCTAACTTAAAAGTTATCACTGACATTTTCCCAAATGTTTTGCCATTACTAGTCATAAGTCTCCATCCCTCTAACCCTCAATATCAGTTTTCTGGCTGCCTGCTCTCCAACTATGAAGACAGTACTGTATGTTTTAGTTTTTGTTGTTATAGTGCCCAAATTTTTTAACCACGTCTTGCATTAGTTCATATTAGCTGCTGTGACAATAGTAGTAGAGTGACTTTACATAATAGAAGTATATTTCTCTCTCATATACAGTCTTTGTTCCATGCAGTTATTCAGGGACTCTGAGAGATAAAGGATCTGTTACTTTATCTGTGACAAGGTTGCCTTGGGCCTTGACATGCAGACCAAAGAGCACATGCCTGGGAAGTGAATGTGCTTCACTTTCACGATATTTTATTAGCCAGAACTCAGTCGCACCTAAAAAGCGCAGGAAGTCACATGACTACACCTAACGAGGGCAGGAAGTCACATGACCACACCTAACGAGGGCAGGAAGTCCCATGACCACACCTAACGAGGGCAGGAAGTCCCATGACCACACCTAACAAGGGCAGGAAGTCACATGACTGTACCTAGCAAGGGCAGGAAGTCACGTGACTATACCAAATGAGGGAAGGAAGTCACATGAGTACACCTAACAAGAGAAGGAACTCACATGGCCACACCTAACAACACAAGAGATTGTAGACCTTTGTGGGTATTCTTTGAAAGAAAATCAAATAAGCTTGGAGATGGCTAGACAGTGTCTGAACTCATTCTACTAATTTCAGAGACTTTCAGATAGGTCTTCTGAAAGGAAATTAAATCTTGGGACCCCAAACTCATTAAGCCAAGTGGAAAAGTCAAGCTGGGAACTGGATCACACAAACCTGCCTCCCTCATTTGGTTCCTAAAGAAGATTGTTACAAGAGGAAAAGCTACATGCCTCCCCCATATTTTGCCCACAAGGAAATTCCTAGTGACCTGTAAGATCTTTTAAGGTGTTTCTGTTAAAATTTGACCATGGCAGCTGGGCATGGTGGCTAATGCCTGTAATCCCAGCACTTTGGAATTACAGGCAGGCAGATCACGAGGTCAAGAAATTGAGACCATCCTGGCCAAGATGGTGAAACCCCATCTCTATTAAAAATACAAAAATTAGTCCAAGATGGCCAAATAGGAACAGCTCCAGTCTGCAGCTCCCAGTGTGACTGACACAGAAGACTGGTGATTTGTGCATTTCCAACTGAGGTACCTGGTTCGTCTCACGGGGACTGGTTGGACAGTGGGCACAGCCCACAGAGGGTGATCTGAAGCAGGGCGGGGCATCACCTCACACAGGAAGCGTAAGGAGTTGGGGGATCTCCCTTTCCTAGCCAAGGGAAGCCATGAGAGATGGTACCTGGAAAAACAGGACACTCCCACCCAAATACTGTGCTTTTCCAATGGTTTTAGTGAATGGCACACCAGGAGATTATATCCCGTGCCTGGCTTGGTGGATCCCAAGCCCACAGAGCCTTGCTTACTTCTAGCGCAGCAGTCTGAGATCAACCTGCAAGGCAGCAGCCTGGCAGGGGGAGGGGCATCCGCCATTGCTGAGGCTTAAGTAGGTAAACAAAGTGGCCATGGAAGCTCAAACTGGGTGGACCCCACCACAGCTCAGCAAGGCCAGCTGCCTCTGTAGTCTCTGCCGCTGGGAGCAGGGCATAGCTGAATAAAAGGCAACAGAAGCTTCTCCAGACTTAAACGTCCCTGTCTGACAGCTCTGAAGAGAGCAGTGGTTCTCCCAGCACAGTGTTTGAGCTCAGAGAATGGACAGACTGCTTCCTCAAGTGGGTCCGTGACCCCCGTGTAGCCTAACTGGGAGAGACCTCCCAGTAGGGGCCGACTGACACCTCATACAGGCAGGTGCCCCTCTGGGATGAAGCTTCCAGAGGAAGGATCAGGCAGCAATACTTGCTGTTCTGCAATATTTGCTGTTCTGCAGCCTCTACTGGTGATACCCAGGCAAATAGGGTCTGGAGTAGACTTCCAGGAAACTCCAACAGACCTGCAGCTGAGGGACCTGAGTGCTGGAAGGAAAACTAACAAACGGAAAGGAACAGCATCAACATCAGCAAAAAGGACATCCACACCAAAACCCCATGATGATGGTCACCAACATCAAAGACCAAAGGTAGATAAAACCACAAAGATGGGGAGAAACCAGAGCAGAAAAGCTGAAAATTCTAAAAACCAGAGAGCCTCTTCTCCTCCAAAGGATTGCAGCTCCTCACCAGCAATGGAACAAAGCTGGATGGAGAATGATTTTGACAAGCTGACAGGAGTAGGCTTCAGAAGGCTGGTAATAACAAACTTCTCCGAGCTAAAGGAGGATGTTTGAACCCATCACAAGGAAGCTAAAAACCTTGAAAAAAGATTAGATGAATGGCTAACTAGAATAAACAGTGTAGAGAAGACCTTAAATGACCTGATGGAGCCGAAAACCGTGGCACAAGAACTACATGACACATGCACAAGCTTCAACAGCTGATTCAATCAAGTGGAAGAAAGGGTATCAGTGACTGAAGATCAAATTAATGAAATAAAGTGAGAAGACAAGGTTAGAGAAAAAAGAGTAAAAAAAAATGAACAAAGCCTCCAAGAAATATGGGACTATGTGAAAAGACCAAATCTAGGTTTGATTGGTTTACCTGAAAGCGACAGGGAGAATGGAACCAAGTTGGAAAACACTCTTCAGGATGTTATCCAGGAGAACTTCCCCTACCTAGCAAGACAGGCCAACATTCAAATTCAGGAAATACAGAGAACACCACAAAGATACTCCTTGAGAAGAGCAACCCCAAGACACATAATTGTCAGATTCACCCAGGTGAAATGAAGGAAAAAATGTTAAGGGCAGCCAGAGAGAAAGGTTGGGTTACCCACAAAGGGAAGCCCATCAGATTAACAGCGGATCTCTCGGCAGAAACTCTACAAGCCAGAAGAGAGTGGGGGCCAATATTCAACATTCTTAAAGAAAAGAATTTTCAACCCAGAACTGCATATCCAGCCAAACTAAGCTTCATAAGTGAAGGAGAACTAAAATCCTTTACAGACAAGCAAATGCTGAGAGATTTTGTCACCACCACGCCTGCCCTAAAAGAGCTCCTGAGGAAGCACTAAACATGGAAAGGAACAACCGGTACCAGCCACTGCAAAAACATGCCAAATTGTAAAGACCACTGATGCTAGGAAGAAACTGCATCAACTAACAGGCAAAATAACCAGCTAACATCATAATGACAGGATCAAATTCACACATAACCATATTAACCTTAAATGTAAATGGGCTAAATGCCTCAATTAAAAGACACAGACTGGCAAATTGGGTACAGTCAAGACCTATCAGAGTGCTGTATTCAGGAGACCCATCTCACGTGCAGAGACACATATAGGCTCAAAATAAAGGGATGGAGGAAGATCTACCAAGCAAATGGAAAGCAAAAAAAAAGCAGGGGTTGCAATACTAGTCTCTGATAAAACAGACTTTGAACCAACAAAGATCAAAAGAGACAAAGAAGGCCATTACATAATGGTAAAGGGATCAATTCAACAAGAAGAGCTAACTATCCTAAATATATATGCACCCAATACAGGAGCACCCAGATTCATAAAGCAAGTCCTTAGAGACCTACAAAGAGACTTAGACTCCCACACTATAATAACGGGAGACTTTAACACCCCACTGTCAGTATTAGACAGATCAACAAGACAGAAGGTTAACAAGGATATCCACTACTTGAACTCAGCTCTGCGACAAGCAGACCTAATAGACATCTACAGAACTCTCCACCCCAAATCAACAGAATATACATTCTTCTCAGCACCACATCGCACTTATTCCAAAATTGACCACATAGTTGGAAGTAAAGCACTCCTCAGCAAATGTAAAAGAACAGGAATCACAACAAACTGTCTCTCAGACCACAGTGCAATCAAACTAGAACTCAGGATTAAGAAGCTCACTCAAAACCGCACAACTACATGGAAACTGAACAACCTGCTCCCGAATGACTACTGGGTAAATAACGAAATGAAGGCAGAAATAAAGATGTTCTTTGAAACCAATAAGAACAAAGACACAACATACCAGCATTTCTGGTACACATTTAAAGCAGTGTGTAGAGGGAAATTTATAGCACTAAATGCCCACAAAAGAAAGCAGGAAAGATCTAAAATTGACACCCTAACATCACAATTAAAAGAACTAGAGAAGCAAGAGCAAACAAATTCAAAAGCTAGCAGAAGGCAAGAAATAACTAAGATCAGAGCAGAACTGAAGGAGATAGAGACACAAAAAACCCTTCAAAAAATCAATGAATCCAGGAGCTGGTTTTTTGAAAAGATCAACAAAATTGATAGATTACTAGCAAGACTAGTAAAGAAGAAAAGAGAGAAGAATCAAATAGATGCAATAAAAAATGATAAAGGGGATATCACCATCAATCCCACAGAAATACAAACTACCATCAGAGAATACTATAACACCTCTACGCAAATAAACTGGAAAATCTAGAAGAAATGGATAAATTCCTAGACACGTACACTCTCCCAAGACTAAACCAGGAAGAAGTTGAATCTCTGAATAGACCAATAACAGGCTCTGAAATTGGGGCAATAATTAATAGCCTACCAACCAAAAAATGTCCAGGACCAGATGGATTCACAGCCAAATTCTACCAGAGGTACAAAGAGGAGCTGGTACCATTCCTTCTGAAACTATCCCAATCAATAGAAAAAGAGGGAATCCTCCCTAACTCATTTTATGAGGCCAGCATCATCCTGATACCAAAGCCTGGCAGAGACACAACAAAAAAAGAGAATTTTAGACCAATATCCCTGATGAACATCAATGCAAAAATCCTCAATAAAACACTGGCCAACTGAATCCAGCAGCACATCAAAAAGCTTATCCACCACAATCAAGTCAGCTTCATCCCTGGGATGCAAGGCTGGTTCAACATATGCAAATCAATAAACATAATCCATCATATAAACAGAACCAGCGACAAAAACCACAATTATCTCAATAGATGCAGAAAAGGCCTTTGACAAAATTCAACAGCCTTCATGTTAAAAATTCTCAATAAAATAGGCATTGATGGAACCTACCTCAAAATAATAAGAGCTATTTATTACAAACCCACAGCCAATATCATACTGAATGAATGGGCAGAAACTGGAAGCATTCCCTTTGAAAACTGGCACAAGACAGGGATGCCCTCTCTCACCACTCCTATTCAACATAGTGTTGGAAGTTCTGGCCAGGGCAGTCAGGCAAGAGAAAGAAATAAAGGGTATTCAAGTAGGAAAAGAGGAAGTCAAATTGTCCCTGTTTGCAGATGACATGATTGTATATTTAGAAAACCCCATCATCTCAGCCCAAAATCTCCTTAAGCTGATAAGCAACTTCAGCAAAATCTCAAGATACAAAATCAGAGTGCAGAAATCACAAGCATTCCTATACACCAATAACAGACAAACAGAGAGCCAAATCATGAGTGAACTCCCATTCACAATTGCTACAAAGAGAATAAAATACCTAGGAATCCAACTTACAAGGGATGTGAAGGATCTCTTCAAGGAGAACTACAAACCACTGCTCAACACAATAAAAGAGGACACAAATGGAAGAACATTCCATGCTCATGGATAGGAAGAATCAATATCGGGAAAATGGCCATAATGCCCAAGGTAATTTATAGATTCAATGCCACCCCCATCAAACTACCAATGACTTTCTTCACAGAATTGGAAAAAAACTACTTTAAAGTTCATATGAAACCAAAAAAGAGCCTGCATTGCCAAGACAATCCTAAGCCAAAAGAACAAAGCTGAAGGCATCACACTACCTGACTTCAAACTATACTACAAGGCTACAGTAACCAAAACAGCGTGGTACTGGTACCAAAACAGAGATATAGACCAATGGAAAAGAACAGAGGCCTCAGAAATAACACCACACATCTACAACCATCTGATCTTTGACAAACCTGACAAACACAAGAAATGGGAAAAGGATTCCCTATTTAATAAATGGTGCTGGGAAAACTGGCTAGCCATATGTGGAAAGCTGAAACTGGATCCCTTCCTTACACCTTATACAAAAATTAATTCAAGATGGATTAAAGACTTAAATGTTAGACCTAAAATCATAAAAATCCCAGAAGAAAACCTAGGCAATACCATTCAGGACATAGGCATGAGCAAGGACTTCATGTCTAAAACACCAAAAGCAATGGCAACAAAAGCCAAAATAGACAAATGGGATCTAATTAAACTAAAGAGCTTCTGCCTGGCAAAAGAAACTACCATCAGAGTGAACAGGCAACCTACAGAATGGGAGAAAATTTTTGCATTCTACCCATCTGACAAAGGACAAATATCCAGAATCTACAAAGGGCTTAAACAAATTTACCAGAAAACAAAAACCATCAAAAAGTGGGCAAAGGATATGAACAGACACTTCTCAAAAGAAGACATTTATGCAGCCAAAAAACACATGAAAAAATGCTCATCATTACTGGTCATCAGAGAAATGCAAATCAAAACCACAGTGAGATACCATCTCACACCAGTTAGAATGGCGATCATTAAAAAGTCAGGGTACAACAGATGCTGGAGAGGATGTGGAGAAATAGGAATGTTTTAACACTGTTGGTAGGAGTGTAAACTAGTTCAACCATTGTGGAAGACAGTGTGGCGATTCCTCAAGGATCTAGAACTAGAAATACCATTTGACCCAGCAATCCTATTACTGGGTATGTACACAAAGGATTATAAATCATGCTGCTATAAAGACACATGCACACATATGTTTATTGCAGCACTATTCACATAGTAAAGACTTGGAACCAACCCAAATGTCCATCAATGATAGACTGGATTAAGAAAATGTGGCACATATACACCATGGAATACTATGCAGCCATAAAAAAGGATGAGTTCATGTCCTTTGCAGGGACACGGATGAAGATGGAAACCATCATTCTGAGCAAACTATCACAAGGACAGAAAACCAAACGCTGCATGTTCTCACTCATAGGTGGGAACTGAACAATGAGAACACTTGGACACAGGGTGGGGAACATCACACCCTTGGGCCTGCCGTGGGTTTGGGAGCAGGGGGAGGGATAGCATTAGGAGAAATACCTAATGTAAATGACGAGTTGATGAGTGCAGCAAACCAACATGGCACATGCATACCTATGTAACAAACCTGCACGTTGTGCACATGTACCCTAGAACTTAAAAGTATATTAAAAAATAGAAAAATTAGCTGAGTGTGGTAGTGTGTGCCTGTAGTCCCTGCTACTCGGGAGGCTGAGCCAGGAGAATTGCTTGAACCCAGGAGGCAGAGGTTGCAGTGAGTTGAGATCACGCCACTGCGCTCCAGCCTGGCGACAGAGAGAGACTCCATCTCAAAAAAAAAAAAAAAAAAATTTAACTATGGCAAGGTAAATCAACAGTTTATCTTTACAGGTGCAGTCACCCCAGCCCACCAGACACAAATGCATATCTGATTGTTACTCTGTCCCATTTTTGTCTGTGTTATCTTTATTTTATTTTATTTTATTTTTTTAGACAGAATCTTGCTCAGTCGCCCAGACTGGAGTGCAGTGGTGCGATCTCAGCTCACTGCAAACTGCGCCTCCCCGGTTCATGTCATTCTCCTGCCTCAGCCTCCTGAGTAGCTGGGACTACAGGTGCCCACCACCACACCCGGCTAATTTTTTTGTATTTTTATTAGAGATGGGGTTGCACCATGTTAGCCAGGATGGTCTTGATCTCCTGACCTCGTGATCCACCCGCCTCGGCCTCCCAAAGTGCTGGGATTACAGGCGTGAGCCACCGCGCCCGGCCTGTCCGTGTTATCTTATGTAAAAAAATGCAGATTCACTGAGCCAGACAAAAGCATGAATGACTGTTTTTCCCTCCCCCTCTCTTACATGAAAATTGTGTACTTCTCAATATCCCACCCTTTCCTCTTTATATTTGGAGCTCTCAAAATCATCTTCAGAGAAAGGCATAGACCTGTCTCCTGGGCGCATCATTAACTTTGTGGCAAATAAATCTTCTAAAATGATTGAGATTCATCACGTCATTTTTCTCGAATGACAGTCCAAACAAAATTATCCACAGAATCGCTATACTTTCACCAAGAGACACACTTGAACAAAAAATGTAATGCAGAACAGTTAAAAATACAAGGATGACTAAAGATATATCAAAAATATATATTTAAAAAGAAAGCAGAGTGGCCATGTTAGCCTCCGACAAAAAGTGTGAAAGCAATAGATGTTAAGTAGAAAAAAGACTTAAGGAATAAATTACATCAAACTATATAACGTGCCAACTGGAAGCAAAGGAAATAAGATAGAGACAGTACAATAGTGAAGACTTTAACAGACTACTTTTTAGATCCTGATAGATTAAGAAGCCAAAAATAAAGATTTATAGTATTTCAATGATATATTTAATAAAGTTAATTTAAAATGTTATACCTTCAAATTGAGCATGCTTTCCTTTTAGCATGTGTAAAAATGCATACTATTCTCAGCCACAAAGGAAACCTCATATTCCAAAAAGCACAAATTGTACAGGTTACCCTTCCTAATCATATTGTTATGAAATTAGAAATAAGATATTTAAACAAAAAATTTCCATACATACACACAAACCAATTATAAACTTAAAACCAAAAATCCACCCTCTTAATTAACTCCTGGTTCTAAATCAAAACAATTGTGCTATTTATATTCTTTAGGCTTCAGAGAACAGAGACTCATTCAAATTATCAAACCATGGGTGCATAGATTGATGCATGCAATTGTAATGATAAGTGGAGTTAGGGAAATCGAATATAACAGAAATCTAATAATAAAGCAATGGTTACAAGTGGGCTGCCCCCAATGTAAGGGGGAGGTTCCCCAAGGGAGAGACCAGCAGCCTGAGAGTGTGGATTTTGCTTAGTGCTCAAGCATGAACTGACTCAGCTCCCCTCCACCGACTGCCTCTTTCTGCACCCCACCAGTTATCTCCTTCCCCCTCCATGTCTTGTCCTTACTTCCCAGTTTCTGCTTTTTTGGTGAATATTCCCCTAAATTTGGTTCGTTATAACCTCTCCAGTCTTGCATTGTTACATGACTTTTCAGTTCTGCTCTTGCTGCCAACTCCCTCTTAAGCATTTCTGAATTCAAATTCTTAAGAAATTGAATTGTATTAGCTAGCTCAGCCTTTGCTTATGAGACCACTCGTTAGGTCATTAGCCAGCCTGTGGAGTGGCTGCTTTGGGGCCTCTTCTTACCCTTCATCCAACAGACAATGACTGAGGATAGGAGGGAACACATGGTATAAAACATAAATGCCTAATGCCTGCCGTTTCTACAAAGACAGGGGTTAACTAACTGCGGGGAGTTACAGGCACAGCAGGAGGGGTCAGAAATATGTGTTAAATGAATAAACAAAGAACCTACTATTAATAGTATCAGATGTTCTGCTAGATGCTGAGCACACAGTGTATACCACCAACAAAATACTGTTCAGTTTTCTAAAATTCACATTTACACATAGACATTACATTACACACAGATATAGAAAGAGCCACGATATAAATGTTAATAACAAATCAGACTACAAAAGAGCATGTACAAAATAATTCTGTTTTTTGGAACATAAAAAAGTATTTATGCATGAGAAAAAGGCCTGACAAGACATATAATGTATGAACGTGTTTGACCATGGTTTTCTTTGGGTGGTAGATTTGGGGTAATTTTAATTTATTCTAAAATGTTTCTAAAGTATTTTCACATATCTGACCTTGAACATGTGCTGCTTTTTTAAATAATCAGGATAATAAAGCTATTTTTATTAAGGGACAGGTAGTCTTAAAATATGCATGGCTTTTGACTTAGTAAATCCATTTCAAAGAACTTCTCCTAAGAGAATAATTGGAGTTATGTTCAAACATACTTTTACATGAAAGTTTAAAGGTTTATTTTTCCTTCTAGAAGAAAGTAAGCATTTTTTGAGGATCCATGGTTTCTCCATAGGTATGACAGAAAAATGAGCCTCCTTTACAATTCCTTGGGCAATCTGAAGAAAATTCAGTAAAACAAGTTGACTCCTGGCTTTGAGACTAAATAACCTATAGATACAGGTGAAAACAGGAGACAGTACTCACACTGTAGTGGTCAGGGACACGGAATCAGCAAATGCTAGATTCTTTACAGAGAAAAGCCACTTTTTTAATGCCAATTTTGGGAAGACTTTTTCCTCCAAATACCAAATATTCCTAAGCTTTTTTGTTGGGATAATTTGTTTCAGAAAAAGATCTGAAACTAATTTGTACAAAAGCATAAGACAGATAGCAACATAACAAAGTAGTTCTCCATTGAAACACTGAGTAATAATTCTCTCTTCTTCCATCCCAAGATTTACATTCAAGAAGTTTGAGATATGACCTGTGATCAGCATTTTAGCAAGGATGCCAGATGATTTTCAAGGAGATGGTCTAAGATGGCACTGTGAAACATACTGCGTTGGGCCGGGCGTGGTGGCTCACACCTGTAATCCCAGCACTTTGGAAGCCTGGCGTGCATGGATCACTTGAGCCAAGGAGTCCTGGGCAACATGGCAAAGCCTTATTTCTAAGAAAAATACAAAAATGAGCAGGGCATGATGGTGTGTGCCTGTGGTCCCAGCTACTCAGGATACTGAAGTGGGAGGATCAATTGAGTCTGGGAGGTTGAGGCTACAGTGATCCAAAATTGTACCACTGCACCCCAACCTGGGTGATAGAGTGAGACGCTGTGTCAAAAAATAATAACAATAAATAAGGAAATAAAAGAAATACTGCCTTAACATGCTTTTAAGCATGGGCATTTGCATTTTAACAAGAATTAAAGCCTGAAGTTAGAGGAGTAAAGATGATATCCACTTCTCAATGGTGGGCTAGAGACCTTGACCAATTCTACTGCTGGAAACAACTAAAAATCCTGAATGAAAGACCTTTCAGCATCTTTTTAGAATAGTTGATGAGCTATCCAGAAAACAAGACATTCTCTGAGGCAAAAAAAAAAAAAAAAAAAAAGCAAAAAACTTAATTTAAAACAAGAGTCTTGAAGAGTAAGTCGAGCACTTAGGCTGGCTTTTGCTCTGAGGGATTTGTCAACTCAGGTGAAACTGAGCATTGGTTTTCCTATCGCGAAGGATTGGAGGAAGAAGAAGCACAGATCTGCACACAGAGGGTCAGAAGGCTAATAGGAGACCCCCATGAATGCTTACAAGAGGTTCATGCTCAGGTAAGGAGTAGACTAAAAATAAACCTGCCCCCATCCCTGTGAAATGTGAGAAAAACTGTCTCTCTCAAACTGTGGGATGGTGAGAAGGAGAAAAAGTCCCTGTCGAGTATTCTTAGCCAAAAGCTATTATAGATTTTGTATACCTTCACGCTACCTAGGATATCCAAAAATCCTCAAGGTGAATTTTTACTTTAAAGTGTTCGAAGTTTGTAGTAGCCCAGGAACCTGAGGAAATCAATTCTCTCTGATGAAAACCATTTGGATCCTTGTGCAAAAAATTGCCAAAGATAAACTTTTCAAAATAGGAGCTCATATTAAAAACTCCCCAAATGCCAGAAAACAAGCTTCCATTAAAGGAAGCAGAAAAATAAAGAACTGAAAATTAGACACACAATATATAGATATTAAAATTATTGGACACACAATAGAAAATACTTTACATGTTTAAAGAAATAAAAGATAACCTCAAAAATATGAGCAGGAGAGTAAAACGATTATGAAGAAGAGGCTATAAAGGGATTGTAATATGAGTAAAAGGGAAGAGACTACAAAAATGACTAAGCCTATCTGAAAAGTTGATTTGACAGAGTTGAAAAGAGCATTAGCAAGCTGGAAGAGAGATCAGAAGAAATTATCCAGAATACAACATATAGAAATAAATACACAGAAATTTCAAAAGAGAAGTTAAGAGTTATGTAATATAGACTATGGTATATGTTAACATAAATTCAAGCAGTATTCCTGAAGGACAGTAAGGAGTTGAGAGAAAATAAGGAGAAAACAATATTAAAGAATTAATAAAATTAGCCAGGTGTGGTGGCGCATGTCTGTAGTCCCAGCTACTAGGGGTGCTGAGGTGAGAGGATCACCCGAGCTTAGGAGGAGGTAGAGGCTGCAGTGGGTCATGACTGTACCACTGCACTCCAGCCTGGGCAACAGAGTGATATTGTATTTGTAAAAAAAAAAAAAAGAATAGCTGAGAATTTTCCAATACTAATAAAAGACAGCAATGTGAAGACTCAGAATGCTCTATAAATCCCAGTTAAAATAAGTTTTAAAATGTCCATAGATTAAGACAACCTAGTCAAATTCCAGAACACTAAAGATTGAAAAGAAAGCATTAAAAGCAGCCATAGTCTTCTACCTAAAGAACAATAAAGGAATGCTATAGAGTTTATGCCCATAAATTTGAGAACTAAGATAATTCAGTAGAAAAATTCACTGAAATACACAAACTGCCAAAGCATATATAAAGCATTTATGATAATTACCCAAATTAAATGAACCATAAAGAACATCTCATGTTCTCTGCTAATCAGGCAATTAAGTTAGAAATCAATAATACAATCATAATGAGATGACATCCTCATGTTTGGAAATTAAGAAACACTTCTAAATTATTTATAGGTCAAAGAACAAATCAAAATGAAAATTAGAAAAATATTTTAAACTGAATTTTTTAAGTCTACTTGCCAAATATAGAAAGCAGTAATAAATATTCATATGAGAAAAGAAAAAATTGACAAATTCCTTTTTTAATGTATATTACCAAAATGGACCCAAGAAGAAACAGAAAAGTTAAATGATTCTATACCCATGAAAAAAATTAAATTTCACAAATAAAACTGGTGAAATTTTATTTTTCACCAATTTTGAATGTTTGGTAATATTTGTTAGTGAAGCCAATATTTGGATGGCTTCACTAACAAAAATTACCAAACATTCAAGAAAAAATAATCCTAATTACACAAACTATTCCAGAATATTGAAAAAGAGGAATACCTTCCATTTCATTTTATGAGGTTAGCATTACCTTGATATTCCAACTTTGCAAGGACAATATGAAAAAAGAATATTACATGCCAATCTTACTGTTGAACACAGATGCAAAATCCAAACAAAATATGAGCTAATCAAATACAATAATAAATAAAATGGATGTTACAATCACAATTACTTTAACATTTAAAAAAAATAATACTACATGGTAAATTATATTATACATTTTCCTTATTATCAGAGGTTCTAGTCAGTCCTAGGAAATGTGGAAACTTAGAAAAAAATTCACATTAATTGCAGTTAATATAACTATCCATGTGGAAAGTTTCAATGAACGCTCAAATAAATAATTAGAACTAGTAACAGTTTATCAAGTTTGTCTGATACAAAAATCTATATGTAAATATCACTTGCATTTTTTAACACCAACAACAAGGTGTTCTAAAATGAGATTTTAAACAATATTATTTATAATAGCATTAAAAATATAAAGCAATATATCTAACAAGATGCACAAGGCCTTCATAGAGAAAATGACAAAGCATTATTTGAAAGACTGCCTTTTGTATGCATGTGGTTATGTATATATTTGGACAAGCTTGGTTTACAAATACATATGGAAGTAGTGAGGATAATCTTGAAGAATAATTAGGCTGGGGTGGAGGATCTAATTAGTATAACAATCAATGTACAAAAATCACTAGCATTTTTATATACCAACAACAGCCAAGCTGAGAGCCAAATCAGGCAGGCAATCCCACTCACAATTGCCACAAAATGACTAAAATACCTAGGAATACAGCTAACCAGGGAGGTGAAAGACCTCTACAATGAGAATTACAAAATACTGTTCAAAGAAATCAGAAAACACATAAACAAATAGAAAACATCGCATGCTCATGGCTAGGAAGAATCAATATCATTAAAATGGCCATATTGCCCACAGCAATTTACAGGTTCAATGCTATTCCTATCATTACCAATAACATTCTTCACAGAACTAAAAAAAAACTAAAAATTCTTAAGGAACCAAAAAAGAGCATGAATAGCCAAGGTAATCCTAAGCAAAAAGAACAAAGCTGAAGGTATCATATTACCCAACATCAAACTATACTACAGGGCTACAGTAACCAAAACATCATGGTACTGGTACAAAAACAGGGATATAGACCAGTGGAACAGAATAGCCTAAAAATAAGACCGCTCACCTATGACCATCTCTTTGACAAACTTGACAAAAACAAGCAATGGGGAAAGGATTCCCTATTAAATAAATGATGCTGGGATAACTCACTAGCCATATGCAGAAGATTGAAACCAGCCCTCTTCCTTACACCATATACAAAAATCTACTCAAGATAGATTAAAGACTTATATGTAAAACCCAAAACTGTAAAAACCCTGGAAGACAACCTAGGCAATACCATCCTGGTCATAGGAACAGGCAGAGATTTTATAACAAAGACACCAAAAACAATCACAACAAAAGCAAGAATTGACAAGAGGGATCTAATTAAACTAAAGAGCTTCTGCACAGCAAAAGAAACGATCAACAGAGTAAACAGACAACCTACAGAATGGGAGAAAATATTTGCAAACCATGCATCTGGAAAAGGTCTAACATCCAGCATCTATAAGGAATTTAAACAAATATACAAGAGAAAACAAATATACAAGAGAAAACAAATAACCCCATTAAAAAGTGGGCAGAGGACGTGAACTGACACATTTCAAAAGAAGACATACATGCGGTAAACAAACATTTGAAAAAAAAAACTCAAGTCACTGATCATTAGAGAAATGCAAATCAAAATCACAGTGAGATACCATCTCACACCAGTCAAAATGGCTATTATTAAAAGTCAGAAAATAACAGATGCTGGTGAACTTACAGATGCTGGAATAACAGATGCTGGAGAATAACAGATGCTGGAGAAAAGGGAACACTTATACACAGTTGATGAAAGTATAAATTAGTTTAACCATTGTGGAAAGTAGCATGGCAATTCCTTAAAGGGCAAAAAACAAAACTACCATTAGACCCAGAAATCCCATTTCTTGGAATATACCCAGAAGAATATAAATCATTCTACCATAAAGACACATGCGCACAAGTGTTCATTGCAGCACTATTCACAAAAGCAAAGATATGGAATCAACCTAAATGCCCATCAATGACAGATTGAATAAAGAAAATGTGGTATATATATACCATGGAATACTATACCACCATAAAAAAGAGTGAGATCATGTCTTTTGCGGAAACATGGATGAAGCTGGAAGCTATTATCCTTAGCAAACGAAGGCAGGGACAGAAAACCGAATACCGCATGTTCTCACTTGTAAGTGGGAGCTAAATGATGAGAACTCATAGACACAAAGAAGAGAACAACAGACACTGGGGCCTACATGTTGGGGGAGGGTGGAAGGAGGGAGAGGAGCAGAAAAAATAACTAATGGATACTAGGCTTAATACCTGGGTGATTAAATAATCTATACAACATATCCTGGTGAGAAGAGTTTACCTACATAACAAACCTGCATGTACTGCCAAACCTAAAATAAAAATTTTTAAAAAGAATTATTAATATAGTATATCAACTAAAACAATGGAGTGTGAGTCAGTGGTAGAACAGAATAGAAAGCATACATGTGGCTTGTGGCAGAGAAAGCATTGCAGAATACTAAAGAAGGGATGGACTTTTAAAACATGGTACTGGAACAATTGGTTATCCATAAGGAAAACAAATCAAATTGGATTTCCACATTATGGCTTATATAAAGATCAATTCTTAGGTGAATCAAAGACTTGAGGGAGAATGCCAACAACACTAACATTTTTAGAGAAAAAAATAGAAGAATATCTTTATGACTGTTACATAGGAAAACATTTTAAAATAAGACTTAAAAGCTCAACCCATAAAACAGAAATTTGAGAAATTTGGCAAATTTTAACTATATTAAAATTAAGTACTACAAATTGAAAGACATCATAAATATAGTAAAAAGACAAGTCACCAACTGGGAGAAAATATTTGCAACAAATACAACTGACATACTTTTAATATTCAGAATATATAAAAATAAATTCAGCAAAAACAGAAAGAAAAATGGTCAAAGCTTGAACATATTCCAAAAGAGAAAATACATCAATAAATGTAAAAAGATCAATTTTATTAGTGTTAAGAAAAATGCAGATTAAAACTACAATGCAATAGTATTTCAAGCCTACCAGAAAAGCAAAAATTAAAAATTCTAAAAATAACAAGAATCAGTGATGACATGTATAACATGTACATGTGGTACATAACACTTAGACACCACTGGTAGAAGTTCCAATGGGTGCAGCCACTTTGGAAAATAATTTGGCACTTTCTAATAAATTTGGAGATTCACAAGTCCTGTAAGTTCACATCTTCTCTCCTATGGAAATACTTGTACCAGAAGACCCACGCAAGAATATTTGTACCTGCACTGTTCAGTTATAGCAAAAATCTTGAAAAAAATCCAAAAGTTTATCAATTGTGGAGTTTAAGTTTGTGGCATATTCATTCAATACAATTTTATATAACAATAAAATGAGAACTACAGGTACTTGTAAAAACACATATGAAACTTAATACATAATATTGATTTTAAAAAGTTGCAAGACTGGGCATGGTGGCTCATGCCTGTAATCCGAGCACTTTGGGAGGCTGAGATGAGCAGACTGCATGAGCCCAGGAGTTCAAGACCAGCCTGGGCAACATAGCAAGATCTCGTCTCTACAAAAAATACAAAAAATTAGCTGTGCACAGTGGTGCATGCCTGTAATACTAGCTACCAGGGAGGCTGAAGTGGGAAGATCACCTGAGCCAGGGAGGTAGAGGCTGCAGTGAGACATGATCGTGCCACTGCACTCCAGCCTAGGTAAAAGAGTGAGACCCTGTCTCAAATAAAATAAAATAAAATAAAATAAAAGTTGCAGAATATAGTCTGATTCTATTTGTACAAAGTTCAAATACAGGTAAAACTAAACAATATGTTTTATAGGTCAATAAATGTAAAAGGTAAAATCTTAAAGAAAGGCAAGGCAATGATTGACACAAAAATCAGGATAACAATTTTCTCTGAAAGAGGAAGAGCCCACAGAGTCCTACAGAGGACTTAAAGGATGAACTATTTTTCTTAAACCAGGTAGATGGTATTTTTATTTGTTTTATCTTACACATGTTTATATATCTACTTTTATCTTTTATTTTGAAAATACCATCAAGCATCATATACTTTCCAAAACAGTGAATTTCTACCGGAGAATTTCAAGCCTTCGTAAGCATTTGGGAGAGAGATTGAAGAGGGATTCTGGGAACCTTCCTGCGTCCCCTACCTATGGTGTATTAGTCTGTATTCACACTGCTGATAAAGATATACCCTAGCTGGGCGCGGTGGCTCACGCCTGTAATCCCAGCACTTTGGGAGGCTGAGGTGGACGAATCATGAGGTTAGGAGATCGAGACCATCCTGGCTAACAGGGTGAAACCCCATCTCTACTAAAAATACAAAAAATTAGCTGGGCATGGTGGTGGGCACCTGTAGTCCCAGCTACTCAAGAGGCTGAGGCAGGAGAATGGCGTGAACCCGGGTGGCAGAGCTTGCAGTGAGCCGAGATCATGCCACCGCACTCCAGCCTGGGTGACAGAGTGAGACTCCGTCTCAAAAAAAAAAAAAAAGAAAAGAAAAAAAGATATACCCAAGACTGGGCAATTTACAAAAGAAAGAGGTTTAATGGACTTACAGTTCCACATGGCTGGGGAAGCCTCACAATCATAGCAGAAGGCAAGGAGGAGCAAGTCATATCTTACGTGGATGGCAGCAGGCAAAGAGAGGGCTTTTGCAGGGAAACTCCCGTTTTTAAAACCTTCAGATCTTGTGAGGCCCACTCACTATCATGAGAACAGCAAGGGAAAGACCCTCCCCCATGATTCAATCATCTCCCACTGGGTCTCTCTACAACACGTGGGAATGAGATTTGGGTGGGGACACAGAGCCAAACCATATAATAAAGGTTTGTGAAATAGCTGCCTGGCCAGAGATAGTCTCTCTGACCTTCTTGTTCTCTCACATCTCTTTTAAAACCTGGAGTTCAAATAAACTCCCCAACCTTCCTACTGCCATTTGCAGGCATTCTCTTCAAGGCCATAATGATTCTTTTTATCCCAGCCTTTTTATATGAACAGAATTTATCCACACAGATATCTGCCAATAGTATATCAAAAATCCCAGGGACAGTGTTATCTAGTCTCCACTGAATTTGCCCAGACCTCATATTACTGGCCTACCAGCTTTCCTGGTTACTCAGATTCCCTCGTTTTGGCCCAGTTCCTTGGCTCTGGCTGTTTGTCCAGCTCTTGTGATAGGAGGCCTGGCTGGGCCAAGTGTTTCAACCTTATCTTCAGCACTCCCTCCACGGCCTGTTTTCCAACATCTATTCTCAATCCTCATGTGCCATGATCTCCCCTGACAGACACTC
The DNA here is from genome assembly GCF_000001405.40 of Homo sapiens. NCBI lineage: Eukaryota > Metazoa > Chordata > Mammalia > Primates > Hominidae > Homo > Homo sapiens. The sequence continues at coordinate 51,401,841 of NC_000014.9, read as the reverse complement.
TTGGGATGAACAAGTCTGGCTGTCTTGGGCACCCCCTGTTCTTCCCAAATACATGGGTAGGAGGTCAGGGAAGAGCAGTTTCTTTAAATTCATCACAGTATAGTGATTTCATATTAGTCTCAGTCACGTGCCTCTGTCAGCGTCCCATTCGAGCCCTGTTGACATTAGCAAGTTGAATACTCCTACGGGGAAGTTCCAAACAATGGAAAAAGTCTTCAGAGAAATTGAAGACTGTTTTACTTTTGGCCTGAGCTTGGGTTAGGATGGGCATTCCAGAGAACCCATCCAAGATATCACCTGATCTGATCCTTTTACTCTCAGAGTTCAAAATGTTCCTTGCAGAGGGACCTTGCATTTCAGACTGCTGCCCAAGGAACTTGTTGCTACAACAAAAACTCCCAAACCATGGAAACTGTTTGTGTCCGCCAAACCCAAAGCAGAACTGTACACACAGCATAAAAATCAAGTTGCCTTAATCTTGCATATTTGGCTCAGTTTTTCCTAGCCACATCCTAAAACAAAATGGGTTGAATTACTGGATGAAAAATAAATTCCATCCATGGAACTGTTGCTATTGCCACAGAAAACAAAAGGAAGGTGTTTTTCTGCCATGTCTTGGAAGAGGTGAAGTCATTGTTTTAGGATAAAGGGATCAGACTTAAATTCCTACCACATGCAGAAAAATGGAGTTGGTTGCTTAATTAGACTGCCTATTAAAAGGTTTCTCATTATTTTAAATTGTGTTTTAAAATACTTAAAAATTCAGGAAAACCTTTCTGAAGAAAAATTTGAAAGTGCTATTTAAAGTCTTCAAAATGTATATAATTTTACCCAGTAGTTCCAATTCTAGGAATAATTATGGAAGTGGCTGAAGAATTATCTGCATAGATATTTAATGCTGCATTACTTTCAACAGTGAGTGGGAGAAAAACTGTTAAGATGTTCAACCTAGGAAATTGGCTAAATAAATTACTGTGTAGTAGAAGGGCTCTTTAAAACCTAAATAGCCCTCTGGATTAGCCATAACTCTCCATTCTTTACATAATAAACTTTTGTCTAATGCCCCAGCATGCTGAGTGCTCACAGCCTGTAGGCTGTCTTTCATTAACCCACACATGTTTATTCCCAGTAGTTGAGTTCCATGCTCACCAAGAATCAGGTGTGTTTGTTCCCAAACCTGTTTATGCTGTTATAGTTTTTTATTGTAATTATATAATTTTATTAAATAGTATATACACCAATGGAATTACAAAAGAGAGATTTTTATTTCTCCAAAAAACAGATTGAAATTTTTAGAAAGACTGGATAAAGTTGAGTTGCCAAAAAATAAAAATACTGATTAATTAGGTGATAATGGACAAGAGTAAAATATTAGGGGAGAAAATAGTAATGATGCAGGAGACTCTGTGATTTGTATGAACATGAATGAACCTAGAGGACATTATGCCAAGTGAAATAAGCCAGGCATGGAGAAACAGTTACCATATGACCTCACTTGCATGTGGAATCTAAAAAAAGTAGAAGTAGAGAGTAGAATGGTTCCCAGAGGCTGGGAGTAGAGCGGTAGATGGGGAAGGAAAGACATTGGTCAAAGGGCACCAGTTTCAGTTAGACAGAAACAGAAGGAATACGTTCTGGTGACTTATTGCATGGCATGGTGACTAAAGTTAATAATAATACATTTTACATTCAAAATAGCTAAAAGAGAGGACTTTAAATGTTCTTACCACAAAGAAATGATAGATATTTGAGATGATGACTGTGTTTATTAGCCTGATTTGATCATTCCACAATGTATGCATGTATTGAAACATTCCATTGTGCCCATATATATATACAATTATTTTTTGCCAATTAAAAATAAAACTTTTTTTAAAAAAGGAATATTTGCTAACTAAAAAAAAAAACAACATTCTCTGCACATTGAAGCATAAAAGAAAAAATAAATTCAAAAATTCTCACTTTCTTATTCGCCTGTATTTGCCTTATCTAACAAAACCTCTTATTTCTACTTAAGTCAATTCAATGATTTCACTACTTTTGACAAGAGCTGGTCTAAAGTTTATTCTATGAGAGTCAATCAATAATATAAATATAACCAGAATAAAAATACTGAGAAAACAGCTCTCTTAGATAGAGAGAAACACTTTGGAAGCACCCACTTATGTATCAATAATTTAACTAAATTTGAAGCACAGAGGAGGTACTGCTAAGCCTATTGTGATATAATAATTTCAAATCCATCAATTCAATGAAGAACAACACTTTTCAGCCTAATTCTCATAACTGCAGGCACTCAAAAGTAATAAAGTTATATTTTGGAAACAATATTCTAATAGTCAGATATTTTTCTAACTCAGATGATATATCCCAAATTTAATCTAGATTAATGAGGTTTTACTAGGCACTCATGTATCTACCGAAAAATGGGGCACATTCAGATGGTGGCTAATGTCTACTAGAGAGGAAAGTAGTAGATTTAATATTTATTGAGCCCTTAATATTTTCAAGTAACTGTGATGGGTGAACCATTAACTACAAATAGTCCCTTAATGCAGTAGCCTGGCAGACAAGTGTGAGACATGCATAAAGATAGACGGGGAGGAGAAGGAAGACCTGCTGAATGCAATGTTTAAGGAAGGCAGAAGAGGGAGTGGTAAATTCTGACTCAGGGAATGACGAAAGGGTAAGGTTTCCAAGAGCAGAGCTGGGGCCAGGGTATCAACAGAAGAAAGCTCATGAGCAATGGTAGACACACAGGAAAAGGGCTTGGCTAGGAGCAGTGAGCAGTTTGCTGAGTTTAGGGTGTGCCGATGTGGGGTGGGGACAGTAAGTGTGTGGGAAACAGAACTGGAGCATCAGGCTAGGGCCCGATCCTGGAGAGACTTAGAGGCCATTCCAGGGAGGTTGGGCTTTATTCTGTACACACTGGCAATCTGCTGACATGTTTTGAGCCAAGGAGTGAGCAGATCTAGGTTTGGGGCACTCTCTTTGGTGATGGTGGATAGGATAATTTGGAGTCGGGAAAACCTGGAGACCAGTGAAAAAATTATGGAATCTATTGTCCCTGGTTGAGACTCTTTTTCCCAATTTTCTAGTTTACCTGCTGTCTTCAGAGAGGATTATTAGCATATCAGGGTGTAATTTTTTGAATGAAAGTAGGAAATTAGGTTTATCATTATTTCTTTGTTCCAAAAGCCTGGTTGTTAGAGACTTCTTATTAGTGTACTTTTCATAATCTAAGAATTTCTAGTGAGATGGTGAAATATGCAAAAAAAAAATGCAATTTGCTCAGCTTATAAATATTGGCTATTTAATTAACATTGTTTGTGACAATGACATATTTTTCTTATATAGATGATGAGAGAAAGTTCTTTGAAAAATTGCATAGCTATTGTTCTTGAGTAAGTTGCTAAGAGCATTTTACCACCAAGAATAGAGCTAAAGAAAATTGGCTTTGCCTTGTCTGAAGACCATGACTTCTACCTTGGGAACATGTGCACCGAAATGAATACAGCCTCCTCTATGTGTTCACGGGAGGGGATCGTGGGTGGGGAGGTGCAGTGATTCTCAGAACGGCCCTTGTAATTTAAACCTAAGTACCAATATCTCTATGTCAGAAGCAAGGAAATAGACCAAAGCATTAAATGACTAGTTTCAAAATATGCACTTAACCAGCTCTAATGCTGAGAGGAAAATCTTCACTTTTATAATTTTTTTGTATATCCAAGTAAATATGTATAACAACTTTCTCCTAAGACATTTCCCCCTTTTGGTTCTAGAGACCAAAAAAATTGTTGTCTATGTTTCTAAACTTTTTTTCAAGGACTTCACACTTTTAAATTCAAGTTGAATACCCGTTATCTGAAATGCTTGGGACCAGAAGTGTTTCAGATTTTGGATACTTTTGGGTTTTCGAATATTTGACTATATACCTTGAGATATATCAGGGATGGGACCTAAGTCTGAACAAAAAATTCATTTATGTTTCATATACACCTTATAAACATTGCCTAAAGATAATTTTATACAATATTTTAAATAATCTTAAGCACGAAACAAACTTTTGACTGTGTTTTGACCGCAACTCATCACACGAGGTGAGGTGTGGAATTTTCTACATGTGGCGCGATGTCAGTGCTCAAAACATTCAGATTTTGGAGGATTTTAGATTTTGGAGTTTGAGATTACAGGTGTTCAACCTTTGTATCAAACACAACCAATTTATTAACAAAGCAGGTACAAAGTACAACACACTTATGCCCCTAACTTTTGAAGAAAAGCAAAAAAGATTAGTAGGTAAAAGTTGTTTTTCTCTCCCACAAATCATCTTTGCTACTCACACACACATATACTTTGCAAGTGTTTCCAAATCTCTGAAAACTTCACATCTCTTGTCTCAAGCTCTAGGTATGTACCTGCCTACCATAGTGTGGTGTCAAAGGGAAGGTGTCTGAGCAAACTTATTGATCTTAACCTTTTCTTCTCCACCTATGGCAGAAGCCACAAATACCTTATGTAAAGGGCTTGCAGCTGTGCCCTGTGAAGGAGCACTCCCTCCAGACTGGGCATGCGTCCTGGCCTCTGTTTGGAATGCTCTCTTTCTGCCTCAGTTTCCTTCCTGATGTATATATATAGACTCAGCCTCTCTGCCCAAGTCTTCTATGATGACAGCTCACTAGGCAGGCAGCGTGGATCTATGTTCCAGTCTCCTCTTGCAGATCAGATACCACCTCTGAGATCCTTCTCTGCTCCTCACTGACCAAACTCAAGGAACAGATCTTCCCTGCCCAGGTCTCCAGGACCCCAACCTACCCACTTCTAGGAGAGAATTCACACAGGGTAAGTTAAGAACACTTATAGCAAGGGATAAATCCTCCCTGCCCCTCGCATGGTGTGCCTTAACATTTAGCCCTAACCACAGGGATACAGAATAGCCCCTTCTGCAAAACTGAACTGGAAAATTGGATCCACATATAAAAAAGGAGGTTGTTCTGGCTAATTGATTAGTAAGGCCCCTGTAGCTCGTCCAGTTACATATATTCATGTCCAGCTTGTCACACTGTCTGGCTGACTAATTTGGCCTACAGACTCCCCAAACATGAGATTCTAATGACTCACCTAAAGTTTTAATATTCAGAAAACTGGGCCTTCTCCTTGGAAAGTTGTTCCGATGAGCAGGAATGTTAATCTGTGAGTGTAAGTACTGCCTTCACCTCTGGACGTGTCTGTGTGGTATGTGCCAAAGAGACAGAACTCAGCACAGATGGTGACTCCTGAATCATTAACTTCAGGCAGCTGCGTTCCGTGGCTGTACAGCTCCGTGGCAGCACAGGCACCAGGAGCCCACAGATTATCACGATAAACAGTACAAGACCTCTTGCAGGTCGTAGGCCATGGAGCACATGTTTAACTTCTTTGGGGAAAAAAATAATTCGCTGGCAAAAAAAAAAAACCCAGAATATTTGCCAAACACCTCATTTCCTGCTCTATAACCAGATGGTTATGAATCATGTGAAATATCCCTTCCACCTCCATGAACAAATATTCGTGTTATTTACAAACTAGTAGTACATTTGTGACTGCACATACATGCTTAACAAATTTCTAGGCCGTGGAATGTATTTCTCAAGTATATGGGAAAATCTATAACATGAAAATCTTTATCTTCCCAGGCTTTCTGAATAATGTGTATTAAACAGTTGTTGACGACCTAACAAAAGTTACTGGGTCTTGGAGTGTGAGACAGATCACTATTTTGGAGAAAGGATGTTATATGAAGCAGGAACTACATTTTTTCACTGTGGTTTCACCCTTTTATTTAGAAACAACAATAAACATTTTTGTTACGGCTTTGAAAAGAGAAAATAAATCCCTTTTTGTTATGGCTTTGAAAAGAGAAAATACATGCCTTTTTGGAAGAGAGAAAGAGAAAAGGCAGGAAGGAAGGGAAAGAAGGAAGGGGAGATTGGATGGATTCTTTGCTAGCCAAGGTGCCTAAGAGCTAGAAACAAAAGTAGGAAATACAAACACTGTAGCTTTCTGCACCACAGCTGCCTCCCCTCGCAACAAAGAGCAGGCCCTCGGCCTCCGAGCCTGGGAGAGGGAGCATCACCCTTAGGCACAATGTAGCCCAGAAGGGCCTGGCGCTGTCCTTTTTGGCCTCCTGACAAGAATGTTCACTTACAGATCCCAAGTTATCCTAAGTCCATCTGGCGTGTTCTGAGGATCAAAAACAAATGTGTGGAGCCTCCCCTCCCTCGCACCCGCCTGCACTCTCAGGCTCTGACCTGCTTTCAGGAGCACTCAGGGTGAAGCCCAGACTTGTCCCACAGGGGATTCTCTGGGAGGGAGGCTGGGAGCACATGGCATGCAGTGCCTCTGCCTCCTCACCCACCCTAAGAGGTGGAAGGAGGCAGCCCAGCAGTGCCCCTCAGAGTCAAAGACAGCGTGGCTCGCTCTCACAAGCCCTTCAGCTTGCTGGGCAGTAGTGAGATTTTTTGTTCCTTTCTTATTAGAGTCACAGAGAGTCAGAAGGGAACTCAGAGATGATTTTACAAAGGGAAGAATATTAAGGCTTAGCGAGGTCAGACTACTCACACAGGTCATGGCAAATTAGCAGAAGAGTTGGGATTTCATTTTTAGTGTTTTGCCATCCTATGGATGGGTTTAAATCAGAGGTAATAACTTTGATCCAGCTATTCTTCAAGAGAAAATAAAGCCAGGGCTTTGGGAACAGTAGGAGGTGGGGATGAGGGGAAGGGCAACATCAGGCAGCATTTATGTGACCAAACAGACACGTTTTTGACACAGGTTGGACATGTCAGATAAAATAATCTGCCATCTGCACCAACTTGCTTGACCTGAACAACAAGTTCAAATGCCAAGGTGACTAGAGAAGAGGGAGAGTACAGGAAGCAAGGGAGGGGGAGAGGCTTCTCCTCTTTCTCAGGACAGGAGTCTGGCACCTCATCTTTTTATGAACAATAGAGCCCCTGTGTAAGCCCCATGTCCCTCAGGAAAGGAGGATCCCAGGAGGTCCCATCCTCTGCAGCCTGCAGTGCCTCTTCCTCATTTCCTTATTGACTCCTGATTCCGGGGGTCCTAGGTGGGCAGGGCTTAGACGTCCAGTTGCATCAACTGTCCCTGCATCCTATCCCTGATTTTACTTCACTACAGGAAGTAGCCAGAGTGCAACAGCAGGCTCTCTGTGTCTGGATTTTATGACAAAAGAGGATTTATAAACAGAACTTGAGGGCCTTCCTGAGAAAGAGAAATTGGCCTCTCTTCAGTCAGGAGCCAGGGAATTATTTGCACGCCAAGCAAATAGCTCCCAAGCTAACAATAAATGGCTCTGGGGCTGTGTCATTCATTGACCCTGGGAATTCACCCAAGGCACCTCTGAAATTTGAAAATAGCTGTTAATTACATTAAATCGTGAGAATTACAGATTTTTCCAAAAGGGATGACTATTAGAAATGTGAGGTGTCAACGGAGGTTTGATGAATAGGCACCACCAGTTTGTTTTCTTCCTATAATCCAAGCCTCTGAAAATGACCTGAGAATTCACACATATGATCTGAGAGTCAGAATTGGCCAATATTGTAGAAAGTAAAGGTAAAACCTGTATTCTTCCCACCTCCCTTTAACAGAGTACGTACTACATTAGTCTGGTGTTTGGAACACCTACTGTAGGTTATTCCTTTGGACTTATGCGTTTTTGTACCTAAGAAACTTCTTTCAAAATAAAAATACTCTTGCCAGGGGCAACATATCAGGCTGTTGTAGACTGAATTGTGTCCCCCTAAAATTCATGGAAGTCCTAACCCCCAGTAGCTCCGAATGTGACTGTATCTGGAGACAGGGTCTTTATAGAGGTAATTAGGTTAAAATGAGGTCACTGGGATGGGCCCTAATCCAATATGATGGGTCTCCTTATAAGAGGAAATTGAGACACAGACCTGTTCACAGGGAAGACCGTGTGAAGACACTGGAAGAAGACAGCCATCCACAAAGCAAGGACAGGAGCCTTGGAGGAGAACAATCCTGGGGACTCCTTGATCTTAGACTTCTAGCCTCCAGGATTATTAGAAAATAAATTTATGTTATTTAAGCTGCCCAGTCTGTGGTACCTTGCTATGGCAGCCCTAGCAAAATAATTCACAGGCTATTTACACTTGAACATGAATTATTGATAGTAGGGAAAAAAAATGAGCCCTGTAACTTTCCTAGTCTTGAGGAATAGAGACTACAAACAAATCAAGTCTTCTGTGGGAATGCTGGGCCATGGGCTTTGGAATCACCACCAGTGATGGAACCCGAAGTAAGCTACTAAACCTCGACAGGCTCATTCATGAATCACCACCAGTGATGGAACCCCAGGTAAGCTACTAAACCTCAACAGGCTCATCCATGATGTGGGGATTATCATAATATCGACCTTATAAAGCTGCTAGGATTAAACAAAATACATGGAAAGTGTACAGTGCCTAAGACGTAGTGAGCACTCCATAAATTGTAGTTATGATAATAGTGAGGGGCTAGGAGAGGAGGCTCTGAGAAAAGAGGACTAGGTAGAAGACAGAGGGGAAAGTCATAAAAACAATGCTGGTCTGCAGAGTTGGGAGCCCTGGATTTTAGCTCCAGCCCTGCACTGATTAGATAATTTTGAGAAGTCACTTTGCCATCCTGATCCTCAGTTTCCTCATCTATACAATGAAAAGGCTAGACTATATACAAAAGACAAAAGGTGAAGAGGAAGCTAAAAACACCTCTTTTTTTTTTTTCTCAAGGTGGTCCTGAAAGGAGGAGGTGCTTTGCTTCTCTTTTTCGCAGATGTCAATTATGGATCAACTTCTGAGTCACATAGAAGAGGTAAACACAAGTTTCTTCACTCGCTTTCTTTTTCTTCCACCAAATATCCATCCCTGTAATAGCTACCATGATTGATAAGAGGAACATTTTCCAGGACCACCCTTAGCCATGATCTCAGGCCTCTGGAGTGGCCCCTTCCACCCTTCTCCAATGATCTTCCTTGCAGTGTCCCCTCCAAACCTTCCCATATCCAGGAAACCTAGATTTCCACACCCCAGGGGAACATCTCACTGGATGCCAGGAGAGCAGAAAAGCATAGATGGGTTGGACCTCACGTTACTCTGAAGGAATATCCTGAGATTTACTCTAGAAATATATTCTCTGCCAACATCAGAACTTAAGAGTCTTCATCACAAAAATTATTACATTTATTAGGTGATAATTGATGAGGCTTTGGACAGAGCATGCATTCCTTCAAGCAATCAGCTCTGTGCTTACTTGCTGCCAAGACACTGTGCTAAGTGCTAGGCTGGACAGTTCTTTCCTGGGGGGAAATTCATAGACTATTAGATAGTTAAAAAGAAAAAAAAAATCCATCATTTTACCATGCACTTCACATCGAATGAGCCATGGCATATTTCTGTTAAATATTGATATAAACCGTCATGGAAATAATTAAACATTTTCACCTTCCAGCACCATCAATTGGCCATTTCTCACCTGATCACTGAGGATATAAAGTGCTTTTCCAGACTCCAGGACTCGGTTCATTGCTAGTATCAGGACGCCTCTCATGTATGGGAAGCCAGAAACATCCCAGGAGCCTCACTGACTGCTTGGGCACAGCCCTCTGAGCAGACCTATGAAGAAACAGAAGGATTTGTGCCTTTTAGGTATCTCTGGTCAAAACAGGTATTTGAAGTTCTGATTCTGCTATTATCTGGCACCTCCACTTGGCCCATTGCTGGAAATATTAGGACTAGAAAACATCAAGATCAGGCACCGAACAGGCAAATCTCCACTGAGTGGTTCTGATGTGCAAATAGCTGATGAAGACTGGTTATGGTTATAAAATGGAACACAGTTTTCTAATTACATAGTGTGTGGGTCTCGTGTGTGTGTGTGTGTGCATGCATGTGTGTGCATGTGTGTGTTCGTGTGTGTGTGTGTGCATGTATATCTAAGGTGCTTCACATTTAGCTCTCAGCTCTCAGAATGAGTCCACATTCTGAGGTAAATCTATGGTGTTTGATACCAACCAATTTGAGAGAAACATCTGGTGTCATTTGCTTTTCTAGATTCATTTTTATATCTCCAAGACAGAGACACAACAAAGCTTTACTTAGGGCCAACTTATTCTAAAGTTTTATTGGTATCTAGAAGTAGACACCCATGTCTCTTCCACTTCCTTATTTGAATAAAATTAAGTGGGTCTAGTCCTTACCTTAATTCTCTCTTAAAAATGCTCAAGAAAACCAATTTCAATAGCTGGGCCTAAAACAATATTACAAAACTTGGGTGCTAGGATTATAACAAGGATTTTTCCAACCAGCAAGAAACAAAGCAAGACTTTCAAACAGTTTTATTATTTTTTATCTTTTTAAAAATTGTATTGGGGTAAAATACACGTAGCATAAAATTTACCATCTTAACCATTTTTAGGCCTACAGTTCAGTGGTACTAAGTACATTCCTATTGTTATACGGCCACTACCACTATCCATCTCCAGAATCTTTTCATCTTCCCAAACTGAAATTCTGCCTCCATTAAACAATAACTCCCCAGTCCCATCTTTCCCCAGGCCCTGGAAACCACCATTCTATTTTCTGTCTTTATAAATTTCACTACTCTAGACATTTCATATAAAGAGAATCATATAATATGTGTTCTTTTGTGGCTGGCTTATTTCGCAGAGCATAATGTCTTCAAGCTTCATCCATGTTGTAGCATATGTCAGAATTACCTTTGTTTTGAGGGTGAATAATATTTCATCATATGTAGATGCCACATATTGTTTACTCACTCATCCCTCAATGGACGCTTGGGTTGCATCCACGTTTTGGCTACTGTGAAAAATGCTGCTATGAATATGGGTGTACAAACATCTCTTTGAGACCCTGCTTTCAACTCTTTTGGGTATATACCCAAAAGGTTAATTGGTGGATCATACAGTATTTCTACCTTTAATTTTTTGAGGACTCACCATAGTGTTTTCCATAGCAGTTACATCATTTTACAATCCTACCAATAAACGGTACACAAGGGTTCCAATTTTTTCACATCCTTGCCAACACTTGTTATTTTATGTTTTTAGGCTAGCCATCCTAATGGGCATGAGGCCTTCCAAACAGTTTTATGATCGACTAAGTTAACCAAGTAAACCAGATCAATGACGGGCCATAACATCAATGACCAAAAGAAAGGGGGATGGAAGACACTCAGAAAGTTCCACCCCAGCCCTTACAACATTGTTTGAATGGAGAGTAGAAGGGGACAAGCTCCCATTTCACAAGGTAAAGTTTATAGATTACCTAGATGTCTTTCATTGCCACTTGTTCTAGGTCACACACACAAAACCTAACTCAGCAGTCTCAAGTATATCAGGAGGAAAATGATGCAAGTCTCAGTGAGAGAGAGAGAAATAGTGAGAGAAAGAGTGAAAAGGAGGAGGAGGAAAAGGAGAAAAGGAAGGAAGAGAGGGAATAGGAAAGGAGAGGCAAGGAAAGCTTTCACGTAGCAAATGAAACAGAATGAAAAGACAAACTACAGAATAGGAGAAAATATTTGCAAACCATATATCTGATAAGGGATTACTGTAATATCCAAAGTGTATAAGGAATTTCTACAACTGAATAGCAAAAAATAAAATAAAATAATAACAAATAACCCTACTAAAAATGGGCAAAAGACTTGAATAGACATTCTCCAAAGAAGACATGCAAATGGTCAACAGTTATATAAAAAGATGCTTGACTGGGCGCAGTGGCTCATGCCTGTAATCCCAGCACTTTGGGAGGCCGAGGCGGGTGGATCACCTGAGGTCAGGAGTTCGAGACCAGGCTGGCCAACATGGTGAAACCCCATCTCTACTAAAAATACAAAAATTAGCCGGGCGTGGTGGCAGACATCTGTAGTCCCATTTACTCAGGAGGCTGAAGCAAGAGAATCACTAGAATCTGCGAGGTGGAGGTTGCAGTGAGCCAAGATCGTGCCACTGCACTCCAGCCTGGGCAACAAGAGCAAGACTCCATCTCAAAAAACAAACAAGCAAACAAAAGATGCTCAACATCATTAATCATGAGGGATATGGAAATCAAAACCGCAATGAGACATCACCTCATTAGAGTGTTAGGATGTCTATTAGAGAAAAGAAGATAACACACGCTGGTGAGAATGTAAAGAAACTGGAATTCTTCTGCATTGTTGGTAGGAGTGTAAATGGTACAACCACTAGGGAAAGCAGAAAGAAGGGTCCTTAAAAAATTGAAAATAGAACTACCATATGTTTTAGCAATCCCACTTCTGGGTATATACCCAAAAGAATTGAAAGTAGGATCTCAAAGAGATATTTGTACTCCCACGTTCCTTGCAGCATTATTCACAGTAGCCAAAAGGTGGAAGCAACACAGGTGTCCACTGATAGATGAATGGATAAAGAAAATGTGGTATATATATATATATTATGGAATATTATTCAGCCTTTAAAAAGAATGAACTCCTGCAATATGCAACAACATAGATGAACCTAGAGAAACATTATGCTAAGTGAAATACTGTATAATTTAACTTACACTTGATATTTAAAAGAACTGCTATGGTCCGATTATTTGTTCCCTTCAAAACTCATGTTGAAACTTAATCCCCAATACAGCAATATTGAGAGATTGATTCCTTAAGAGGTGACTGAGTCATGAGGGCCCTGCCCTTATGAATGTATTAATTCATTCACGTATTAATAGGTTATCATGGGGGTGGGACTGGTGGCTTTATAAGAAGAGAGGCCTGAGCTAGCACACTCAGCCCCCTCACCATGTAATACCCTGCACTACCTCTGCAGAAGAGTCCTTGCCAGCAAGAAGGCCCTCACCAGATGTAGCCCCTTGACCTTGGACTTCTTGGCCTGTGTAACTATAAGAAATACATTCCTTTCCTTTATGAATTACCCAGTTTCAGGTATTCTAAGTAACAGAAACTGAACTAAGACAACAGACAAGCTGACGAAAGCAGAGGGTAGAATGTTGGTTGCCAGGGATTGAAGGGAGGGGAAAATGGGGAGTTGCTATTCAACGGGTATAAGGTTTCAGTGATGCAAGATGAGCAGGTTCTAGAGAGCTGCTGTACAACATTGTGCCTTTAGTTAACAGTACTGTATTGTAGACTTAAAACTTTGTTAGGAGGCTAGATCTCATGTTCAATGTTCTCACTACAAGAAAAAAAAAGAAAGAAAAAGGAAATGTAGTATTTGTGAAGTTCTATTGAATAAAAGCGTGTGCATATGGATGAACTTGGCTGACCTGACAATAAAAGTCCTAACATAGAACTTCTTTGAAGATTGAACATATAATAGGGTCCTAATTCTCCATAGTGAATGGTCTTTTTCAAAAAGAATACGTGATCAAAAACTTTCCACAGGCAGAGATGACTTAAAGCTACTTCACAAATCTTACTTATATACTGTATACAGTATTACATTATATACTGTAATGAGTTGTGAGGGATATGTATTACTTTAAAATCTTGACTACACAGATTATTTAAATGCTTACAAATGAAAAGGCTCATGAGATAGAGCTTTATAATATTTTTAGATTAAATAAAGTTTTTCTGAAGCTAGAGGTTTCAAATTTGCAGCTACATTTCTTGTGAGAAAACTAAAATAGAATACGTCCAAAACAGCTTGTCCATAGAATAGTTAAAATAATCCTTCCTGTTTTGCAGAATTAAGAATACATTCAATGAGTGGAAGGAAAATGCTAAGTTTCTGAAGACAGACTAGCTAAAACTAATAGTTAATATTTATTGCTCATTTATTATGCACATTTGCTCTTTCCAATAATTCCTAAGGTGGTTCCTATTATTTTCTTCATTTTATAAATCTGGACAATCAAGTGATATTAAACAACTTGACTAAGGTCATTGGATTAGTAAATGCAGAAGATCACTAAGAACCAAAGCAGTCTGACCCCAGTGCCTATTCTTACAACTATTACATTGCACTATCTCTCTACAGATTAAAAAGGAAAACATCTCATCTTCAATTGCCTGATGAAATGACCAGTGATTCCTCTGCTTTGGAGTAAACAAAGTATATTACAACAAATCTCCTCCACTTTTTCCTTCCTTTGCAGGATTTCTGAAACTTGTCTTCTTGTCAGCTGCTAGCATAAGAGGAACCAGAAGCCTACTGCCCATTTGATTTTTTCCTTAGCAGGGAGAAACAGACTTAGCCCCAGTTTCTAAAATCTACGGTCTCTTTCACACAGCGAGGAGGATGCAGCACATGCAGAGGCTTCATAAATCTGATGAGTGCTGAAAAGAACCATGCCCTCCAGCAAGGGGGAGCCAGGAAACATTCTACAGGAAAGTCTGGAGTTTTGACACCTGTTGAGAGACACACCACCCACTAAAGAAAAAAAGGGTGCAGAGCTCTTCTACCCTTAGATAATATGTGTTGGGAAGAATTAACCAGGTAAGTATGAATGCAGCACATATAATCTCATCTCTTCTTTCATCTGTATCAGTCATTCTTTGAAGATGAGCTAATGTCCCAGTTGTTCCTCCTACTTGGCTAACCATCTTTTGGTCATTTTTCAACAATTTAGCATTGTGTAATGGACAAGAGAGGAAGTCACACTTCAATCTATCACAGATTATGACATCTGGTAAAGAATAACAATGGTAGGAAGATAAACAAGCTCTGTCAGAGCTAGCGTTTGTCTTCTTGACTGCAAGTGCTTGATGAGTATGTGTCAAAAAGGAAGAAAGGGAAGGGAGAGAAGGAGGAGGAGGAAGAAGAAAAGGAGGAATGAAATAATTAAAACTTTTCCTACTAGAAAAGTGCCATTTGATGCTCATCTGAGCTTCAGACCCCTCCTTGTTCTCAACCTAATTATGCCTTAGGTGGGGGAGAATTATATTGATCTGGCATCAACATAGTACTGTCAATTTGCTGCCAGTTTCTCTTGATTGTGCACTTAAGATCAGGAATGAGAGTGATTTTATGCTTCCATTGTCTACAGCCACATACAAACCATCCTAAAACATAGTGGCTTAAAATAACAACAATCATTTATTTGCTCACAGTTCTGCAGTTTGGTCAAGGTTCAGCAGGGACAGTTTGTCTCTGTTCCACATAGTATCAGCTGAGGCAGCTCAACTGAGGATGGAGGATGCACTTTCAAGATTGTTTCCTTGCAAGACTGGCAAGCTTGTATTGTCAGCTGGACCTCAACTAGGACTGTTGGCCAGGGACCTCTCTCCTCCTCCACATAGATCCATCTATGTGGCTGTTTGGGTTTTCTGACAAGATGGCCACAAGTTCCCAAGAGCAAATATTCCAAGAAAACAAGCCTCAATATGAAATCACTTATCAGGCCTCTCCTTGCATCATACTTGCCAAATGTCCCATTGGCCAAAGATGGCTCCATGATCAAGCCCAGAGTCCATGTGGGAGGGGACTACACAAGGGTAAGAACTCCAACAGCTGTGGTTCATTGGGGGTCACCAAACTAAGAGTTTACCACAGAGTGTGGTAACTTTCGTCTCTCCCCATTAGTAGAGAAAAATTGAAAATTGGTATTATTTGCCCACTCCCCCAATTTTTTAAGTCAGAAACTTAATACCAATGTTTCCTAATTTTTAAGTTGGCTTAAGAAAATTGGAGCCAGGTGTGGTGGCTCACGCCTGTAATCCCAGCACTTTGGGAGGACGAGGCAGGCGGATCACGAGGTCAGGAGATCGAGACCACCCTGGCTAACACAGTGAGACCCCGTCTCTACTAAAAATACAAAAAAAATTAGCCGGGCGTGGTGGCGGGCGCCTGTAGTCCCAGCTACTCAGAAGGCTGAGGCAGGAGAATGGCATGAACCTGGGAGGCAGAGCTTGCAGTGAGTCGAGATCGCGCCACTGCACTCCAGCCTGGGCGACAGAGCGAGACTCTGTCTCAAAAAAAAAAAAAAAAAGAAAGAAAATTGTAGGGAGGAAAAAAAGCTGTATGAGAGGAAAAAAATGTTATGGGTAAATAAAGTCAGGAAAATAGAAGTTCTTATCAAAAACAACCATAACTATCCTGGAACCACAGGGCAGCAAGGGGTGCACATGTGATAGGGGAATGCTTATGTCACAGATGAAAATTATGGCATGCTGGGTGACAAAAAACATAGACATATGGCACACCTAAACGTTACAAGGAGTGGAAATGTTACAAGCTAGTAAGGTTCATGAAGAAATAATGAAGACTTTTTCCAGGTAAAGTCAGAAAAACAAAAGCCAGAAAATAATTTGCTTTTATAAGCAGCATTTCAGTTGGACTTTCAAAAGGTTTGTTAATTTAAATGACATTTTAAATGCTTTTATCAATGATGAGATTGTTAAAATGGTGAGATAACTAATACTTTGAAGGACTGGATTAGAATTCAAATTAACTGAACAAATAGAAGTTGACAAGGATGTAAGGGACACAAATGTTTTCTAAGCTGTGATCACATTCCAAGCCCATATTAAGACCTGCATATATATTAGTTATCACAGAAACTTAAGGCACAGAGAGTTAAATCACTTTCTCAACGTACCATTGTTTGCCAGTGTGGG
This sequence comes from Homo sapiens, assembly GCF_000001405.40. Taxonomy (NCBI): domain Eukaryota; kingdom Metazoa; phylum Chordata; class Mammalia; order Primates; family Hominidae; genus Homo; species Homo sapiens. The sequence goes on along the minus strand of NC_000014.9, from coordinate 51,385,218 downwards.
AGACAGGATTTGTAGCCAGATTTGTCTGGTTGTTTTGATCGATTTGTTAGATCCGAAATTTCTGCAAACTGAATCATTCATTTTTTTCATTGACTCTTTAAAACCAGAAAATATATTTTCAAGGGAAAAAAAATACTGATCAAAGATGCAACAAAGACATCACATGTAAGAATTCTGAAAGCTCTTCTAATCCTCAAACTGAATTGAAACACATTTAATGAAATGATAACTCTCAAAATAATTAACCAAATCAAATACTGAAACTTCAAACGTCAAATTATGAACATGTTTTCCTGTGGCTAGATATATGTGAGCAAGTATTTTTAAAAGCAACAGCTGCTTCTTTCTTTATTCCAAGTAATTCCTTTTAAATTCCCCAAAAGTTATAAAGACAGACCAAATCTTGGTACTTAAAACTTTGAAACAGTTTGTGCTGTAAAGATTTTTTTAATCTTATCTGCTTGCCTGCTATGAGTATCTTCCCAGTTGTTTATTAACTAAGGATTTTCCTTTTCTTAGGCCAAGAGTATTAATAAGGGGCATTTAATTGATCCATTTCCTTGGTATCCTTTGTGAGCTCTTGATGCTAGTGGAAAACATACTCATTTTTATGTATGTTCCTTCTTAGAACTAAAAAGCGTATATATTAGGATTGTTCATTACAATAGTAGCAACAGTAGCTCTATCAGATACTGTCAGAAGCCCCGGCTTCCTAATTTATTGTTTTTTGTCTTTTGCTTTTTTTTTCAAAGTTGGCATTTCTTTGCCACGGGGAAAATGACTTGATCCTTTAGTGCTGCAGCATAGACACGGAGCACACCCCGGGGGTGTGGAAGCGGGAGGCAAGCATGTGAGATGTGGGCCGGGGAAGTCCTTTAAATTCAGCTTTTCTCAGAGCTCTATTAGAATTCATGTCTCCTTTTTGACTCAGTAACTTCGGCAAGTGGCAGAAAGTTTGGAAAGTGTCCAGAAAACAGTTGTGAAAAGTATTAAAAGGCCAAGGAAATAGGTCATATGAGAAACCTAAAGGAACCTAAAGGTTAGTCATTCCATAAAAGAGAAGCCTATGGTGGGATTGAAGATCTGTCTTCACATCTGGGTAGAGCTATTATAAGAGTGATGGTGGCCCCCCCATGATGGGGACTGAGGCTCAAAATGAGGACATCTATAAGGGCTATAAGACCCTAGGACTGGTTGTCAAGCAGGGGAGCTGATTTTTAAAAATAGGCCAGAAGTATCCTTGCTTCATGTTGCCTAAGGATAGATTTATACTCAACTATTCACAAAAGGACTGGCCCCATTTCGGGGACATTAATTATTCACATAGTCCAGTGAGATGCAGAGACTAGGCCAGAAGGGTAAAATTCACCTGGCTCCAGTTTCCCTTGTTATTTTGTGTTCAGGAGATTCTTCTGGTGCAGCACTCTATTTGCTGATGGTAGTGTGGTCTCAGTAGATCACCCAGGGTCCTGGAAGGAATTCAGGTTTGGGATTCAAGCAGACCTAGGTTGATACTCCATCTCGGCCACTTTGTCAGTTGCTAGGTTCTTAATTCTGCTTTTCAGAGCTCTATTTTCTTAATCATTAAGTGAAGATAATAATACACACTTACGTTTTAAAAATGTTATGAAGATCAAGTGAGACAAGATAATGTAAAACGCCTTGTCTGCAGTAGGTGGTTACTAAGTCTTGCTTCCTCTCCCTTTCTGTGACTGGGCAGGATTGTAGGAAAGGGAAGAGTGGAAGAGTATCTAGATGAAGCGTAAATAGGGACCACATATATTTTATAGCTGAATTTCAATTTTTTGAATGCCAACAATGTGTAAAAATGACCCTCAAGTCAACTAATCATCAAGTGATAGCTCCAGGAGGCTCAGATCCCTTTTGATTGCACTCCAAGATATATTGCATTTCTCAAGTGCTTTCTGAGTGCCAGGTTCTTCGCTGGCACTTTACATCCTCACCCAACAGCTACGTGTTATTGTCCCTATTTTATAAATGAGGAAACTGAGGCACGGAAAGATCATGTACTTGCTAATTAGGACACATGGCAACCAAGTTCTGGAGCTAGAACTGGAACGCAGGTTTATTCCGGTTCCAACACCTGAGATGGTGAAAAAGAAGAGAGGAAATAATAGGTCTCACTCATGCGTAGAGTCCTCGGGGGATAAAGCCAGACTTAGAATTTAAAGCTACCAAGTTCAGAGCAACTGGGGAGCCACTTTGTCAGGCCCTGGCACCTGAAATCTGTTACATTTCTAAATGCCATTAAAAAAGATGTTCCCAGGAGTCAGGCCAGAGCAACCTGCTTGAAATCCACCTAATAGGTGTATTACAAGGAAGATAGAGGACTGTTTACTTCCTCTGACCTAATCTCTTTATATCTTAAGTGGATTTCTGAGGGTACAGTAAAAGCTCTCTCTGCTTCTGACACAAGTAAGCCTTGAGTGTCACTTGATTTATGCGTCTTCCCAGCTTGTGCCAGCATGCCTCTACCTACAAATAGCTTTCCATTCACCTAAGGCGTACAAGTAGGAACAGAGCATTCTGACTCACCAGCAGGCAGTTCCAACCTGGTGCTACTTGCCTTTCTTCACCCAGTCACCAAGTTAATGGGTTGTATTAACAGTGATATTTATAGACAACAAATGAACCCCAAAGCAGCAGTGGTGCCCTTCCCATTTAAAAAGGGCCTATTCATCATGGCTCTCCCACATGCAGTACTGCTATTTCCTTGTGTCCCTTCTCTCAAAGTGATTGCCAGATAGTGCAAATGTTTCATTTCCTTTCACGTAAGAATTTTTTGGCTACAATGATTGAGATGAAAGAGTAATAAAAGAACGTAGATGATGTTGTTCCTGCTGTTTTGTATTCTGGTTATTTTATCCCATCACACTTAGAATAAAATAAAAAATTATTCCTATAGCCAACAAGGCCTTTTGTTGTCTGGTCCCCTTCCCCCTCCATGTACACACACACACACTCACACACACGCACACACACTCTCACCCCCACTACAGCTCTGACTCCTCTGCCATCTCTCCCTTCCCTTTCATCACTGGACACCAGCCACTATGGCCTCCCTGTTGCTCCTGCAACACACCCAGCACATGAACACCCCAGGGCATTAGCACTTGCCTTTCCAGATGGAACTCTCTTCCTTTACAAAGCTTCGTGAAGCACTCCCTTAGTCCAAGTGTCTGCTGAGATATCTGAACAAAGAGAACTTCCCTGACCACCCTCTCTAACACAGCACCTTCAATCATTCTTTATCCCTTTAGCCTGCTTTATTTTTCTTCTTAGCACTTATCTATTTGACATTGTTATATATTTATTGTACTCAGTCCACATACACACATGCACACGCATGCATATACACTCACATATGCACGCACGCACACTCAAATGGAAGACCCATGGGGCAGGGCTTGGCTTTGTCTTGTTCACTGTCACAGCCTGAGCATCTAAAACAGAGCCAGGCTCACAGAAAGGGCATGATAAATGGTGGTTGGATGGATAATTGTTTTGTCCTCACCAAACAATCTTAGTCAAACTCTTTTAAGGTATGATAAAGTATCTAAAAGTTCTGGCTGGGTGCGTGGCTCACACCTGTAATCTCAGCACTTTGGGAGGCCGAGGCGGGCAGATCACGAGGTCAGGAGATCAAGACCATCCTGGCTAACAGAGTGAAACCCCGTCTCTACTAAAAATACAAAAAAAAAAATTAGCCAGGCATGGTGGTGGGCACCTGTAGTCCCAGCTACTCGGGAGGCCGAGGCAGGAGAATGGCGTGAACCTGAGAGGCGGAGCTTGCAGTGAGCCAAGATCGCGCCACTGCACTCCAGCCTGGATGACAGAGCGAGACTCTGTCTCAAAAACAAACAAACAAAAAGATATCTAAAAGTTCTATACATCATTGTCAGCTGGCCTCATGGAATGTTAGCTTTAATTTAAAAAAAAATAACACTGCTTTTGATTTAGAAGGAAGAATCTGGTACAGGGAAAAAAAAGAAAAGAGAAATTAAAATGTTGACAATCTGGTTACCAGTTATAATGATACAATAATTTTAGTTAAAGAGAGTGGCTAGACCTATTGCTGTTTCTGAACTAGATTTGGATCTTAAACTTATATAGAAACATACTCCAAAGAGTGCTAAATTCTGAGGCACAGTATTTCATAAATCAATACAAACACCATGAAAAATACAGTTGGTGTTCCAAAAAGAAAATGTCTTAATCTTACATTTTACACTAGAGGAAGCAGAGTCCATCGGTTACTGGAGGTCTTGAAAAGTCAGTGGGAGATGGAAGGGCTAAAACCCATGTCGTCCCCTGGCTAATTTTTTTTCCAAAGTTGCTTATTTCTTCTACTTGCCTCTCCCTCTGAGCTTTTATACTAACACATTTTCATGTCTTTTTGCATACAATCTACTTGTCTCTTACTTTTTCAAAGGGAAATTTATGCTTATCTTCAAACCCAAGCCAACATTTCCCAAATTGCATTCTACATAATAACCAATATATTTACAAATATTCCTCAAATTAAAAAATATATATACATACACTCACATATATACATATATTCAAATAAGTTTAGGGAAAATCTAATGGTCTCTCTCTCATGAATATGTAGTACCCATTAGCCCACTAAACCTGAGAAGTCATGCTATAAAGAAATTGTATATCTTTGTTTAGCTCAGTGCTTCTAGAACTTATCCGACCAGAGAACATTACTTTTTTCCCTAGAAACTTCTCATAAACATAATTGAAGAAATACTTCTTTCTCTCTATACACATATATGATAAACACATAGGCATTTACAATACGTTGTTTGTACATGAACATAAACGTACAAAAAGAAGATTGCATATCATGTGCATGTTGTTTGAAGTGCAAATATGTAGCTTATTGGAGGAATGGACAAGTTAGAGCACCTTAAGAGGTCCAGCAGAGCTAAGGTTGCAGGTAGCTGGTACAAAGGAGAATAGGGTAGCAAGCATAGTAAGCATGCTGCTTAATTTTTTGTTCAGCATCCTTTTTCTAGAAACTGCCTCTACCTACTCACACACCACCCAAATAAGTGTAGTAGGAAATACCATGTCTCCATACTGTGGAATTCCTGACCTCACAGCTGTAGTTAACTGGGATGTGGGTAGCTTCCTCTGCTAAGCTAGGCCAATTAGCTCCTTTCCTAGGAATTTTGGATCCATGACTGAAAGATCTTAAGCAAAAGAATAAAGTTGGCATTGGGAGAGGAGTGGAGACAGAGACTGAGAGAAAAGAGGCATTCCTGAGGACCCCCATCCCTGACTGTCCCCCTGGGGCCAAGCTTCATCCTCAACTTGGAGTCCTGAGATAACTCCATACTCAACCAACACATCTTCTCCTTTCTCTCTTTTCCCTGCTTTTTTGCTAGAATTGGTTTCTGCTCCTTGCAGACAGATTAATACACCAGGGCAAGAGGTATGTAATGGATGAGTCAAACACAGGAGGCAGCAAATCCTAGAACTTTCAACACACTCACCGGTCATTGGCTGTTCCCCCAGACTTTCCATTTTCTCCCTCTGTGCTTTCATTTGAAAGAAAGTGCAGTTTTCATGGAAGGAAAAGAAACTGGTAAGTATGAGATGCTAAGGAATCTTGCATTTAGATTTTCATGTCTATCAATACCTAATTATTTTAAATAAATGATGTAAGATTGCCCCACTATTTTTTGTAAGTAGTTTGAGCTGCTCGTGTATTATCTCAAGCTTTACTTCTTGAAGATCTCTCTCTTCTTAAGGACCTCTGGGGATTTTCTTAAGGAAGTATTTCAGGTGGTTTATTCTGTTTGAGTACAAACATTATTAAGCCCTTTTAAAGCTCATTGATAAAATGTTGCATTTCAAAAGCGTATCTTTAGACTGAAGTCCATATTTTGGTGGGGACAGAGGAGTATCAGAAAGTAATAAATAATCTAACTTTAGTGTAACCATCTTAAACTAACTGTAAACAAAAGAATCATTTTCCTAGAAACAGACCAACACAAAAGAGCTGAACAAGCGAACAACATCAGAGAGATGCAATTAGGTAAATATTCAAACCTACAAGAAATCAGAGAAATACAAAATAAAACAAGGCATTTTTTTCTCTTAGCAAAATCATACACTCACATAAACAGATACGTGTGTGTGTGTGTGTGTGTGTGTGTGTGTGTGTCTGTGTCTGTGTCTGTGTGTCTGTGTGTCCATTTGGGAAATAATTTGGCGTTGTTTACCAAATGCTATAAACATGCCTGTGCCCTTTAATCCTCAGCTAAACTTCTAAGTGTAAGGAAAAATATTAAATATGAAAAAGCTACATACTTAAATATGCTAAATGCTGCCATTTTAATAGTAAAAAAGTAAGAAACTAATGTCCAGTTAGAAGGGAATAAAGAGGTAAATCATCATATATCTATATCATAGATATATATATGATATATAATATATATCATAATAATTAATTATTATATAATAATTAAAGCCATGGTTCTGAAGACCATGTAGTAAAATAAAAGTTATTAATAATTTCATATTAAAGAACAGTGCCAATATTACATGTGTGGAATGATTACAACTATATAAAAAGAAATATATGGAAACAAGTCTGAAAAAAATATACCAAATTGCTTACAGTGATTTATTGCATGGTAATAGTATAATTCCTTTTTTTTAAGAGATAGGGTCTCACTCTAATACTCATGCTGGAGTGCAATGGTGCAAACAATCATAACTCACTGCAGACTTGAGCTCCTGGGCTCCATCGATCCTCTGGCTTCAGCCTCCTGAGTAGCTAGGATGGCAGGCAGGCACCACCATGCCTGGCAATTTTTTATAAAGGTCTGCTTATGTTGTTCAGGCTTGTCTCAAACTCCTGGCCTCAAGTGATCCTCCTGCCTCAGCCTCCCAAAGTGTTGGATTTACAGGCATGAGCCACCATGACCAGCCTAGTTTTACATTTTCTAAATGAAGCAAGTCCAGCAAACTATAACAGTAAATGTTCATACTCCAAGAAACCAGATTTTGTTATTTGTTATGGTTAATACCGAATGTCAACTTGATTGCATTGAAGGATGCAAAGTACTGTTCCTGGGTGTGTCTGTGAGGGTGTTGCCAAAGGAGATTAACATTTGAGTCAGCGGACTGGGAGAGGCAGACCCACCATTAATCTGGGTGGGCACCATCCAATCAACTGCCAGTGCAGCTAGAATAAAGCAGGCAGGAGAAGATAGAAAAGCAGACTTGCGGAGTCTTCTGGCCTTCATCTTTCTCTCATGCTGGATGCTTCCTGCCCTTGAATATCAGACTCCAAGTTCTTCAGCTTTTGGACTCTTGGACTTACGTTATTGGTTTGCCAGGGGCTCTCAGGCCTTTGGCCACAGTGAAGGCTGCACTGTAGGCTTCCCTATTTTTGAGGTTTTAGAACTTGGACTGATCCACCACGGGCTTCCTTGCTCCTCAGCTTGCAGACAGCTTATCGTAGAATTGCCCTGAGTGAGAGTCTTATCTCCTATGGACAAAGGACTGAAAATGTGGAAAATCAGGCACAAGCTCTTATCATGCAAGTGGCTGACCTGCACCAAAAGGTGCACTCTGTCTCACCAGGTGTCTACTGTCAAAGTGAGGGTATTGATTGGAAAAGAATGGGACCCTGCAACTTGGAATGGGGATGTGTGGGAGGACCATGATGAAGCTGGGGACACTGAGCTTGTAAACTCTGATGAGCCTTTTTTTGCCAGAGGAAACAGCCTCCCCAGCCCCAGTGGTGACAACATCCTTTCTTCCATCCAGGCTGCCATCAGCCTTTCCACCTTTATCTGAGGAGATAAACCCTGAGCTGCCTGAGGCAACAGTGATGGCCTCCCCTGAGGCAGTTGCCAGACAAGGCAATGCTGATTCTCCTCACCACCCACTGTACTAATCAGGGTTCTCTAGAGGGACCGACTATTAATAATAGGATAGATGTATATATGAACAGGGGTTTATTAAGGAGAATGGACTCACACGATTACAAGGTAAAGTCCCACAATAGGCCATCTGCAAGTTTAGTAGCAAGGAAGCCAGTGGTGGATCAGTCCAAGTCCCAAAACCTCAAAAGTAGGGAAGCCAAGAGCACAGCCTTCAGTCTGTGGCCAAAGGCCTGAAAGCCCCTGGCAAACCACTGGTGTAAGTCCAAGAGTCCAAAAGCTGAAGAATTTGGAGTTCGATATTCAAGGGCAGCAAGCATCCAGCACAAGAGAAAGATGAAGGCGTGAAGACTCAGCAAGTCTGCTCTTCTGTCTTCTCCTGCCTGCTTTATTCCAGCTGCACTGGAAGGTGGTTAGATGGTGCCCACTCAGATTGAGGGTGGGTCTGCCGCTCCCAGTCCACTGACTCAAATGTACAACCAGGTCCACTGCTCAAAGTTCTGCTCACTGGGAAGATTTCCCTTTGCCACTGTCCTTCAGGGATGTCCTAGAAAGGGGCTGTAGTGCTGCAGCTGTCCACTTTCACGTGGTGCCTGCATATCATGCAGAGCCATCTGTGCACCAGGCCCTAGTCTTCTCTTCCTCTGTCAACTGATCATAGGGAACTCCCCATGAGGCCATTGGTGCAGGCTGGGGGAAAGAAGGCAGAGTGGCAGGAGTGGAGACCATGGGCATTTGAGCCACTTCCTCATGTAACTTACTCGTGCCTTCAGGGCCTGCTTGAGTCTGATCATGTATATACCACTTCCATTTGATGATGGAATGCTGCTGTGCATGACCCACTTTATGGCTAGATGGGTCAGAAAGCACCCAGTTAATATAGGCAGTTAAGGTTGCATGGTGACTTGATGATCCATAGTCAAACATTCAATTTCCACCAAAGCCCAGTAAACCCACCAAGAGCTGTCTCTCAAAAGGAGAGTAGTTATCTGCAGAAGATCACAGGGCCTGGCTCCAAAATCCTAGAGGCCTCTGCTGTGATTCACCTATGGGAGCCTACCAAAGGCTCCAAACAGCATCCCTATCTGCCACTGACACCTCAAGCACCATTGGATCTGGGGGGGTCATATGGCTCAAGTGGCAGAGCAGCTTGCACAGCAGCCTGGACCTGTTGCAGAGCCTTCTCCTGTTCTGGACCCCATTCAAAACTGGCAGCCTTTCGGGTCACTCAATAAATGAGCCAGAGTAACACACCCAAATGAGGAAAATGTTGCCTACAAAATCCAAATAGGCCCACAAAGAGGACTCGCTGTGCCTCTTTCTTGGTTGTAGGAGGGGCCAAATGCAACAACTTGTCCTTCACCTTAGAAGTAATATCTCAACAGGCCACACATTGCTGGGCCCCTAAAAATTTTACTGAGGTAGAGGGTCCCTGAATTTTAGTCAGATTTATTTCCCATCCTCTGGCACACAAATGTCTCACCAATATGTCCAGTGTGTTTGCTACTTCTTACTCACTGGGTCCAATCACCATAATGCCATCAATATAATGGACCAGTGTGATATCTTGTGGAAGGGAAAAGCGATCAAGATCTCTCCAGACAAGATTATGACATAAAGCCAGAGTTGATATACCCCTGAGGGAGGACAGTGAAGGTATATTGCTGGCCTTGCCAGCTGAAGGCATATTGCTTCCGGTGGGCCTTATGGACAGGAATGGAGAAAAGGCATTTGCCAAATTAATGGCTGCCCACCAGGTACCAGGAGATATGTGAATTTGCTCAAGCAATGAAACCACATCTGATACAGCAGCTGTAATTGGAGTCACCACTTAGTTAAGCTTACGATAATACACTGTCATTCTCTAAGATCCGTCTATCTTCTGCATAGGCCAAATAAAAGAGTTGAATGGAGATGTGGTAGGAATCACCACCCCTGCATCTTTTAAGTCCTTGATGGTGGCGCTAATCTCTGCAGTCCCTCCAGGGATGCGATATTGGTTTTGATTTACAATTTTTCTAGGTAGAGGCAGCTCTAATGGCTTCCATTTGACCTTTCCCACCATAATAGCCCTCACCTTACCAGTCAGGGAGCCAATGTGGGGGTTCTGTGAGCTGCTAAGTATGACAGACTGTCTATGCCCATTATGCATTCTGGCACTGGGGAAATGACCCCAGGATGAGTCTGGGGACCCACTGGACCCACTGTAAGTCAGACCTGAGCTAAAACTCCATTAATTACCTGACCTCAATAAGCCCTTACTTTAACTGGAGGACCACAGTGACGTTTTGGGTCCCCTGGAATCTGCGTCAACTCAGAGCCAGTGCCCAGTAGTTCCCAAAAGTTCTGATAATTCCCCTTTCCCCAGTGCACAGACACTCTGGTAAAAGGCCAGAGGTCTCTTGGGGAAGGATGGGAGAAAGATTAACAGCATAAATTATCAGTGATGTAGTGGGGTCTTTCCTCAAGGGGATCCGGACTCCCCTTCATTCAAGGGGTTCTGGGTCTGTAAACTCATTCAGGTCTTGAAATTCACTGAGGGGCCATGATTCTCTGATTTTATAATTCAAATTAGTCTTTGTCCACTCAACCTGGAAGTTTTCTGCTTATATAGATTAAGTAAGAATGCAGTAGGCTTCCTATCAATTTCACTTCTAGGAACATCATGATGAATTAGCCAATGCCAGAGCTCTACATGAGTCAGACTATTCTGATTGCTGCTTTGCCTTTGCTGTCCATTACGGTAACTATGCCCACCTTGCCTTTGAAGGTTGAGGGCTGCCACTTGGCCCCAGCTACCTTGAGATTCAATTATTCCCATTGTATTTCAGTTTTGTAATTGTGACTGCGGTTCCCACTGTGAGATCTGGCATATAGAGAACAATCACAGAGCTCTTCAAGGAAGCAGATGCCTCCTTCACAAATTTGTTTTACAAGGTATTAGTGAAGGATATGTCTTCTGGACTCTCCCAGCTGGGATGAGCAGGTCTAATGTGACTAAACCACTCTAGTGTTCCCATATCCCTAAGCCTTTGGATCCCTTCCTCTACATTAAACCAAGGGAGATCAGGCATTTCTAGGTCACTTATAGTGGGCCATCTTTTCATCCATATTTCAGCTAACGAAGCAAATAAACTATTAGAACCTTTTTTAACTCCCCAAGCTGCAACATTAAATGTAGAATCCCTGCTTAGTGGGCCCAAATCAATAAATTCAGCCTGATCCAACTTTATGCTCCTTCCACCACTACCCCACACCCTTAATATCCATTCCCATTCCTGTTCTCCAGATTTCTGCTTACATAAATTAGAAAACTCAAGCAGTTATTTTGGAGCGTAGTGCCCCTCCTCATGGGTCACACTCTGAACCTCACCTCTAGGGGCCTGCTGGGACCTGAGTCTATTGTTATAGGTCTAGAAGCAAACAGGGGTGTTAGGGGTGGGTGATAATGGTTTGGCTATGTCCCCACCCAAATCTCATCTTGAATTGTATCTTGAATTCCCATGTGTTGTGGGAGGGACATGGTGGGAGATAATTGAATCATGGGGGCGGTTACCCTCATGCTGTTCTTGTGACAGTCAGTGAGTTCTCATGAGATATGAGGGTTTTGTAAGGGGCTTTTCTCCCCTTCGCTCATTCTTCTCTTTCCTGCTACCTTTTGAAGAAGGACATGTTTGCTTCCCCTTCTACCATGACTGTAAGTTTCCTGAGGCCTCCCCAGCCCTGTGGAAGAGTGAGTCAATTAAACTTCTTTCCTTTATAAATTATCCAGTCTGGTGTACATCCTTAGAGCAGCATGAGAACCGACTAATATGGTATTAAACAATATATAGTCAACTAGAATTTAAAGGCTCAGGAGGATCCTAAAAATAGCATCCATTTAAAAAATGTAATTAAATCACTGACATATACCCAGTATAAATCCTAGGAAAAGTGTTACAGTAGGGTATATTACAGCAGAGTACACAGTGTTTAGAAGATGTGCATTGAGAAAATATTTTTAAATGTTCACCAGCACAGTTCCTAGGCTTGGCAGTATGCTATTCAGGGTGGACGTGATAATTAGATTACCTCCTCTTGGCAAATTATACTGTTAAATTTTCTTCTGAGAGAAAGCAAACGTGCTACTTAGTGTTATAAATATTAAACACCTACTTTTTTACATATTGTTACTTTTTGTCAGACTTTTTTCATGTGCATGAGGAAGACTGAAAATAATTTCCCCAACGTATAGCAAATTCAATCAGAAGGCCACATGGAAGGAAATAAATGTGAGTTATTGTTCCTGTTGTTACTGCTATTGCAATCACCCTAATCTTCTTATTGAAATTTCATATTTTAAAGACAAATTTTGCCCTCCACCGTCACCACTCTAAGAAAAGTTTGGCATCATCGACCACCTCCTTGAAATTTTCTCTGATTTGAAAAGGGAATGCTTATACACTCCTGGTGGGAGTGTAAATTAGTTCAACCATTGTGCAAAGCACTGTGGCAATTCCTCAAAAAACTTAAAATAGAACTACCATTCAACCCAGCAATTCCATTACTGGGTATATATACAAAGGAATATAAATCTTTCTACCATAAAGACACACGCACACATATGCTAATTGCAGCACTACTCACAATAGCAAAGACAAGGAATCAATCTAAATGCCCATCAGTGGTAGACTGGATAAAGAAAATGTGGTACATATATACCATGGAATACTATGCAGCCATAAAAAAAGAATGAGATCATGTATTTTCCAGGAACATGGATGGAGCTGGAGGCTGTCATCCCTAGCAAACTAATGCAGGAACAAAAAACCAAGTACTACATGTTTTCGCTTGTAAGTGGGAGCTAAATGATAAGAACTCATAGACACAAATTGGGGAGCAACAGACACTAGAGCCTATTGGAGCATGGAGGGTGGGAGGAGGGAGAAGATTGGAAAAAAATAGGTATTTGGTACTAGGCTTAGTACTTGGGTGATGAAATAATCTGTACAGCAAACCCTGTGACACAAGTTTACCTGTGTAACAAACCTGCACATGTACCCCGAACCTAAAATAATAGTTAAATTTTTTTTTCTCTGATTTAACTTCCATGATACTACTGCTGACAGCTAACAGTTTTTGAGTTGTGGCGGTGTTCCAGGCACTGCTTTTAGCACTTTCGAGTATGATCTCCCTTAATCCTCACAATAACTCTATGAGCAGATACTTTAAATAGCCTCGTTTTACAGATAGAGAAATTGAAGCATGCAGAGGTGAAGTTGCCCACCATAAGCCAGCTAGTTAACTTGTGGAGTCTGAATTTGAACTCAGCCAGTCCTACTTGAAGCCCATTGTCTTTTCTACCACATTGAAGCTTGTCATCTCCAACTCGTTGGGCTATTTAGAGTGACCTCCTGTTGTTTCACTTGTTATGTTCTCTTTGCTACTTTCTCATTGCCTCTTTTAATTGCCCCAACTGATTAAAAACAAAACAAAACAAAAAGCTCAGGACATAGTCTTCCTCTGCCCTGAAGTTCTTTCTCCTGTACTTATGGGTCATTTTCCTGACAGTGGGGGCACAGCCTGTATCTGAGATCCTACACATAAAATACTTGCCTTGTGTTTACTAAATGGTATTATTACATGACAATGATCCTGTGCACCTTCCAAAGCACTTCACATACACATTTTTATCTGATTCTCAACTCTGCATGTTGAAGGTCAAGTTTATATTTCTTTCCAACTTTTGGCCTCCCTATTCTTTCAGGACACTATCATCCTCCTACTCATCATCAGAGTCATCTTTAACTCATCTTTCTTCTTTAGTCTCTACATTTGATCTGCTACCTAGTTTTATGGATTCCACTTCCACCAAGCTTTTGAGCTTTTTCTGTCCTTTGTTTCCCCTGACACTAAAGCACTACTGCATGAATGCCACCCCTCTTACTCAAAAACATTCAATGGTTTCCTACTAGCTGCCAAATTAAATGCAATCTCCTGAGTCAAACGTTAAGATTTATTTTTATGTCTTTACCTTGCCACTCAGCATTAACTTAATCCACTATGTGAGTCCTACACTCATTCATATTAGATGGAATAATCTACACCTAATCTTTAAGCAAAGGGGAGCACTGTAGAGTTTCAGATGGATTAAACCTCACACATTTTATCTTATATGTGTCAGACTTCTCTCTTGAGAACCTCAGAGTAATTTGACCTGAAAAGCCCTTCTAATATCTTGCAGATATCAGCTAAGACTACTTCACTTCTTTTAAAGTAACTACTTGTTATAGCTTGGATGTGGTCCCTGCCCAAACCTCACATTGAAATGTAATCCCCAGTGTTGGAGGTGGGGCCTGATGGGAGGTGACTGGATCATGGGGGTGGATTGCTCATGAATGGTTTAGTGCCATCCCCTTGGGACTGTCCTCGAGATAATGAGTGAGTTCCTGGGAGGTCTGGTCATTTAAAAGTGTGTGGCACCTCACCCTTCACTCTCTTGCTCCTGCTTTTGCCATGTGATGTACCTTCTCCCACTTTGCCTTCCACAATGATTGTAAGCTTCTTGGGGCCTCCCCGGGACCAGATGTCACTATGCTTCCCGTACAGCCTGCAGAACCGAGAACCAATTAAAACTCTTTCTTTATAAATTACTCAGTCTCAGGTTATTTCTTTATAAAAATGAGAGAATGGCTTAAGACACTTATTCTTCATATTCAAATTTTCAAAATAATCTCCACATTTTAACACAGCGAGCAGCTCCTTCCATTCCATGTAGCAGTGGAAAAGGAAAAGAGAGTGAGAGGATACTGCTGGGCTATTGAAATTGTGAAAATCCCCTTTAAAAGTTCTCCCTTAGGAGGCTGAAGCAGGAGAATCTGTTGAACCAGGGAGTTGGAGGTTGCGGTGAGCTGAGATCGTGCCACAGCACTCCAGCCTGGCAACAGAGTGAGATTCCATCTCAAAAAAAAAAAAAAAAAAAAAAAGTTCTCCCTTAACCCAATAAAAGAATATGGTTCCCAAATAAGAAATCAGAGTGAGAAGGAACATGATTATTACATCTTAGGGCCATAAGCAAGGCTACCCTGAATTATGAAAACCGCATAGTGAGGCAGGTAGCGCACTTTTTCCTTGGCTTTGGTTTAAGAACTTGCTCATATGAATCATCTTTAAACCCTAATTGATAATTTTATTTAAACTACTCTATTTTTAAAGAAGTAAAAATTACCTTATTCTCTGATTATGGTAAACCTGATCCTTTGGCCACACGACCAAGGCGCTGAAATGCCCCCTGATGGCCGCCTATCATAATTGCAGACTCATACCTAGCCCCTCGAGGGTTCTCTAACTTCAATCTGTACTCAGCTATTTGCCTATGTAGTGCGGTTTCAGGGTTCCATTTGTTCTAATTTTGTGCCCACTTTTTAAAAATCTTCACTACCTAGCGGATGCATGGTATTCTTCTGATAGTGCTTTATTTCTTTATCACAAAAGCACTGGAAGAGTGATAGTTCTGTGTAATTTGCACTGTGATATAAACAGGTTACTCTTTGGTGTTAAGTTCACAAGTCTTAGCTGGGATGAATTTTGACACTAGAGAAACATTCCAGGGTCTTCCGAGAGAAAAGAGTATTACTGGCAAAGGTGAAAGAAGGGTACAAAATGGAGAAACTAGATAGACCAAAGACCAATTATGTTTTCAATGTTCTCTCTTTACAAAACCATGGTCGGGGCCGGGGGCGGTGGCTCACGCTTGTAATCCCAGTACTTTGGGAGGCTGAGGCGGGCGGATCGCCTGAGGTCAGAAGTTTGAGAGCAGCCTGGCTAACATGGCGAAACCCCGTCTCTACTAAAAATTAAAAAAAAAAAACAAATTAGCCGGGTGTGGTGGCGCGCGCCTGTAACTCGGGAGGCTGAGGCAGGAGAATTGCTTGAGCCCGGGAGGCGGAGGTTGCGGTAAACCGAGATTGCGCTGTTGCACTCCAGCCTGGGCAACAAGAGCGAAACTCCGCCTCAAAAAACAAACAAACAAACAAACAAATAAACAAAAACATGGTTGGCTTTCGGAAGAAAGTGGCTTATGAGGGAAGCAAAGACATTTTGGTAAAAAGCGAGAAAAATCATCCCTCTTAAGTGCCTCTACACTTCATTGCCAGCACCAGCAAACTATTCTGCAACCCATCCTGAGAAATTTGTTTAACCTAGTTCTCAGCACATGTCGCTAAGATTTTCTGTTTATTTGCCTCAGGCTCAGAAGAGCTACATGACCTGGTTACAGTTAACACATGCCAATGGCTAAGTGATTTCTCTAATTTCTTTAGGGAAAAATCCCGTGGTAAAAATTAGAGCCTAAGAATACAATCTAATGTTAATACTAAGAGGAAGGTCTTTATTATACTCAACAGCTGGTTTGGGAGAATATCAGTGAGTGACGCTTCTTTTCTAAGAAGTGGAGGAATTGAGACAGGAATGCCAAACCGCAGAATGTTATCCTCGCACATTCCTGATTCCGATGCTGATTCAGCTGTGCAGACACCAAAATCCCCAAAGATGCCTGCTCTTTATAATGGTTGATTCCAAGAGAGAAAAAGAAAATGTAGCCATTGACTATATTCCTATCGTTTCCTAGATCAAAATCAGAAGATCAGCCCTTCCCAACACCATAGGTTGCTGAGAAACTCAGCACAGTATTCATTTACATGCCTTAACATAGCATCACGTAAGGGTTTGCCTCTGTCACGTAAATCCCAGACATTTCCCTTTTTGGAAGAAATTTTGCAAACTTTCTAAATCTTACCTCTTCATTGAACTTCCACGATGATTTTAAGAGGCTGTTTGCAAGCAAGAAATAATACTGAATTACATCTCATTATCTTCTGAACTGGCTCTTCTACTTTAAATGGGCAATCATTTTGTTTTCCAGAGGTGGAAACCTATCTTTCATAGACTAGCATTACTGTTATTACTTGGAACTACACTGTCCACTATGACAGTCATTAGCCACATGTGGCTATTGAACCCTTGAAATGTGGCTAAACTGAATTGAGATGTTCTACATGTGTAAAATACACACTGGATGTTAAAGTCTTACTGAGAAAAAAATCATTATTAGTTTTTTATATTAACTACATTTCAAATGATAATATTTTGGACATATTGGATTAAGATACGTTATTGAAATTAATTTCATTTGTTTCTACCTACTTAATTTGGGTCCTAGATAATTTTAAATCACATATGTGTCTTGCATCTTATTTCTACCAGTGAATCTCAATCCTTGCTGCATATAAGAATCACCCAGAGAGCTTTTGAAAAATACCTGATGCCCGTTTCTTTCCTCAGATAGAATATCTGGGATTGGGGCTCAGCACTAGTATTTTGTACTTTTTGGAAAGTTCCCCAGGTGACTCTGATGTGTAGCCAGTGTTGAGCTAACTGCTCTAAACTCTGGAATTCTATGATTCCGAGATTCTACTGACAACTCATGCAGGTTAAAAGTTCAGAGTTGTTTTGTCCTTATTCTGTGTAATCAACTTTGTCTGTTCTCATCTATTTCTCCCTAAAGAAACAATGAAATGTTTTTGGAGTCATGCAAGTTAGAACTTGTTTGTTTTAATTTTTAATGAGGTTCACATGAATCCAATACACTGCCAGCACTGGGGGGAAAAATGCATTGAACTTGGAATTTTAAGGCTGATGAGTAACATGTCATCTTTCCTGGAGCTGCTTCTTTCATTTGCCTTTTTCTTCTTGGAGGCACCTGCTTTGTTCCTACTAATAACAAGAAATGCATCACAGTGCTTCCTCAGGCTTAACGTGCCTAAGGATCACCTGGGGATCTAGTTAAAATGCAGATGAGGATTCAGTATGTCTGGGTCTTGCTGAGATCCTGCACTTCTAACAAGCATCCAGGTGATGCCAATGCTGCTGGCCCATGGACCACTCTGTGAGAAGCAAGGCACCAGGACTTAGGGAAAGTGGTAAGACTCACCTGGTGGGTGGAGCTTGTGCACAGCTGTGCAGTCATGTGCAATAATGTCAACAGCACATTGACTTTGTTTTCTGTAATGAACATGGAGCAGCCTTTTTTTTTTTTTTTTTTTTTTAGTATTTATTGATCATTCTTGGGTGTTTCTCAGAGAGGGGGATGTGGCAGGGTCATAGGATAATAGTGGAGAGAAGGTCAGCAGATAAACACGTGAACAAAGGTCTCTGGTTTACCTAGGCAAAGGTCCCTGCGGCCTTCCGCAGTGTTTGTGTCCCTGGGTACTTGAGATTAGGGAGTGGTGATGACTCTTAACGAGCATGCTGCCTTCAAGCATCTGTTTAACAAAGCACATCTTGCACCGCCCTTAATCCATTTAACCCTGAGTTGACACAGCACATATTTCAGAGAGCACGGGGTTGGGGGTAAGGTTATAGATTAACAGCATCCCAAGGCAGAAGAATTTTTCTTATTACAGAACAAAATGGAGTCTCCTATGTCTACTTCTTTCTACACAGACACAGTAACAATCTGATCTCTCTTTCTTTTCCCCACATTTCCCCCTTTTCTTTTCGACAAAACCGCCATCGTCGTCATGGCCCGTTCTCGATGGTCGCTGTCTCTTCGGAGCTGTTGGGTACACCTACCAGACGGGGCAGCCGGGCAGAGGCGCTCCTCACTTCCCAGACGGGGCGGCCGGGCAGAGAGGCATGGAGCAGCCTTTTAAATGAAGTCTGCTCTACTTTGCCCACTGAAGCACAGTTATAATGGCACATATTTTCTCTATGTATAAAAGTGAGCCTCCCAAGAGTAGGACAGCTGAAGCTAGTAGATGTGATTAAGAATCCACATCTTAATCACATCTATCAACCTCATGTCCTACCTTTTTCCTTCCATGCACAGGGGTTAAGAAGAAGCCTATGGGCTCAGAGAAGGGTCTTAAAGTGGGACTAATCCCATTTGTCTCAGGCCTCACTGCCTCCAGCGACAGCAGCCAAGACTGAGTCCCAGACACCACTGCTCCCTGCCCCTCATCACCACCACCTGCCTCAGGTTCCCCAGGGCTAACTGCATCATGCCTTTGATACCTGTGTCCATGGTCACAAGAATCCCAGGCTCCCAGGTCACCCCACTTCTTTATTCTCTCCTCCCCGTAGGGCTCCACACATCCTTCATTCTGTCTCCATCTTCCCATCACAAGACCCCAGCATCTCAAGAGTCCTCCAATGTGCGTCTGGATTCAGAAACCCTCTTTAGAAAAATCCCTGTAATCTGCAGTCTCTTCCCTGAATGTCCCTCTCACCTGGGGCTCCTCCTGCCGATGCTGCTCCTCCTCCCTCGTAGCCTCTCCTGCGCTGACATTTTCCCCTCATTCTCCTGACCACCGGGCTTGGAGATGGGGCGGCGTCCTCTTGGCCCCCAGATACTGCTTCCATACCATCCTCCCCCATCCCTTGCTAAAATCCCTCAGCTGCTTCTCTCATTAACTGCCTCTCGTTGCTTCTACTTTCTGCTCGTGAATTACTCCCTGCTCATGATTTCTTTTAGCTCTGGGCTCACTGCCACACTCTCTTATACACTTCTTTCCCTATTCTTGGTGATTTCAACACACACACACACACACACACACACGCACGCACAATTTATCCAACAATATGTCCTCTCAGTCACTTGAACTCCTCTTCCTCAACAACCTTGTTTGAAATCTCACCTCAGCCACCCACTCCCAGGAACATACCCTCCCAGATCAATGACTTCAACATCTCTGATTCAGTCAGAGTGGGATCCATTTTTTAATTACAAAATCTAACAAAATAAGCACATTCTAAATTAAGTTCCTGCTTGTGGTCCATTGCACCATTGAACTGGGTGGAGAGCCTTCCACATGATGATTCAGGGACCCAGGCTCCTTCTGACTTGAAGTGCAGCCATTCCCTGGGGCTTCACAGTCCTGGCTGGATTCTCTGCATTCAGTGGCAGACAGAAAAGAAAAAGGGTATAGAATTGCATGAGATGATTTTTTTATGGGCCAGGCCTAGAAACTGGGCACATCATCTCCATCCACATTTCCTTTGCCAGAACTAAGCATTGGCCATATCTAACTGCAAAAAGGAACAAAAAAATGTATTCCAGCCATGTTTGGGGGTGAACAACCACCTTGCCATCCATATTCTCATTTTCATCCATCCCAGCATCTGATCACTTACCTCCTGACTCTCCAGTTCATACCACCCAGTGTCCCAACTCCAACAAGCCTTCAACCCACTGGGAACGACCATCCTCTTCTCTCACCACCTTCAACCCACTGGGAGCCCCATCACTGCTCCCACCACCTTCAACCCACTGGCAGCACCCATCCACTGATCCCACCACCTTTTGCTGACCCTCACTATCTTCCCTTTTCAGCTTCCTTTCATTACCTGGGCAATTATCATGATGGCCCCCTTGCATCTAATCTCTATTTCTTTGTCTCTCTGTAGCTTTCCCACTTGGCAACACCTCAACCCTGTTTAAATCTAGCAAACTGTGTCTGCACCCGAACAGCCAAACGTGGCTAGCGAAAAACTCATAACTACATGCACCAGTCCCACTTTATGTTTGTGATAGTGAACATCATGAGTGCTTGGTGCAGCCAGGCAACTGTGTTCATTTCCCTGGTCTATGGACTCTCCCACTCTCCTAGACATCCACATAATACCTTATCCACTCTCCTTAAGCCTCTGATATCTTCTCTCCAGTTCTTAGTTTCCTATTTCACAGGGAAAATTGAAGCCATCAGGAAAATCATTAGACTCATACCTGCCAGCATCATCACCCACATGTGCCGCCTCCCACCTGACACAATAGCTGGCCTGTCTGTGCACCCATCTAATGCCAACCTCCCACCTGCATATAGATCCCATCTCATCCCACCTACTCTAGGGCATTGCTCCAGCAGCTCTCCTTTCTCTCTGGCATCAACAATTCCTCTTCTCATTGTATTATTCTCATCTTCACACAAAAATGCTATTATCACTCTCACTTAAAAAATGAAAAACAAAAAAAAAACCCTCTTGACCCAGTTCCCTATGAACTACTGCCTGTTCCTCTCTTCTGTCTCCAGTTCCTCCCTTCCCTTCTCTGTTAACCCATCCAAGTGGGCTTTAACACCTCTACTCTTGTCAGGGTAACAAATGGCCTCCCCATTACTAAATCCAATGGTCACTTCTCAGTCCTCCTTTAACTCGACCCCTAGCAGCATTTGGTACTGGCCTCCTTGCTCTCTTCCTCACCATCCTCACCACACTTGCTGCCAGGACACCACATTGCCCTGAGTTTCCTTTCACCTCACCTGTAGTTCCTCATCACTCTACTTTGCTGATCCCTCCTTGTCCCCCAGACCTCTGGGGGTGCCGTAGAGCTTGGTCCTTGCACTTTTTCACTTCTCCATCTGCACCCCGCCTTCACCCATTTCATGTAGTCTCTGGCTTTTAACACCATCTGTACCCCAATGGTCCCTCGTATGCCCCCCCAGCCCAGATACCTCTCCCAACTCCAAATGCTCAGGTCCAACGCCTCCTGGATGTCTTCGCTTGGGGATCAAACTCAAGTCACCGAAAGCAAACTTTAATATTCTTCCCCAAACAGTTTCCACCCACAATCTTCCCATCTGGAAAATAACTCTATCCTTTCAGTTGCCCAGGAAAAAATGAAAAAGCAAACAAAAACCCCAAACCAAACCCAACAATAACAACAAAAGCCTTAGAGTCACTAATTCCACACTTTCTCTTATACCGCATGTCAACACATCAGGAAATCCTGCTGAATTTTTCTCCAAAATATATTCACATGTCTCCATGTCCACTGCCACCATCTTCGTTTAAGCCACTGGGGCTCTCCCTGGATTCCCACTAGAGCCTCTTCTCTTGCATCCTTCTCCCTTGCACCCTTGCCTTCCTATGATCTATTCTCAATGCTGCAGCTGGAGTGATCTGGTTATAATATGAATCCTATACCTCCTCTGCCCCTGACACCCCAGTAGCTTTCTATCACACTCAATGTAAAAGCCAGAGTCCCGAAATGACCTACAAGGTCATTTTCTCTTTGACCTCATTCCCTAGTCCTCAACTTCACTTCGCTGAGACCACTCTGGCCTCATTGCTGTTCCTCAGATACATCTTGTATACTTCATGGCCTTTGCACTGGCTAGTCCTTCTGCCTGTATGTGAGGCTCCCAGTATCCACATAGTAAAACTCCTGCTCCTTCTTCAGGCATCTCTCGATGAGTCTCCTTAACCATCTTACTTAAAATAGTTTTAAGTAACATTTTATCACATTCTAACACTTTATGATTTACTTCTTACTATGTTTACTTTTTTATGGCCTGTCTCTTCCCCTTAGAATGTAAGCTCCAATAGCATAGGGATTTTTATCTGTTTTTTTTTTCACTACGATATTCTAATACCTACAGCAGCGCTCAATAAACACATGTTGAATAAATGAATGAATTAAATCATACGTCAATAGTCCTTAGCCCAATGCTATGTACTCAGAAAGTACTCAATAAATTTTCATTACGCAAGAAAATTAAACCACTCTACAATCTTTATTTTAAAATGGTTATGTTTTGTTTGAGAATATCAGAAACTGTCTAGTAGAAAGTACTTTTTTTTTTTTTGAGACGGAGTCTCGCTCTGTCACCCAGGCTGGAGTGCAGTGGCGTGATCTTGGCTCACTGCAAGCTCTGCCTCCCGGGTTCACACCATTCTCCTGCCTCAGCCTCCCGAGTAGCCGGGACTACAGGCGCCTGCCACCACGCCTGACTAATTTTTTGTATTTTTAGTAGAGACGGGGTTTCACCATGTTAGCCAGAATGGTCTCAATCTCCTGACCTCGTGATCCGCCCACCTCGGCCTCCCAAAGTGCTGGGATTACAGGTGTGAGCCACTGCACCCGGCCAATTTTTTTAAATATAGGAAAACCGGAAAGGCATGTGTAAGAGTCATTCTATGCAAATGAAGTACTGGCAGTACCATCTTTCACACCTTTGCAATTGCTGTTCCAGATATTCAAAGCTGACTAATTAGCATCAAGACCTCAATTCTCATAGCCTTTATCTAGTCATTTGCTGGAATCAACGTCATATGTGGACATTATCAGTCTTTAATTGTTTTTAATGCCACTGCTTCTCCAGGTACCATGTGACTTTGTCCACTTATGCTCACACCCAATAACAAAGAAGAAAAAAAGGAGAAAAGGATCAGAAAGAAGAAGATGAGGCAGTGGCAGCAGAAGAAGAGATAGCTGGAAAAGCTTCCGTCTTTTGTTGCCTTATATACACCAATCCGACCTTGCTCAACTCTGCCTGAGCTGCATAGTCACCTCTAAGCTTTCCCAAACCACAGATGATTGGAGGCCACCCCAGAATTACTGAGTCTGAATCTGCTGCAGTTGTGCCCAGGTGTGTGTGCAGTGTTTAAGTTCCCCATGGACCATTCTAATGCACAACCAGATTTGAGCAATACTGGATGGGGCAGTTTACCTGAGAAAAGATCTTATTTCATTGTCATGACAACCACAGAAAGTACATACTTTGATCTTCATCTTATAAACAATGAATCCAAGTCGCTGAGAAGTTAAAAACTTGCTCAGGGTAACACGGTAAGTGACAAAACTAAGGTTCAAATTCAAGGCTTTTTTGGCTATACTCTGTCTATAGTTATGGACCACTCCAAATCCTGAAGCACCCTGTCAGTGACAGGCCACGCTGAGTCCCCTGATGGAACTCAGTCATCATTCACTCTCAGAAACCTCAAAATGCCCATTGGAATCAGCATCTTAAAGACTGTCCACTGGGCACAATAGGCCCAGCAATCCTGCTCACCATCGTAGGCCCTTGACCTTGGCTGTAGGCTCAGTTCCTGTTCCTGAGTCCTGCCTTCTAGCCCATCTCTGAATAAAGGTATGGGGTGGTCTCCCTCATTAGAAGCAGATCTTTCAGGGAAAACTGCCTATTTCCTCAAGGTTGTGAATGTTACTTCCTTGTCCTGGAATCCCCATCTCCTTGCTCCACCTCACAATGAGACTCTGATAGGTCGTCTTGTAGAACCACCCTCCCCAACCCCAAGCCTGAAGCTTCACATTTTATCTATTTGTTTATTCATTCATTCACAAAGTATTTATCGAGCACCCACTAAAAACTAGAAACTAGTAAACTCGACAGTCACAGTACCTTCAAGGAAGCTATGGAGGAGACAAGAAACAAGTCAACTCGCATTCATGCTTCCATTCTTGTAGTGTGTGTTTGGTCATTTGCTGTCAAGGCCATGGACTCCTCCACAAATATTCATCCATGGGTAGATACATGGTAAGTGCTTTGAAGGAAACAGGAGGGAAACAAGCAGTGGATGGGGAAATTTACCTATGAGAGGCTGGTACACAAAGGCTTTGCTGCAATGGGCTCATCTACACTGGAACACAGGATGGGAGGGAGTTACGTATGGGAACAATGACAGGAAGAACATTAGAGGAAGAAGGAGAGGGTGGACACATCCGCTGGGCAGGAAGGAGCTCCGAGTGACAGTGACAAGACGGTTGGTAGGCATGGGGCTGGAGTCCACATGTGGCTTTCTGAATAAAGAACAAGCGCAATATGTATGTTTTGCCAACAGATACTACATTTAGACTATTTGACTCATACTAAGACATGAACACCAAAATGGGGCAGCGGGGAAGAAAAACAGCTAGGCAGGACGAGGCAAAAATAAAGCCATGGACTGCTTCAAACTCTTCATCCAAAAGAGAAATCCTTGAGCAGTGCTTTTAAAATCACGTTCTACAGGTTCTTTTATTTATCCTTTCAGCAAATGTCTGCCACATGCTTGCTCTGGATCAGGCACTGTTCTAGGTGCTGTGGATTCAAGAAAAGTCCCTTTCCCTCTCTCTCATCTCTAAATAGATTCTGAGTGCCCAGCTGGGATCTTTCCTTCCCTGTCTTTTCAGATTTCTCCCTGGGGGTATTTAAATACAGAATGAGGAGCAGAAGATAGAAGGACAAGAGAGACACAGGCTAGGACTAGTGGAGGATTCCTCACCCTGCTCCACAGGATTTTAAGAAAGAGATAATGCTACAGTGTTTGAGGAAAATGAATGGGAGAGAAAAGCAAGAAGTAAGAAGGAACAACATAGCTGTATTGAGCCCTTACTATATGCCTGGCAGTATTCTCAATGTTCACGTTATCATCTCATGTAAATCTTATAATGACATTATGAAGTGGGAACTATTATGACATGCACTTTACAGATAAGAAAACTGAAACAGAGAGGCTGAGTGATTTTCCCAGGGTTACACAGCTGATAAGTGGCAAAGCTGCGATTTAGGCCCCACCAGGGTGGCTCAGAGCTCACGCTCATTACCATTCCATGATAATGTCTTGACGCAACTGCTCTTCACTAGTTAAGCCCTTTATGGCATTCATAAAATGTAAATTTAAAAATTGGTCTTCTTCTTTTCTTCTACTCTCTTAACGTTTTCCATTATAAAATAAAACACAGATTAAGAAACCCACACAAAGTGATTTCATAGCCCAATTCATTGTTAAAAGGTGAACACCTTAGAAACCACTGTCCAGGTCAAGAAATGGAACTTTGCACGGCACCCCCAAAGTCCCTTGTGTGTCTCATCCTGCTCAATATGGCTTCATTCTCACAAAGCTAACCACTGCCCTGAAGTGTTAAGTAACCACTCCTTGTGTTTCTTGTAGTTTTATTACCTAGGCATGCATTCCTAAACACTATAGTGTAGCTTTACCCATTTGTAAATTTGACGTGTCTTTTAATTCTCTTATAGTCTGCAGGGTCTCTCCTCCATCCGTTTCTTTTTGTCCAACTTGACTGGTAGACCTCCCATCATTTGGCCTTTGCTGATTGTATACCGATTGTCCTCTGTCTTCTATCTTTCCTGCAAATGGGAGCTGGATCCAGAGACTTGGTCAGCCTCAGGTTTGAACTTTTGGCAAGATTCTAGGTGGTGATTTGTTTTTTCATCATGAAACATGCAGTGTCTGGTTGTTTCTCTTGTTGTGATAATAGCAGCTGTTGATGCTTGATGCCAAGATCTATTCATTCAAAGGGGGTTGCAAAATGGTAACCTTCTAGTTCTATCATTTCTTTTCCATTTATTAATTTGTCACTGGAACACTTTTCTAAAAATATACTTTCCCTCATCTACTATTTGATTACTCAGTGGCATGTTCACTTAGCAGAAGTAGAATAAATGTTTCTTTCTTTTCATTTACTAATTTTCACAAAAAATGGATTATTTCCCTATTATGCTCTGAAGGAGATCAATTTTTAAGGTATCATTATGAAGTCATGGATTTCAATTTATTTGATGGGTTTCATAATGATTACATTTATTATCCTTTTTGAAGCTCAAATTTCCCCCTCATCAGCCAGTGGAAGCCTCTTCGAGGTGACCCCTGAGTGTTTTCAACATGATCCTGGTGGTCTTCAAGAGCTTCCTCATTATCTGGTATGGCAAGGTGTTCCAGACACATCTTGTACATTGCCCATCCCAAACCTAGAAATAGCATTTTCTCTAGTTTTCGTTAATGGAAAAATGGTGTTTCAAAGACACACCTGGGAACGAGGGATGCCCATTGCTACTGGGTCGGTCATGGTTTCTAAACCTTTTCAGTGAACAGAGCTAGGAAATACACACACACACACACACACACACACACACGCGCGCGTACTCCCACAACTCATATGCATAACATATCTTTTTGTATGTATGTCATAGTCAATAAAAGGGGATTTTTTTTTTTGTTAAAATGATACATTTTGTTTCTTACTTTGCTAGCTTATTCTCCCTCAGCATAGCCCACTGAGGGCTATTGGTATGCAACCCACCTTAGTATTTTGAAGGCTTAGGGAAAAAATAAAGTCATTCTTCAATGCAGGTTTGGGGATTCAGCTCCCATTTCAATGTTATTTTCTCATTATATATTAGTTCAGAAAAATCTCTGCTTGTCTATACCACTTTGCAAAGTGTATTTATATTTTCCACATGCCAAAACTTCATCAAATAGTCCTCTTGGGGGACTATTTGAGATGCAAGCTGTTGCTGAAAAGAAGAGGAAGCAATGTCCTCTAGGCCAGCCCACCTGAGCTTGGCTCTCGCTCCAAGAGTTTGCTAGCTGCAAGTCCAAACTAAAGAATGATCTGCACAGATTGCCAATAACGCACCTTCATGCAAAGGGAATTAACAAGCATATGGCCATGAATACTAATTTTAGCTTAAATGCTAAGATATAAAAGAAGAAGAACAAGGGGCTTTGGAGGAGCACTGGATTGAGGAAGAATTTAGTCTGTGTTGAAAAGCAAGAAAATAGGATGGTATCTGCAAAAGAGATCATGGCAAATATTCCATTTCTGTCACTTTTTTAACAGAAACAGAGGGAGACATTTGCTTTAACACTTGTATAATCAGAAAAGAAACAGCTCCAATGTTTCAAGTACTATATAGCATCATACATGTGGAAGTCCCTTGCATGCTGCCATACCCTGTGCAAATGAACCAAGTATGTTATGAAGAAGTATTATCTAATTAAATTCAAAAATTCTTCTTTTAAATTATCTTGACCCTGTCTATGTGCCCCTACATGTTGTTTTCAAATGAAAGGCAAAGAAACATGAGAGCGTTGGGCTGGCTGCCTCTGAGTGCCCGCAGGGAGGCCAATAATATGACTCTGTGATCATCATTATCTTCATAAAAAGAAAGATCTGGAGGTTGAAACAGGGCCAGCCTCCTGGGCTTCCCACTGAGAAAAAGCACAGAGGCAAAACCTACTTCTGCCCACAAGTCCACACATGCCTGTCATTATTTACCAGAACTCAGCCACAGAGTGTTTAGATAAAGGCATTATATCTCAGGAAAGTTCTAGAAAACGTGCTGTAGTGGCCTGGGGGCCTGAGAAGAAGGAAAGGAAGGCAAGAACATGTATGATGTGCCAGGGAAACTGAACAAATGGGAGTTTTTAAAAGACAAACCAAGAGAAGGAATGTGAATCTCCTGCAGGCCTCTAATTATGTAGGCTTATGGGTGGGAGTCCCAGCCACACAGGAGATAAATGAGAGTTATCCTATCAGAGATGAGTCTTCTCTAGATGGGACAAAATGATGAAGTAGCTGTAAAGTAAGTGAGGAATGCTATCATTATGTTTATGAATTAAGTTGGAATAGTATCTTTAAAGGAGGCTCAAAAATCATTTTCTCTACATATGTATCTTTCTAATCTGTGGACCAGTGCGGCCTCTTTTTCATTATGTCCAGAGATCTATGCTTTAAGTTATGCTAACAACTACTACCTTTTGCATGTACACAGGGGGTTTTCCTGCATCTATCTATTCTAATGCTTTTTTTTTTTTTTTTTTTTTTTGAGGCAGGGTCTCGCTCTGCCGTGCAGTCTGGAGTGCAGTGACACAATCACAGCTCCTGCAGCCTCAACCTTCCAGGCCCAAGCAGTCCTTCCATCTCAGCCTCCCAAGTAGCTGGGGCCACAAGCGTGTGCCACTGAGCACAGCTATATTTTTAGTAGAGACAAGGTCTCACCATGTTGCCCAGGCTGGTTTCGAATTCCTGAGCTCAAGCCCTCCCACCTCAGCCTCCCTAACTGCTTGGATTACAGGCTTGAGCCACCGTGCCTGGCTCTAATGCTATTAAGAAAGAATTGGCAAATGTGTCGCCCAGGAATAGGAAATGTAATTATTCCATTTACGCAACTCACTTGGCTTTCCTCTACTGTGAGAGGAATAGCAAATGAGATGGCTAAACTGAAATATCTGACTCGTAAGACAGATCCCCTTCCTTTCCTAAATGGAATGTTAAGGAGACAATCAGCTATACAAATGGCTAAATTTTAAAATATGTATTTCACAGATAGGTTACCTCAACTCAACAGCATCTCACTCACTTCTCTCTCTCTCTTTCTCTCGCTCTTAGTTCAATTCAGTGTTCTGGGAACACCTAAACTCCTGCTAAAGAAAATAATATAAACGTGCTGTCAGCACTATCACTTATGATATGAAGAGCCCCCCATGCTGGCTCCAGGACAATGGGACCCTTTAATCCTAGGAGAATGGGGGTCAACCTGTCACTTCAGAAAAGCCATTGCTCTCTGTGAAAGTATCAGCATAGATGTCCCTGAGCCTCATAATTCTGTCTCATAGCCTGCGCTTGAACCCACATCCAGCTTTTCCCTTGGCTCTCTACCTCTGTCCCTCGTCCTTCTCCTGGTTCCAACCTGGCCATTATTTCCTCAGTGTCTGTGCCAGAGGCCACCAGGAGCCACTACCTCTGTTTCTGACTGTAGGGCTCTGCTCTGAAGTCTCAGACCTACTCTGTCAGCTCTTTCCTGCCTATACTTGCCTCCCGACAGTGACAGCCCAATCTACCCAGGTCTAGCAGGACCTAACCCTTCAATTCTACCAGGAATTAATGAATTGGGTTGTAACAGCTCTCCTTTTTTGTAGGGTAATATTTTTTATGCTACTTCCTAGTTACCATGCTATGGGCACCTGGTATGATGGGCTCCATGGATTCCTGGTGTATAAGGGGATACAAAGACACACAGAGAAGAAGTGTGCCTCTGCTCAAAGGAGGGGCATGTTAAAGGGCCAGTTGAAGTCTGCTCCAAAGAGAGACATGAAGAAAGGCTTGTTTCACTTTAGGAAGATTTCTTCAGTGACTTACAGGAAGAGAAGACAGTCATCTCAAAGTTAAGAAAACATTTCACCAGAATCACTGAGAACTTACAACTCTTCAAATTAAGAAGTTCATTGAAGTCATACTTAAATGAAATAAGCAGTATTGGACTTTGGTTAAGGAACAAGATATGTGAAGAGAGTCAAGATAATCTTATGTACAAGTCAGGAGAGGTGAGTCAGTGTATTTTTTGTATGGATAAAAAAAAGCCTCAACTATCCAAAGCCCTCAGTCTTGCAGTACAGTTTACATCAAAAGGAGCTGAGAAGGTGAAGAGCAGCCCCTAGCATGCTGAGCCCACCAGGATGTTTCCTGAGACCCTCCGGAGAAGGGACAGGGCACAGAAACATAACACAAAAACAAGTAGGGGCCACATGTTGGGGTGAGCAGGAAAAAAAGGAATGATGACAAATTAGACACTAGAACAGAAGCCGCAGCATCCTGAGAAAAGAGGATCAGCCAGAAAAAAATCTAAGACTGAAGAGCTTTGCTCCCTGGTGGGATGCAAAGAGCCACAGGCTCTGCTTCTCAGGGTAGCATCCTCAAAGGCAGGATTAGGGGATTGCCATGCTGTGTGCCCTTGTGGATAGAAGCAGAAGGAGAAATTCCCAAGGCCAGCAGCAGAGCATCAGGAATGGCTGCCAGTCAGTGCAGCTGAACAATCTCAGGGGTCATCTACTATTTATGGTGCCATTGAGGGTGTGGCTTAATTTCCTCATCTATAAAATGGGGATAATCATAGCACCTACCTCATTTAAGATTGGTGTGAGCATTAAAGGGTTTAGTACCTACAAAGTAATGCCTGGCACATAGTGAGCACTCAGTAAATATGAGCATTATAATTATGAATATTACCAACATTCACAGCTGGATCATGTACATAGATTACGGTATTTACACAAGTGACGCCATGGGTTAGTGTTTTATAGGTCCTCTCTCCAGCATTGGGTGTAGTGGAAAGCATGAGCAGAAATGGACCAAAATTGTATAAAATGGCACTATAATAGAACAGGGTCACCTCTATGTGAGTTGAAAAGGGCAAGTACAGGAAAATGCTGTTTGAATCTTCAAGTATTAATGAATTAACCTTGTATGATATTGGAACTCAGACATGCTCACTAGTTAAATTCTGAATCGATTCTTAAATTGTGCAAAGTTAGGAGTGAGTCCCGTGTAATTTTAGCTGGAGAGAAAAATGCCTAGTGGCTCAGACTCAGCTCTATGTAAGGGAGCTTGGCGTGTTATTCAAGAGGCAGAGACAGCTGGGTCCTGAGGGTCAGTCACAGGGTTTTCATGGGGGAATTCAGGGGCCAAAGTCTAGGCAAAGGTCAAAGCCAAATTTGGGAACCAAGCCAAAAAAGTCTTCCTTGCCATCCCAGATTGTTTTTATGAAGCCGCTCATGGGTTTGACAATGAAGCATATTAAAGGCTACCCATCAATTAGTCAGGGTTCTCCAGAAAAACAGAACTGAAAGGGTGGGTGGGTGTGTGTGTAGAGAGAGAGAGACAGATTGATTTTGAAGAATTGGCTGGCTCACATGATTATGGAGGTTAACAAGTCCAAAATCTGCAGGGTAGGCCTGCAAGCTGAAGACCCAGGGACAAGATGTTGCATCTCAAGTTGGAAGGCAGCCTGCTGGTATAACTCCCTCTGCCTCAAAACAGCTCAGCCTTTTTTCTTTTAAGGCCTTCAATTGATTGGGTGAGGGTCACCACATTTTGGAGAGCAATCTGCTTTAGTCAGAGTCTGCTGATTTAAATGTTTACCTCACGTAAATATAGCTCACACAAGCATCTAGAAAGCTTGACTGAATATCATGGCCTAGCGAAGTGGGCACATAAACATAACCATCACAACCCACTCTCGAAAATTAACAGGCAGCCCTCCGAATCCCATCACTGAGACTTGAGTCTCTACAAATGACCTCAGGCAAAAGAGCTAAGGAAGTTCCTGTCTCTGTACCATTGATAGGGCAGAAATGTCCTATAGCAACACAGCCTCCTAAACCATATGTGTATTTCAAACTGTTGGCTCTGGTGTTTCAACTCGAGATGCCACTATGAAAAGGTTAGAAGAGGGCCGGGCGCGGTGGCTCATGCCTGTAATCCCAGCACTTTGGGAGGCCGAGGTGGGCAGATCATAAGGTCAGGAGATCGAGACCATGTTGAAACCCCATCTCTACTAAAAATACAAAAAAAAAAAACAAACAAAAAAAATTAGCCAGGCACAGTGGCGGCGCCTGTAGTCCCAGCTACTCTGGAGGCTGAGGCAGGAGAATGGCGTGAGCCCAGGAGGGGGAGCTTGCAGTGAGCTGAGATAGCGCCACTGCACTCCAGCCTGGGTGACAGAGCGAGACTCCGTCTCAAAAAAAAAAAAAAAGGTTAGAAGAGGATGGTAATATGTCAACTCAGCATGGTGATAAAGAAATTTTTTCATTTTTTTAGAAAATCTGTTTGTGAGTAGATATTGTCCATTGACATTTTTAAATTCCTATGAATCTAGCCTAGTTTGGTGTCATTTACCACTTGCCAGCCTGGTTAGTCCTATGAGTTTAAGAAGAAAGGACAGATTGGCTCTGGCACATGTTCAGTCTACAAATACCCATCAAATACGGGTGAAAATTATTCTGGAAGGATGAAAATATATATTTACTTCTTGCTTATAGATCAAGAGGCAAAATGCATAGCAAAATGTCTTGCACGTATTCAAATATTGAGTGAACCGAATCAAAATAATTTTTAGCAAGTTCTTTCCTTCACTGTACCTTAATAAATAGGTAATTTACTAATAAAAAGCTTATCTAGAAGTTGCCAGGATATTACATTTCTTTACATACATACATTTATTTATTTATTTAGAGACAGAATCTGACTCTGTCGCCCAGGCTGGAGTGCAACGGCGCGATATCGACTCTGCAACCTCTGCCTCCCGGGTTCAAGCGGTCCTTGTGCCTCACCCCCCTGAGTAGCTGGGACTACAGGCATCCGCCACCTCGCCAGGTTATTTTTTTTCTTTTTTCTTTTTTTTTTTTTTTTTGTATTTTTAATAGAGACAGGGTTTCACCCTATTGGCCAGACTCGTCTTGAACTCCTGACCCCAAGTGATCCACCTGCCTCAGCCTCCCAAAGTGCTGGGATTACAAGTGTGAACCACCGCTCCTGGCCCCATTTCTTAGAGTAGAAGTCACTCTGTGGGAAACCATGGTTTTATTTAAAATATGAAATATGAATGCATTAAGGTACATAGGCCTTTTGTTCTAATTTCAGCAATACAGGCTTCCTGTGCGGAATTGTCAGTTAGGCTTTAAGGAAAACTTACGTAGGCCTGGCACCAAGGAAGACGCCGCCGCCCCACCTCCTGAGCCGCCGAAGGCGTGTGGAGGAGGAGCAGGCCTTGGCGCGCGCCTGCTCTCCACTAGTTTGGGGACGTTGCCGGGGCCCTGCGTTGCCCAGAGGTGCCACCTCTTTGAGCTGCAGCCGGGCGAGAAGATCCGCAAGATGAAGAAGCTGCGGAGAACTTGGTCGAGAGTTTCAGCCGCATTGCTTTGAAGAAAGGTGACACCACCTTTGATAAGATGGAAAGCATTCGCTGTCAAAAGGTGCTGCTGCTCTGATAGGTCTAAGAACCCCTGTTCTCATGAAGCAGCATGGAGTCAAGGCTTTCTACATTCTGGCCTTTGCTTATTTCTCTAGGCTGCTCAGCTAACTTTTCTGAAGTTGCTACATTATTACTGATAAGGGGCTCCTCAGAACGGCAAACCGTCCACCTTCACTTGCATTTTCAGTTAGGGAGAACAGACCAGCGTGGAGGAAGGGATTTGGCTATTGCTGAGAGTGATTAACAACCAAAGCCATGAAGACTCGGAGACTGCGGAGACGCGTGTCTCGTTCAGCAGTTGGTTTGGATTAGGCTGCAAAGCGCAAAGGCTAAAGGGCAGTACACAATGTACACAGTTGGTGCTAAGAAAGGCTCTTGGTGGCCGGGCGCAGTCGCTCACGCCTGTAATCCCAGCATTTTGGGAGGCCGAGGCAGGCAGATCACAAGGTCAGGAGATCGAGACCATCTCAGCTAACACAGTGAAACCCCATCTCTACTAAAAATACAAAAAATTAGCAGGGCATGGTGGCGGGCGCCTGTAGTCCCAGCTACTCGGGAGGCAGAGGCAGGAGAATGGCTTGAATCCAGGAGGCGGAGCTTATAGTGAGCCGAGATGGCGCCACTGCTCTCCAGCCTGGGCAACAGAGCGAGACTCCGTCTCAAAAAAAGAAAAAAAAAAAAAAGAAAGGCTCTTGGCCAGGAAAGGTCGAGGCTGCTGTAAGCCATGGTCTCAAATCTGCACTCAAGCCTGGGTGGCACAGCAAAACGCTTCCTTGAAAAAAACAAAAAAGAAAGAAAGAAAGGCTCTAGGGACTGAGAAACGTGGTACCACCATGCCCGGCTAATTTTGGTATTTTTAGTAGAGACGGGGTTTCACCATGTTGGCCAGGCTGGTCTCGAACTCCTGACCTCAGGTGATCTGCCTGCCTCAGCCTCCCGAAGTGCTGGATTACAGGTGTGAGCCACTGCGCCCGACCTATCCTGGAAAGCAATTTTTAAGACAAAACACTAGAGATGATCAGACTTCCTCACCAGAGAGAGAAAGCTTATGTGTTTTATCACATTGGGGAACAACAAGAGGTTTTTGACTCTGAACCTTTTAAAGGCCAGTCCATGTTATAACGGAGAGTGTTGGTTTTGCTTTTCCACTTAAAAACTGTATTTAAAAACAGAAAAACTCATTTTCATATTTATGTCCAGTATTTGGGGCTTAGAAAGTATGTTGTCATTAGAAACATTGTCAAAATTTGTTTTATGGTCTATATAGGTATGCACATAGTTATGTAATATCAATATATCCCAAATTAACAAAAATGTCTTCATTTACATATGTACAGATACCTTTGCATTTTGATCCATAGAACATAGGAGCATGTTCTTAGTCTATCTCAAAGCTCCATGTGTTTACATATTATATGAGTAGGCTATTTTCAGAAGTGAGTTTTGCTTCCATGGTAAGAGTGAGCATTTTGCCAAGAACACATGCACAAACACTCAGAATCACACCACTTGGATTCACACATAGGCATACCCAGTCCCATGCACAAAATCCCACACCACCTAAAGGGAACACAGTTGATTCCAGGAACCTTAGAATATGGCCATACTTACTTATCTCGAAAATCAATTTCCACCAACCCAAGCTCAGTATTCATTCATAGCAGGAAGCTGGATTCAGGGTGCTTTTCCACCTGAAAGCCAAAATAGTGCCACATTTCTGATCATCTAGATTATTCATCAAGTGAGGGATTCCACAATACATATTATTTTCTGCGATGCCTGAGTGTGCCTGTAATTACAGAAAAGTCTATGAGCATCAGACCATGCTGTATCCTGTTTGCACAGGTCTTTTGTTAACTTATGACATTACAAAACCCATTGGGAAATAGTGGTCAAAGTAATGGCCCCAAATAAAGCAGACAGGACACTTGTGGAAAAGGCCCAGGATTTTTGTGCCAGATTTTCCAGTCCATTTGGTTGCAAATTGCAAACTCTTTTTTGAGAAGAAAAAAATGTTTATGGTAGGAAAAAGCTCTCTTCCATACAGTTTGTAACCGATGTGCTCATCTATGGATGCCATCTTGAAATCTTAGTTGGTGATGGACTCCCACCTTATAGCCCACCAAGAAATTCTGTAAGTCATCTTTGATGTACATGGGAAGATTGTCATATCTTAATTCAATTGGAATAGAAAGAAAGCAATAAAAAATTTCTGCCTCAGATAATGAAGGAGACCTTACCTGGAAAAGAGTTTTGATGGTCAACTCCAGTGAGTTGGTTGCAAATATTATCTTTTACTTGGACCTCAGAGCCATCTAGAAAAATGTAGAGTAATGGTCAGTACATTGGTGCTGTTAAAGAATCCTTCAGGGATCCTTGGTTGATGTGGACATTGGGTAGAGGGTATAGAGAAGGTGAGTTAAAAAGCGTAGGCTGAGATGCTGCTGGGCCATCCTCCTTGGTGAATAAGGAAGGAAAGGAAAAGATCAGGAAAGAAATGACAGAACCTTGTTTTTCTAGCTAAGGCAGCTTAGTCAATGTGAAATAGTCAATGTACACATAGGTTAATACAAAAATTCATTGTTTGATTCCATGATAGTGTCTCTTGACTCCCCTGGTCATTTTGAAGCCCTGGAAAATGAACTTTTTCAATAATATACAATCTCTAACTTTCCTACAAAAAAAAGAGTGAGCATTTTGGCTTATGTATAAGTTAGAAATAATTGTTAATTTTTAATATGTACTTCATGGTAAAATGTCTCAGACATATGCAAGCAATTAAATACCAAACTTACGGCCTGGCACAGTGGCTCATGCCTGTAATCCCAGCACTTTGGGAGGCCAAGGTGGGCGGATCATGAGGTCAGGAGATCGAGACCGTCCTGGCTATCATGAGGTCAGGAAATTGAGACCATCCTGGCTAACACAGTGAAACCCTGTCTCTACTAAAAATACAAAAAATTAGCCGGGCATAGTGGTGGGCACCTGTAGTCCCAGCTGCTTGAGAGGATGAGGCAGGAGAATGGCATGAACCCGGGAGGCAGAGCTTGCAGTGAGCTGAGATCGGGCCACTGCACTCCAGCATGGGTGACAGAGCGAGACTCTGTCTCAAAAAAAAAAAAAAAAAAAAAACCCAAAAAAGCAAACTTAGACCAGTGGTGTTAACTAGTTTCTAAAATTCGATTTTTATTTGTAACAAGTCATTTACTTAAGGCCCAATGAACATAAATGGAATCACATTGGTTTATGTTTAAGGAATACACTGAGATTGCTGCTATTCTATTTATTTCACATAAAGAATAGCCAGATTTTACTTTGGAACCTCCTGGAAG
The DNA here is from genome assembly GCF_000001405.40 of Homo sapiens. Classification (NCBI taxonomy): domain Eukaryota; kingdom Metazoa; phylum Chordata; class Mammalia; order Primates; family Hominidae; genus Homo; species Homo sapiens. The sequence continues at coordinate 51,348,651 of NC_000014.9, read as the reverse complement.
CTCTTCAGTGGTCTTTGAGCCAATACAATTTATCTTTCATCACTAAAAGACCATTATTCTTATGTCATAATGAGAATAATCATTTAAGTACCTGGCATAATTGAGACTGCACCACTGCACTCCAGCCTAGGGACACAGCAAGACCCTGTCTCAAAAAAAAGGAAAAAAAAGTAAATACTTGATATACTTGGCATAATAAATACCTAAAGGACACCTTACTTTATAAATCTATTTTTTCTTGCTGTAATGGGAATACTGTAAATCATGCATTTGTATTAATGGCATTTCTTAAAGCAATAGATGTAACTGTGAACTAAATCAGTCTGCAAACTATTGTAGGCATCTGTATTCTGTTTTAGGTACTGTAAACTTTGTTGGAGTCTTTAGTTGGCAGATTATGTTGTAAATATATTTGTATATGTTAAAACATTTTAAAATGTTTTGTTTAATAGAATAAATATCTTTATTGGAGTGATAGCTGTGAAGGTATAAAACTTCACATTTGGATAAAACTCTACTGTTCACAAAGTTAAAAAAATGAAGATCAAAATATTAGGGTTAATATAAACAGAAAGTTTAATTAGGACTGCATCTTTTAGATAATAAACAGATAATCATTGTATTGGTCTATTCTCACATTGCTATAAAGAACTACCTGAGACTGGGTAATTTATGAAGGAAAGAGGTTTAATTGACTCACAGTTCCACAAGCTGTACAGGAAGCATGGGTGGAGGCCTCAGGAAACTTACAAAAATCATGATAGAAGGTGAAGGGAAAGCAGGAATGTCAAACAGCAAGGGGGAAATCTGCTCCCATGATCCAATCACCTCCCACTAGGCCCTTTCCCCGACATGTGGGGATTACAATTTGCTATGAGATTTGAGTGGGGACACAGAGCCAAACCATATCATTTCACCCCTGGCCCCTCCCAAATCTCATATCCTTCCCACATTTCAAAACCAATAATGCCTTCCCAACAGTCCCTCAAAGTCTTATTTCATTTCAGCATTAACTCAAAAGTCCAAGTCCAAAGTCTCATCTGAGACCAGGCAAGTCCCTTCCACCTGTAAGTCTGTAAAATCAAAAACAAGTTAGTTACTTCCAAGATACAATGGGGGTACAGGCTTGCGTAAATGTTCCATTCCAAAAGGGAGAAATTGGCCAAAACAAAGGGGCTATAAGCCCCACGCAAGTATGAAACCCAGCAGGGTGGTTACTAAATCTTAACATTCCAAAATAATCTCATTTGACTCCATGTCTCATATCCAGGGCATGCTGATGCAAGGAGTGAGCTCCCAAGGCCTTGGGAAGCTCCACTTCTGTGGCTCTGGGGTATAACCCCTGCAGCTGCTTTTACGGCTTGGCATTGAGTGCCTGCAGCTTTTCCAGGTGCATAGTGCAAGCTGTCAGTGGATCTACCATTTTGGGGTCTGGAGGATGGTTGCCTTCTCACAGCACCACTAGGGAGTGCCCCAGTGGGGATTCTGTTGGGGCTCCAACCCCACATTTCTCCTCCACACTGCCCTAGTAGAGGTTCTTCATGAAGGCTCTTTCCCTGCAGCAGACTTCTGCCTGGACATCCAAGTGTTTCCACACATCCTCTGAAATTTAGGTAGAGGCTCCCAAACTCTTGCCTTCTGCACACCTGCAGGCCCAACACCATGTGGAAGCTTCCAAAACCTGGGGCTTGCATTCTCTGAAGCAACAGCCTGGGTTGCACCTTGGCCCCTTTTAGCCACAGCTGGAGCTGGAGCAGCTGGGAAACAGGGTGCCATGTCCCAAGGTTGCATAGAGCAGCAGGGTCCTAGGCCTGGTCCATCAGTCCATTTTTTCCTCCTAGGCTACCAGGCCTGCAGTGGGAAGGGCTGCCTTGAAGGTCTCTGAAATCCCCTGGAGACATTTTCCCCATTGCCTTGGCTATTAACATTCAGCTCCTCTTTACTTATGCAAATTTTTGCAACAAGGTTGAATGTCTTCCCAGAAAATGGGTCTTTTTTTTCTTTTCTTTCTTCTTTTTTTTTTTTTTGAGATGGAGTTTCACTCTTGTTGCCCAGGCTGGAGTGGAATGGCACGATCTCAGCTCATTGCAACCTCTGCCTTCTGGATTCAAGCAATTCTCCTGCCTCAGCCTCCCGAGTAGCTGGGCTTATAGGCATGCGCCACCACACCTGGCTAATTTTGTATTTTTAGTAGAGACGGGGTTTCTCCAAGTTGATCAGGCTGGTCTCAAACGCCCATCCTCAGGTGATCCGCCCACCTCAGCCTCCCAAAGTACTGAGATTATAGGTGTGAGCCACTGCGCCCAGCCTGGGTCTTTCTTTTCTACCACATAGCCAGGGTGCAAATTTTCCAAACTGCTATGCTCTGTTTCCCTTTTAAATATAAGTTCCAGTTTCAGATAATCTCTTTGTTCACACATATAAGCATGCACTTGCAGAAACAGCCAGGTCGCATCTTGAATGCTTTGCTGCTTAGAAATTTCTCCTGCCAGATACCCTAAATCATCTCTCTCAAGTTTAAAGTTCCACAAATCTCTAGGGCAGGGGCAAAATGCTGCCAGTCTCTTTGCTAAAGCATAACAGTGACCTTTACTCCAGTTCCCAATAAGTTCCTCATCTCCATCTGAGACCATCTCAGCCTGGATGTTATTGTCTATATTACTATTAGCATTTTGGTCAAAACCATTCAACAAGTCTCTAGGATGTTCCAAGCTTTCCCACATCTTCCTGTCTTCTTCTAAACCCTCCAAACTGTTCCAACCTCTGCCTGTTACCCAATTCCAAAGTTGCTTCCACATTTTCAGGTATCTCTAAAGCAATGCCCCACTTTCCTGATACAAATTTTCTGTATTAGTCCGTTCTCACATTGCTATAAAGAACTACCTGAGACTGGGTAATTTATGAATAAAAGAGGTTTAATTGACTCACAGTTCCAGTTCCACATGCTGGACAGGAAGCATGGTTGGAAGGCCTCAGGAAACTTACAATCATGGTGGAAGATGAAGAGAAAGCAAGCACATCTTACCATGGCAGAGCAGGAGAGACAGAGAGTGAAGGGGAAAGTGTCATACACTTTTAAACCATCAGATCTCGTGAGAACTCACTCACTATCACAAAAACAGGAAGGAGGAAATCCACCCTCATGACCCAATTACCTCCCACCAGGAGCATCCCCTCACATATGGGGATTACAATTCGACATGAGATTTGGGTGGAGACACACAGCCAAACCATATCAATCAAAAAAAAAGAGAAAAGCTTCTATAGAATTGTGGTCTGGCATCCTGACAGCAAATGTCGATTTCCTTATGAAGATAAAATCCTTTTAATTATCAGAGTAAGCACCCTCCAAATGCCCCACCATATAGTCTTAAAGTGTGGAAATATATTCCTTTTTCATTCTTTATGGAATAAACAGAGAGAGCGGTACAAGTTGTTGAGGAGTGGCCTTTGGTCCTCTGTGTCAGGAATGCAGAAAGGATAAGGCTCCCAATTGTGCTGTCAAGTCAAAAGATGCTGATAGAACTTGTGGGGGAGACACAGCTTTCACCCTTGGGTTACTGACTCATTTTGCAGGAAGATGACCATCTTTTACTGCCCAACGACATCTTTCTACCAATGTGAACAGAGACTAGCAGCACAGTGATCACCTGCAGATAGACCTGGCTTTATCTGTACATAACACCAAAAGAAAAAACCTGGATTCCAGAAGGAAATAAAGATTTTCAGTCCCTGCAAGAATTCTCAATGTTCTTCACATAATTTGGAGGTATTGTTTCTGATATATGGGTTATTTTAATGGTGGTATCTGTTTTTTACCCATAAATGTTGAGGGCATCTTACACTTCTCCTATGTAATAGTTTTCCTTGGGAAAAATCTCATAGAGCCGTCATTCATAAAGTGTGTTCCAAGGAACACAAAGTCATCAGGAATCAGGGTTACCTGTGACGGTGGGGGAAGGATTCTGAGATCAACTGGAGAAGCACATGATTAAACAAAACTTAGTAGGTCTCTATTGTAGGACTTCTCAGAGACCTTAGTATGCTTATAGGGGTTGCCATTTGTGTGTTTTGCGTGTGTGCACTGTGGGTGTTTTATGTATTATGTGTCTGTTGTGTGAGTATGTGTATGTTTTCTATGCGTTGTATTGCAGAACTTTTTCAGGGCGTATACAGAGTATAACCTGGAAAATCTAATTTATTTAACATTAACTTTTCAGACATACTTCTTAAGCTGTATTTTGGTTTTTTGCACTTTAAAATGTCAGTGTACTTTTACAGCAGATGAACTAGTTCCTTATAACATAGCTTTTTCTTGTTTCTCAGAATTTTAGCTAAGATTGTACAAAAGAGACTTCTATTAAATAAATATAATTCCCTATCAAGTCTGTAATCAACTTGAAAATCGTTCATCTAGAAACTGAATACATTAGGCCTTGATATTAATAACATAATATAATGCAGTATTTTAGATAATATTCAAAGAGGAAATAAAGCACTAAAGAAAGAGTAGCAATCATACTTCAAATATTATAATTATAGATTAAAATGCTCTTATTTTATTATACACAAAATAAATTACAAAATAAGAGCATTTTACTATAAACACAACATAAATGAAGCATACTTATTCATTTTACCATAATTTAAATACTGACATTGCACAACAATTCCTAAAACTTTTGTGATTCATAAGTTAATTCCCAGCCATTAAGTACCTAAATAATGTTAATATTTTATCTTCTTTTTCTTTCTGGGCACTTCCTTCCTTCACTTGAACTAACAATTTTCTTTTCAGCCATTCTCACCCATCCAGCAATACCTGAGCAAATATGCTGGCATATAAAGGCAAATCATGATTGCCTTGCTTAGCTGCAGAAAGTCACCCAATGCCTATTTACCATCAATCAGCTAATACTGTGGTTCCAAATGTTAATCTGGCAAAGTTCAACAATTCATTTCTTATATTTCAAAAGTTAAGGGAAATTCTACTAACTATAACACTAAATGTCTGCTTTTAGCCAAACTACATTAATTATAATTAATCTATTAAGAATACCCCAAGCTAATCAGAAGCTGTATGTAGGTCATGAATTAGAAATAGATGGGGAGGGCTGGGTGTGGTGGCTCACGCCTGTAATCCCAGCACTTTGGGAGGCCAAGGCAGGTGGATCACTTGAGGTCAAGAGTTCGAGACCAGCCGGGGTAACATGGTGAAACCCTGTCTCTACTAAAAAAATACAAAAAATTTATCTGGGCGTGGTGGCGCGCGCCTGTATTCTCAGATACTCAGGAGCCAAGATTGCGCCACTGCACTCCAGCCTGGGTGACAAAGCGAGATTCCATCTCAAAAAAAGAAAAGAAAAAAAATAGATGAGGAAATGAAAATGAATGATTACTTAATAAATAAAATCAGGTAATATGATAAATGAAAATCTTCAAAACATGAGCAACATGGAAAAAAATAATGAAAAAAACATTTAGGATTATGGAATTTAAAATGTCCAACCTCTGATGACAATGAAAAACATGCATTGAGAAGTTACTATGTGTCAGGTACCACGTTAAGTGACTCAGCGTGTACCATTTCATTCCCTCTTCATCATCCTGAAATAGGTATAATTTTTGTTCCTATTTTACCATAAAGGTAACAGATTCAGAGGGGTTAAGTAATTTGCCATGGTTGTACATCTAATAAGTAGCAAAGCTGAGATTTAAACACACTCCCTTACACTCCACCCTGAATACGGAGACTGTATTAAATTTCTGTCATTTCATAACACATCCCAGTTTAGTGGCTTAAAACAACACCCATTTATCATCTCAGTTTCTATAGGTCAGGAGTTGAGGCACAGCCTAACTGGGTCCCCTGCTCAGGGTCTCACAAGGCTGTGATCTAGGTGTCGACACAGCTACATTCTTTTCTGGAGTCTGGAGTTTGGGGTCCTCTTCCATGTGTATGTGATTTCAGAGAGTTCACTTCCTTGAAGCTGGAGGACTGAGGTCCCTGTTTTCTTGCTAGCTGTCAGCCAGGGGCCACTCTCAGACTCAGGAGGCTGCCTGCAGTTTCTTGTCACATGGTACCTCACTACGTCATGGCCAAAAGGAGAATCAATCCTTCCAGTCTGCTATAATGGCAGTTTACATAGCAATAACATAACCACGGAAGTGACGATCCCACCATCTTTGCCATATTCTGTTCACTAAATGCAACTCATTAGCTCCAACAACACTCAAGGGGAGGAGATTATACAAGGATATGACTCATTGGGGTTTATCTTAAAATCATGCCTACTGTAAGTACCAATGTTCTGTTCCTGTTTTATTTACTTAACTGATGACTGTCTTCTGGATTGGAGTCAATATTACCTGGGAAAACACCAAAGCAATCAAGTTAGCCATGACTTGTACATATGCGAATGACAGAAACAAAATGATAGTTTCAAGTAGACAATAGGGGCTCCCAAATTCTGTAAGCTTGAGGACTATTGTGTCTACAGTAAATCTATGATTTCATTGTTGAATAATTTGAAGTCAATATTAGATGAATTCCCCCAGTAAATGAAGAACATTACTTAGCAGTCAACACTAAAGGCCAATTTTCCAGAGGCCAGTTTCTCTATTAGTGAACTTGGCTTAAAATAAGTAAGGACCATTTAAGTACTCAATTTTTCTAACTAATAACCAAAAAAAAAATCAACACCATGTTGAACCTGATCCCCCTGCCCAAAAAAAAAGGTTTTAGTGACAACTCTCGGAATTGGTGAATTTGGGACCCAGCTGCTTATAGGCATTACCACTGGCAGGATTATCAGGGGGTACTCCCTTCTGTAAAGCACTATTGTACTGGCTCTACTAGCCATTCCTTCAGGGTTACAAGGAAGTAATATGCACAAATTGTTAACCAACATAAAAGTTTATTTCAAAGAACCATGGGAAAGGCCAGCAAAAGGAGGCATTATTGATCAGCGGTGTAGGTATTCAGGGACATTGGTTTACCCATTAAAATGTGCAGCCAGTATCGTAAACAACCAGTGATATTTGCTCACTATTGCTCCAGAAAAAACAACAGCCTAAAGCTGAGTCATCAGCTTTCTCTTTAATCATCTGATATATATTCTTCTAAATAGAGGATTTGATTGGGCCATTTAGCACTGCATGGTATGGAGGGATTTAATGGGCACAGTCTCTGCCAACCTCCCAAGGGTGATTGGCTCCCTTATAGGCAGTCCACACAGAGTTGCTTTCAGCTTTGAGCCTGGCCCAGGTCCTGCAGGTGGTACCCACTTAACAGGAAGCTCCACTCCCTAAGAAAGAATGAACATGAACCAACTAATGATTATAACAATACTGGCAAAAAGAGTTGGGCCATTTTTCTTAAAAGATGAATGTGTAAGTAAAATGTGTTTTAAAAAATGTACGGATATACCCTTCGGCCCATGTGATTCAAATGAAAGAAGTAAATATATCAAACACCATAAAGATATTTAATCGCTTGGGCATTTTGAGAGTCTTTGATTCTTAAGAATTTACACTAAAGAGAAAATACTGATGTGAGGGGAAAAATATATGTTTGAAAATAGACGTTACAACATTATTTATAATACCCCCAAATCAGAAAGAAACTAAATGCCCAATAATAACAGATTGTGAAATAAGATTTTCTAATACTGGCCATTAAATATAACTATGAAGTTACGCAAAAACTTGGGGAAAAGGCAAACCAATTCTTAAATAGGAAAAAAGGTTATATAACCACATATAATCTTTAGGATTTGAGTTACTGCCCACTAAAACTTTGACTCCACCCTTAATTTGCTTAACAAACAGCAAAGATGAACCAGGTCACCCTTTCCTTCAAGTCACCACAAATTCCATTTGAGCAACATCTGAATGAATAGGATTTCCCTATTCATGCAGCACAGGCCAGCACTAGGATAAGGGGTAGTAGATTGAGTTGAATCTATCTCTGGGAACATATCCCAAAGAAACAATCCAAGATGTAGGTGAATAATTATGCATAAAAACTTTCACTATACCAGTATTTACATTAGCAAGGTGTTTAGAAAAGATTAGAAAATGGGATTTCCATAGTTATTCATTCATTTAAAAAGTATTTACTGAATGCTTACTCTGTACCAAGTATTTTAGTCATGGAGGATACATCAGTGAACAGAAATAGCTTATGTTTTTGTGGGTAAAGACAGGTACTAAAGAAATCAACTAGTAAGTACTTTGTATGCTGTTACGGGTTGAATGGGTCCTCCAAAAATGATGTGTTAAAGTCCAACCCCCAGGATCTCAGAATGTAAACTTATTTGGAAATAAGATCATTGCAGATGTAAATAGTTACATTAAATTGGTCATAATAGAGTAGAATAGGCTTTTACTTCAATATGGCTGGTGTTCTTATAAGAAGAGAGAGACACAGGGGGAAGATGGCCATGTGAAGATGGAGGCAGAGACTGGAGTGATACATCCACAAGCTATGGAATGCCAAGGTTTGCCAGCCATTTATAAGAAGCTAGGAGACAGGCGTGGAACACATTCTCCCTCTGAACCCTCAGAAGGAACCAACACTGCCGACATTTTGATTCCGGACTTCTGACCTCCAGAACAAGGTGAGAATAAATTTCTGTTGTTTGAGGCCACCCAGTTTGTGGTACTTGGTTATGGCAGCCCTAGGAAATGAATATACATGCCACACAGAAAAAGCAAGATGCAGAAAAATTAAAATAGGTAAGATTGCAGGGAAAGGAGTATTGGGTAGAGAGACTGCTCTTTATAAAGACTATGTAGAGAGTTTCACAGGTAAGATGGAATTTGAACAGGAACCTTAAGCAAGGAGGGAACAAGATAGGCAGGCATCTGGGGACAGAACCTATCAGGTCAGGACACAGCAAAGCAAAGTTCCAAAGGGAGAGGAAGCTGGACACCTGTGTGGCCGGAGCAGAGTGGATAAGGGCCAGAGGGGTGTGGGATAGAGGCAGCAGTGGGAGATAGAGACACTTACTGGCAGTGACATTGCAATGCCTTTGAGGGTTTGAGCAGATCCATAACATTATCTGGTTACTTTGTTGAGTATAAACTGTCATGGGACCAGGATGGAATCCAGGCAAAGACCCCTCAGGGGGCTCCTGAAATCATCCAACCGAGAGATGAAGATGGCTTGGGCCAGTGCGGCTGCAGGGAAGGTGAGGTGAGATGGGAATGGTATCTGATTCTGGAACTACTCAAAAGGTGAGACTAGCAGGTTTTGTGAAGGACTGGATGTGTGATGTAAGAGAAAAGAGTCAGAGAAGACCTCAGATGAGGTTTGAGGCCTGGAGGTTTGAGGTCAAGGATGAAGTTGCCATTTGCTGAGAAGGGGAACGTGGAGTGCAGGTTCATTAGAAGTTTAGCTTAAGACACAGTAAGTTTAGTATGTCATTAATCATCTCAGTGGAGATGTCAAATAGGCAGTATTCCGGGGAAAGTTGAGGCTGGAGATAGAATCTGGGAGTTCTTGGGGATGGGTGGACAGTATTTGAAGCCATGGTGCTTGATGGGCACTCCTGGCAAGTGAACGCAGATGGAGAAGGACTAGGAGAGGTCTGAGGCCTCAGGACTGAGTTCTGGGGCACCTCCTGCTATTAGAGACTGAGAAGAGATGAAGAGGTTCTACAAAAGAGACTTAGAAGATTCTAAGGAGGAGAACCAAGAAAGAAATGTTCCAGCAGCCAAGAAGAAAATGTTTCAAGAAGGGAATGGGAAAATATTACACAGCCATTAAAAATAATGTATTTGATACAACATAGTGACTATAATTAATAATAATGCATTATATAACTGAAAGTTGCTAAGAGAGTACATTTCAAGTGTTTTCACCACACAAAAATAATAAGTATGTGAGGTGATAGATATGCTAATTTGATTTAATTATTCCATAATATATATCTATCTAAACATCATGTTATATACTATATATATATAATTTTTGTTTGCAATTTAAAAAATTAATAATACATTTGAATCTTAATATTACAAAAATAGGATGATATAATCTCCAGTGGAAAAAAAAATTAGGACTCCAAACTGTATGCAGCAAAATCTTAATTTTGTTTAAGAAACATATGTAGGCATAGAAAAGAAAAACCTGAAGAAGTATAGGAAAGTAAATAGTTATTTCTGAATTTTTACTTTAGGAGGGCATTTGTTTTCTACTTTTATAGCAGTTTCTAAGCTCTTTACTATGAGCTTACTTCCCAATAAATATGTACATAAAAATTTTAAAAATCATAATAGCAAAGACTTTTAGATTCAGTGTTTTAAAAGCAAAAATATGTAACACTTGCAAAGTCTTTTAAGCAAGACAGTAGGAACTGTTGAAACGTCATGTAGTTAAGTTTTTTTGGTTGTCATAATTTTGCTGTCTTCCCCTCCAAAAAAGGAAGCAGAGAAGTATTAAAAATTTCTTTTTTTTTTTCACTTGTGTTATAATGATCTCTCTTCGGAAAGAAGCAGCATAATTAAAATAATGTAATATTTTTCATTTAAATAAGTATTTCTAAAGAAATGTAAAAGCTGGGTTTCCATTTCATTGTTAAGGATCAAGGAGACCTTGGACAGGTCACATAATAGGTCTGGGTCCTGGTTTCCTCATGTATTCAATGAGATCAACGGATGCTCCATGGCTCACAGTGTGGTTGTGAGACTCTCAGACTACATTAAATTAGAGACAGTGCAGTTGTGAGACTGAAGAGAGACCTCAGGGATGACTCTTCCTCCAGCATCCTCCAGATTCTGGCTTTGTTGCCAGCAGCCAACACTGGCAGCGAAAGATGGCTTAAACCAGTTGGCTTGCTTTGAATGCCCATAATTGGCCACACTACCTCTGCAGATGGTCCCTGAGGGCACAGCTCCTGCTTGGCAGAAGAGTCAGTGGTTTTCAACCAGGCCCCGGAAGTGTAGGTTTAATTTCTGAAGCTAGCAGTAAGATGGGAGCCACGTTGCCCTGTGATTAGCCTGATGGAGACAGCAGTCCACCTGAGCTCCGCCCACCCTGAGGCCCTGCCTGGGCATGTGCTGGAAGTTCCTTTAAACAGATTCAAATAACAACAGTTTATGTGTCTAGATACCAAAAGCATATGAGGGCAGTCTGGACTCAGCAGGCTGCACATTTCTCCAAACAAATAATTTATCACTGATTCTTTTAGCAATAAAACAGGGGAGGGAGAGAAGTTCAATAATAGAAGTAACAGGTGCAATTATAAAAGTTCCAATCATACTCTTTTGTTATGAAGTTAATTCCTCAATAAAACATGCATACAACTCAAGAACAACACACAGAGCTAATTTCTACTCTAGGAATTTGGAATAAAGTTAGATTCCTGTCCCATAGACTAGAAGCTGGTTGTTTTCCATCCAAGAGCAAGGTAATAAGCAGAAAGAGAAAACTCTTTTCATTCTCTTAAATAGCAGGTATGCTCAGGAGACATTCTCACTACCAGGGAAAAGAGAATGGGATTTGGAATCTGTAACATGATCAGCCACTTGCATACCTGGATGAGTTCATTAGCCATTCTGAGACCCCAGCCACTTTCTATTTTGGTATAGATTGGGCTAATCATATCCACTCTCAAGGTGGAGTTGGGAGGATGAAATGCTGAAAGCACAGCTGGCTTTTTTGGCTAACATTTATTGTGGGCCTACTTTGTTTCAGCAGAGCTGGGCTTTGGGTGACCCCACTGTCCACATGCCTTCCAAAACCGCACGTTACCTCTCCCAACACTGTTCAATAACCATCAGGCTGTCTCCTCCCCACAATGTGCCCACTCTGCACTTTGGGCAGCCACAATCTCCAACTTCAATTTGTGCATCTTCAATTCTGTAAAAGTAGTGACAATCTACTGCTGCTTCCCTCATGATACCTTTCCACAGTAATCTTCCTCCCTCTCTCTCTCTCAGTCAACTCTTGCCATCCCCTTACCTAATGGCATTTTCCAGCTCTCAGGAATTCTGAATCAATCTGCAATTTCTTTTCCTAGAATCCTTCCCCCCAAGAGTCCTGATCACATGTGAAACAAGTTTGGCCATTGTGCAAATTAGTTCTGTGGCCAAGTTCCTAATGCAAAGTCTAGCAGAAGCCAAGGGTGGGACTGGGAAAATGAAGTCAGTGTGACAGCCCCATGGTGAGTGGAAGGGTTGGAAGGCTTTGTGATCCAAAGGAAAAAAAAACACTAGACCAGGAGTCTCAGCCTCTCTCCCAGATCTACCCCTGAGTCCTGTGACCACTATAACACTTTTAATATCTATGGGCTTCCATTTCTTCACCTGTGAGATCAGGAGGTTGGGATCAAATCAGACATAGTAAATAGGTGGTACTGGTGCCATCATTCACTCATTCACTTACCTCCTCCCACTCCACGCACACACACATCCATGGCACATATCATTAACCAATCAGTACCTTTTTTCCTGCAGAACCCAGACTAGCCCCAGCACTCCAGGCAATCACCACCAAACAATGAGAGTTGGCACAGGATACAAGACTTCTGTCCTTCTATGACATGGATTTCTTCAGCATCCAGGTTTGCAGACTAATGAGCATCACCTTAAAGTAGGGCAGTGTAACTTCCTGGAAATCAACAATATGTACCGTCTAATGCCTCTTTACGCTGCAGCTCTGGGCAGACTGTAGAATGGCCAGGCTAGCCTGCCATGTGGGGAAACCAATCCTGAGTATAACCCACAGCTCCTTGTCCATGCAATGGGAGATGGTCCTTTAATGCCCAGCACAGATTTTTTATTGGAATTTCCAAAGAGCATATCCCATGAGCCTCGTTTCACCACAGATAATCAGACTAATTCCTCAGACTCCACAGTGCCAAGTCTTTCCTTACTTGCTAGCTTCAGTGTCTGCTTTGGCCTCCTGCCCTGCTTATGAAGCTCTGGCCCTCTCCACTGTAGATTCCACAGCCCATGACCTTGACTCAACTCTGTATCTGACTCCAGCCACCCCGGGCTGACTTGCTGCCCCTTTCTCCTGCCAGCCAGGGCCCAGCAGCCCCAGAATTGCCTGCCCTCTGTTGCCCCATCTGCCCCTGGCCACCCATCTCCAACACTGAATCTCCCCAGATGTGTCTGATGTCTCAGCACTTTCCCTACTAGCAGCGAGTGGCACTCAGCATTGGGCACTCCTCTGGCCCTGAGGGGACTGACTGTGGAACAGTGGGATCCTTGCTACCCCATGGCTTTCAATAGCTTCAGGAGCTCCCTTTTCTTGCCTGAATTTCTCTGCCTGGTTTCTAAGGTCCTGCGCAATCTAGCCTACCTTTCCCAGTTCCCATCATCCCTCTACACTAGCTACCTTGCTCTTCCCGGTGCAGCACCAGCTCCCAAGCCCACTCCCACCTGAGGCCTCTGGACATCATTTTCCTCTTGCCGGCAACTTCCTCTCCTCTTTCTCAAGGTCCCCACAACTAACAATTCTTCACAATTCAGCTTACGTCCCATCTCCTCCATGAAGCTTCTCCTGATTATGCCAGGCTTTGGTTTTTACCTAACATTTAACTTTCCTACCAGGTAATTTAGTACTTAATTATATGTTACTTCACAGGATTTTACAGAGCGGAAGTTCTTTGAGGGCAAGAACCTGCCACATGGCCTGAGTGTCTCTCCCTGGTGACATTATAACAAATTAACAAGCAAAACAAACATTATTGAGCTCCTCTCCTATGATAAAAGTGCTTAAACACTTGCTAATTCGTTTTTTGAAACACTGAGTAACTGTGCTGGGATGCATCAAATTCTTGCCCATTTATGTCCCATCTGGATCATAACAGATCCTTCTCTCCCTGAATTAAAGAAAAACTTAGATTATGCTGGAGTCCAAGAAAGTATTTGCCTATTAGGCTTTGGCAGTGGTTTTCAAGCTTTTAATACCGAGAGTCATCTGGGGTATTTTCTAGAAGAGTAGATTTCTCAGCTGCACGGACAAAGTTCCTGATTTCGTGGAATAGGGCCTGAAGTGTGCATTTTAATAAGTGGTCTAGGTAATCTTAAAGTAGATAGTTTGTCAATCCTACTCTGAAGAAAAAACGGGGCTGTGGGAACTTGCTTTCCCAGAGACAATCTGCAATGGGTGGGGCAAAGGCAAAGAAGGGGCCACCACCCCCAGAAAGGTCTATCCAGATTTTCCTCAGCCTCTTCTTTGGTTATACTCCAACTCTGATTACCAAATCTTTGAGACCCTCAGCCAACAGGCCACTTGGCCTTGAAGAGTCATTTTTATCTGCAGGGATCTCCCACCCACAGGCCTCCACTTGGCCTGCCCTCACTGGAGGAAACAAACACACCAGTGCTCTGTTAACCAGCTGCAGTGTTGGGCTTACAGGTTATTTTAACTCCACTATGAATCAGAACAGAATTATGAACAATTTACATGAGACTTGTCACATCTTGTTTCAGTCTTTCTTTGGCTCATAGTTTTCCTTGTTTGGCCTTTCAAATACTTATACGTCTGATTATTTTCAAGTCTGGAAGACTACATAGGTAGCATTACACAGATATGGCTTCTCATGGCTGACATCTCAGGAAGCTCTCAAATTCACAACCCCACATGTCAAAAGTAAGGAAACAGAGAAAGCTTCCAAAAAGGCAGGGCAGAGCTGGGTAGAGCATCTCAGCTGGCACCCAGGCTGAGTAATTCTTCTCTGTGTCTTAGCATGCCATATACAGAGGCCTGAGGCCAAATGGATTTCCACAACAACTTCTGCAGCCTAATTAAGACCCATCCTGTTTGCACACGGGAACTTTGTAGGGTAGACAACTGTTAATAAGAAAGAAATAAAGTATTTTTTTAGAAAAATACTCCTGCCCTAAAGCAGATGTTAAACAACCAGGCTCCCAAAAGAATCTTGTATAAATGATCCTCTAAGCATGAGTTAGAATCTCTACTTCAAATGAGAGAAATATTCTCTGGAGATTTCCCCTAACTGAGGCAATGAATGCTCCCATGAGCTTCCTGGGCACAAGAGATACCCCAGAACACTGGTATTTCTTCTAAGAAGGCAGAGTTCAAGTGCTCTGTAGAGTGATAAAACTTACCACGTTCTCTTCCTCCGATGCTTGATTCCACCCGGGGTTCACAATAAGTCTGTGCAATGTGTTTGTTGAAAAACTGGTTCTCACTTTCTTCCAGGTGTGCAGGGTTTCTGAGCCAGGAGCAGTTGAGGAGTGGGAAGAACATCTGGAAAGACTGGGAGTAAGGACGCCCCATCTGATGGAAGAAAGGAAACACATGCCCACCCATTTTTGCACCTGGGTCTTTCATTTGCCTTTACACTGGACTCTTGCAAGCCCTAAGCAGGACATTGCATCAAGCTAATGGGCTTGTGTTGAGGTCTCTTTCAACTCACCCCAAGCCTTGGGAGAGTCATATTTCTGACAACTAAATTCATGAAGTCTTCCTAAGCCTCTTTTAAATCATGATTCTCCCTTTGAAACAATAGGCACACACATTAAAGTCCAAATAGTCATTAACCTTTATCACCATTCACTAGGAGGTCAGAACAGAAGAGCACCATGTAGGAATGGACAGCCTTGTGGGTGTCGTGGATGCATGGTCCCATCTGGAACCCTGGGGCACAGATATCATGAGCAGAGGAGGCAGCAGGGCCAGGGGTGGATGCGAATTCTGCCTCTACCACTTCTAACCAGTACACCCTGGGCAGTGTACTTGACTGCTTTGTTCTTCAGTCTCCTCCTCTGTGAGGTTGAGATAATGGTAGCAACTAATTTAGGAGATTATTGTGAGAATTAAATGAGATTGTCTATGTCATAATAGGTATGCAATAAGTGCCTAATATATGTTGATTTTTTACTCTGTTTTCTAGAGAAGACAGATGTAGAATTTAGTCTTCATGATGGGTGGCTTCTGAAGATGTCAAAAGGGACAATGCCTCAGAGGCTGGCAGCCCCCTGACATGGTGAAATAGGCAGCCGTGTGGTCAGGCCAGGGCACAAGATTCACACACTCCCTCTCTCCCTCAGTAATGCTCAGGTTGTCTACAGGAAACATCCTATAGTCCTACATATCTTGTTCCCCACGTTGAACAAAGTGAGGAGAAAGACATAAAAGGATTTCTCTGCTCTTGCTCAGTTTTCATCTCATGAAAGAATAAGACTTGCCTCAAATTTCATGAGTGTACAGTCGAGTTCTTACCTGGCAGAACTAATCTTCTGGGGGAACAATAATAGGTCATGTTAATTAAGTACTCATTCTCCTAAGTATATTTTTTATTATCTCATTTTTTTCTCATAGCAACCCTCTAAAGAGGGTCTATTGTCATCCCCATCTTACAGAGGAAACTGAGCACAGAATGGTAACTTGCCCAAGGTCATCATTTAGCCAGAACTTAAACCCATTGGGTCAAACTCCAGCACCCACTATACAAAGCTGTCTCATCTCAACCAGCCCTCTCTCCTTCTGACTCACTTCGGTATTTCATTTTTTAATTGACATTTGCTAAGAAGGTCAAATGGATGACGAAGGATGTTGTTGAGCACTCATTTTAGCAAAGTTGTATCTAGCACTTAATCATGTGACCAATTGCTGTACTAAGACTAGGGGATAAAGGGAGGGGAGGACATGCAGTCCATGTCCCTAATGAACATTCCATCTCCTTGATTGGCGGGGGAGAGAGAGAAAGAGAGAGAGAGGCCACATGAAAGAAAAATAACAATGTAAGAAAGGGAGAGAGGAAGAGAGAGGAAGCAGAGATCTGGGAGAGTACAGAGGAGTGATGCGGTGATTCAACCCCACAAGGAAGGTCAGTGTGTCTTCTTTGCATATACGGTAAACAGAAGAAACTGAAGCTTAGAGATCTTAAATAGCAAATCCTAGTTTGCTTAGCAAGTCAGTGGGGGGAGGTAGGAGACTAGTGTCTGACTCTGAAGCCCACACCCTCTTCACTGCACATATGTCTCCCTGATCCTGAAAGGGTAGTTTACGACCATGTCCTTAAGGGCCTGAATGTTGCACTAAGGAGCTTGGGCTTTATTCTCTAATGAATATAAGTACCCACAATGCTCCTCTGCTCTAAAGTTAAGAGCATCATCTAGGGATTGCCGGGCAGAAGGCAAATCCCACTGGTTTCCTTCTACGCACACATATATCCCCTCCAAGGGTGTCCAGTGAGCCAATCAACCACTTTTTTCACTTTTATGCAAACACAGCAGCTGGATTAGCTGCACCTGCAGCCTCTGCTGTGTCACACATGATAAAAGGATCAAAGTCTAGAACATGACTTCAGACTATAATTTAAGATAATTAAGATTTTTAACCTAAAT
This sequence comes from Homo sapiens, assembly GCF_000001405.40. NCBI lineage: Eukaryota > Metazoa > Chordata > Mammalia > Primates > Hominidae > Homo > Homo sapiens. The sequence goes on along the minus strand of NC_000014.9, from coordinate 51,331,320 downwards.
TACATTTTAACATTTCATAACAGAGCTGTCAAGATTCTATCTATCAAAACTCTATCAAGCAAACAAAAGAGGATAATTATATTTTCAGACACATGCAGTCATCACTCTGCTTAAGTTCTCATAAAAAAGACTTCTGTCTTCTTTCACATTCTCATTTTCAATTGCTCTTCCTCTTCCCAGCCACCCTTGGATTCTGAGACTATGCATTCTTAAACAAGAGGAAAATATTCCAGAGGAGTTTGTAACTCAGGCCATGAAAGTGTTTCTCAGAAGCGGCAGTTCTAATTAGAACTGCATCTAAAGGAAATATCTCTTCATTGGTAGGGACATCTTGCCTCACTAAATAGACTCTGATTGGGGATGAGAAAAGGCAGCATATTAAACTCTTCAAATCAAAGAGAACAATGAAATGCCAAAAAGTTTCCTCCTAGAAGCTGAATTTGCTTTCATCTTGTCCCATTAAGATATGGAGATTGTTGCAAAATCTTTGAGTTGCCACAGGAAGAATACTAACTATTTTGGGTATTGCTGGATGCCTGCCCATCATCCACTTCACCTCTCCCCTGACCATTAGGAATCAGCCATGTCAGTGAGGTAAAAATGACCCTACTCCCCGCTGCAGTGGCCTAAGGCACTCAATGTAATCTTATCCTCATTAAGACTGTGATTGATTCAGGAATACACAAGGAATACATGCTGCAGCCAACCCTTGCACGGCGTCCCCCAGTTCCCATGACTGCTCAAGACAGGGGCACAGGATCTTACTTGGCCCCATGGCCAAGAATGAAGCCCACAAGTTTTGTTGGACAGTAGAGAGGAGAGAAATGTTCTTCCTTTGGACCTTCTTTTGGCTCTTCTTTTGGACCTGTGTGTGCAGACATTGGACCCAGAACTGTTGCAGGCATTTTGCTATCAATAAGGGAAGCCTGAGGACAAAGCCTACACACTAGGAGGATGAAGCCAGGACTGTTACAGAGAAACAGAGCAGGAATCCTGATTAAACTGTGCGTGAACACTGACACAGCCAGTTTGAGTTCAGTTCTGCTTTGTTTGCAACCAAGAGCATCCTAACTGATCCACCAACTCTAATAGTTAAGTACAGTGTTCTTAGCTTTGTGGGATCGTAGCCCTTTGAAAATCTGATATAGACCAGGATCCCGCTTCCCAGAAAAACACATGTACAAAAGGTCACATAAAATCTAGGGGTGACAGGGGCATGGACTCCAGATTGAGTCTCCAGCAGACTGGTTAGGCACTTAGGCTTTGAGGTAGGATAGATCTGGGTTCAAATCCTAGCTCAGCTACCACCAGCTTCTTGTCACTTTATGTAACTCTTCTGAACCTCATTTTATTATGCCATAAAATGAGAATAATAATATCTACTTCACAGGGGTGTAAAATGTAAACAAAATCATGAATGTCTAGAGATTAGCACAGTACCTATCTCACAGTCACAACCCACAGCCTATGGCATCAGGCAATTAAGAATAGTCCTTAAAGGGCCAGGCGCGATGGCTCACACCTGTAATCCCAGCACTTTGGGAGGCCAAGCCAGGCGGATCACGAGGTCAGGAGTTCAAGACCAGCCTCACCAACATGGTAAAACCCCATCTCTACTAAAAATACAAAAATTAGCCAGGCGTGATGGTGGGCGCCTGTAATCCCAGCTACTCAGGAGGCTGAGACAGGAGAATGGCTTGAACCTGGGAGGCGGAGGTTGCAGTGATCCGAGATCATGCCATTGCACTACAGCCTGGGCCACAGAGCAAGACTCCGTCTCAAAAAAAAAAAAAAAAAAAAGAATAGTCCTTAAGCCCTTAAGATAGATGTCCATGTCAAGTGTTAGAATATGCACAGAACTGAAGCCATCATTGATCTGAATATGTAAAGCAGTTGATCAGGAATTGGTCCTAGATTTGGGGAAAACTTGTCACGAGGACAGGAATTTGGGCAAGACATAGCTTCTTAATCTGAAAAGTGCCTAGCTAGTTCTCAAGACTATAATGGAGTCAGATGAGAGAAAAAGGATTTGATCCACTTGGGGCAGAATAGGGAAGGTTTTGTTAACTGTAAAGTTTTAAAAGGCAGAGTAAAGGAGAATAAAAAAGACTTATGGTTGCACATCTGCAGACTTTCACAATCATAAGACCAAAAACTAGTAATTTCCCATCCCAGCCCCGGAGAAATGACTCACTGGGCTGTCCTTCATAGGCCCAAATCCCAAAGTTTCTTATAAAAAGGTGAAATTTTGGACTCCATGGGCAATGGCCACCCTGCCCAATATCCCTGCCTGCTGTTCAACTCATGTCCTGCCCGCCCACCTCCAGCACCTGCAAGTCCTACTCCACCCAGAGGATGTCCTGGCTGCTCATATTTCAACGAAATCGTAAGGCTCTTCGAGTATTCCTCCTTGATTTATGACTTGGAAATGTCAGCAGGAATGGAAAATCCAGGACATGGCCAGGAAGAACACAGTCCAGGGACGTTTTAGAGCTGATACAGCCCATCTGCTTGGTCCTTCACTGTAGTTCTCTATTTCTACCTTCTACTACCTTATTTTTCTTTCTGCATCAAAACATTCCTTTTTTTTTTTCCACTCCATTTTTCTAAGTAGGCCAGTCACAAGTAAGCATCTTTTTGAAGGCTAATGCAATCCCATCACTGTGTTCTCTACACTTAACTCAGTATGAGGATGCCAAAGTAAGTCCCAATGAAACAGCACAGTGAATTGACCCCTCCCTACCACCAAGTGGACAGCAAGATTGGACTGGAAGTGTGTCCCATCCCAACCTATTATCCTGGTTAAATTTGTTTCTTCCTATGAATCTTCTCCTTCAAAACACTCTCAGCATTCTAGAGGGAGGAGATCACAAATAAACAAAAGGTAAAGAACTGTTCTGACTTCCCACATCACAGCCAGTGATGACTCAGCAACCAAGTTCTGCTCCCTTCTAGAAACAACATAGACAAAGAAAGCAAAAGGAAAGAAATGCTGACAGAGACCCACAAAGGCCGCTGTGATTTGGTAAAGCACCAAGCCTGCCAGCACGTCCTATGGAAAGTGAGGGCAGACACAACCACAGTTGGCAGGGAGAACAGCCAAGCCGCAGCACAGCTAATGACAGTCACCACTCTGGAGAAATGCTTCAAAGGGCAGCTGCAGAGGTGGCAGCCAGCTCACTGAGGAAAACGTAAGTCACAGGAGAGGAGAGGGGAGGTGGGGACGCTCTCAGGGAGTGGCTGTGTTCTGTTTTATTTGCTGCACATGCTAAACCAAGACTTCAACCAGAAAGCAAAGGTTCCAGGAATCATGGGCAAGCATTTGAAGAAATAAGGCTCAAAGTCCTCAAGTGATGTTAAAATATTTGCCTTGATAGACCCCCTCATGGCTTTAGAATATGATAATTTTAGACACAATCACCAGAGATGTTGTAAACTGCTGAGCACCTAATATGTATCTTTTTTTAAAGTAGGATAATAGTTCTGCAAGGCTAACATTCTCACTTTTTACAATAGAAAGTAGGAGCTGAGAGACCCCATGCTGCAGCTCAGAGCCACTAACTTTTCCTCCAGATAGCAAGGATCTAGGAAATAATTGAGCCACAAATAATTACTGGTATGCTTGGCCCTGGGAACTATTCCATGGCCAAGAGCTCAAGCTGGAAAATCCCCTTTCCTGACCTTACTTCCTGCACTTCTTACCCCACAGCCCTCTCATCCCTGCTGATCTGTCCTCACCTTCACTGAGTCTCCATTTTCTAGATTCTTCTCTTGTCTCCTCATTCATCAGAGTCTTTCTGGCTTCTTTTGCCCCTTACCCAGCCTGGAATCCATTAGAAATGATTTAAATAGGGCTTTTGCAGGAATCTTAGAATTGCTCACTCCCAAACTGCCTCCTATGGCTGGATTGTCAATCATCGAATCTGGCAAACCCATACTTATCTTCCCTCTATCCATAGCTGCCAAGTAGTGTGGGAAAAATCACCAAAGCACATAGATTGTATCCCACAAGTCTATTTTCTCTAAATCCTGGCTGGGCCCTCCCTCCTTCTTGACAATCCTTTCTGTTAACTTTTCCTGTTGCCCTTCAGCACTTCTAACAGCATTAGTCTCCTCAGACACATAACTATCTGACTGCCTTACCTGCAAAGACAACTCATCTCTTGTCATTCTAAGAAGAATAAATCATTTCTTGGGGCTTCTCTCAAGTTTTTCCTCAAAATTTTCTGTGTTTTTCGTCACAGTTTTACCTTCCCTCCTATTGAAAAGAAAGACATATTCCTGTTCCTTTTTATAAAGCTGTACTATACCTGGGCTCCTCATCCTTTAGCTTCTCACTTTCTCTAGGTCCTTGCTCCATTCATTTCGTCCTTGCTCACTTGGGATTTGTCTCTCAGTGGCTGCTAGTTCTATCCTCTTTGTTGTAACCAATAGCAAGAAATATTGAACTTTCCGGAAACCATGTGTAAGCTATTTCTTGGAGGGACACTTAAACCAACTGAGAACACAGAAATCCCACAAGGAAAAACACAACCTGCTGATAATGAACTCTATTTAAAAATAAAGTATTACAATACACACACACAAACACACACACACACACACACACACACACACACACACAAGAATAAAGGACCAAGAGGGAATGGAATGCCAGAAGATGTAATTAATACATGAGAGAATTATCATTCCAAGTACTGGGAGAGAAGAGAACTGAAACAGACTAAAAAAATATGTATATTTAAAATTATTAAAACTTTGTTAAAAAATAATAAAAGTATGAAAAAGGACAGATTTTTAAAAAACAGAATTTATAGGAATGAAAAATATAGTGCTTAAAATTAGAAGTTCAAGGCCAGGCACGGTGGCTCACACCTGTAATTTCAGCACTTTGGGAGGCCAAGAGGGTCTATCACTTGAGGCTATGAGTTCAAGAACAGCCTGGCCAACATGGCAAAACCCCATCTCTATTAAAAATACAAAAATTAGCTGGGCATAGTGGTGCATGCCTGCAATCCCAGCTACTTGGGAGGCTGAGGCATAAGAATCACTTGAACCAGGAAGCTGAAGTTCCAGTGAGCCGAGATCATGTCACTGCACTCCAGCCTGGGTGACACAGTGAGACCTTGTCTCAAAAATAATAATAACAAAAAAATAAAATTAGAAGCTCAAAGTATGTGGCAGATTAAACAGAGTTGAAGAGAATATTACAAAAATGGGAACTAGATCTAAAGAAATTATGCAGAATACAGCTGAGAATAATAAAAAGATAGGAAATATGAAAGTAGTTAAGAGATATAAAGGCTAGGGTATGAAAGTCCAAAATAAATCTCCAAAAAGAGAAAAAAGAGAGAATGAGGGTGAGGTAATATTGAAAAGACAATGGCTAAGATTTTTCCAGAACTGAATTGTAATTCCTCAAAATGAAAAAGTACCCAAATGCTGAAGAGGCTAAATGAAAATGAATCTGCTACTAGACACACTGTGGTAAAATTGCAGAATAGCAAAAACAGCAGAAAATCTCCAAAGCAAACAAAGAGAAGATACAAATTGCCAACAAAAAAATGACAGCTGGATCCCCAGTAGACTTCCCATCAGCAACAGAATATCCCACAAGAAAATCACATTGTATTTTCATGCTATTGTTTGAAAACAACTGTCAACCTAGAATACAACACCTAACTCAACAAAACTCCCAGAGAGGAGAGTAAAGATGTTTATGGAAAAAGGAAAGGAGAATTTGCCATTCATCACTGAAATACCTACTAAAAATACACTTCATTAAGGAAATTTAGTCCAGAACAAAGAAGTAAAAAGCAAGATGCAATGATGAACACAAATATCAGTACATATGATGATAAATGGAAACTGTAAACAAAGCATAATAATAATTCAGACAACTAATGAGGAAGTTAGAACTAGATAGAAGACAATAGTAGTCACTAATAACATGGAAATGGAAGAGGAGCTGAGTTTAAAAAGTAAGCTCAGATGAATGGATAAAGAAAATGTGAAATAATCCACAAAATTACATATATATATAAATTACATATATAATGATATATCTAAATTATTCCACATAAATTTCATATATAGGTATATATAGCATCATTATATACATGTATGTATACATAATATCTCATTTTAGATATATATACACACACACACTCACATATGAATATAAAAAAAGCAGGAAATTTTGCCATTTGTAACAATATGGATGAACCCTAAGGACATTATTCTAAGTGAAATAAGCCAGACACAGAAAGAAAAATACTCACTCATGACCTCACATATGACCTCACTTATATGTGGAATCTTTAAAAAGTTGAACTCATAGAAGCACACAGTAGATGATGATTTTCAGGGGCTGGATGGGCAGGGAATGGGAAGATGGTAAAATAAAGGGTACGAACTTTCGATTATAGGATGGATAAGTTCTGGGAATCTAATGCATAGCACGGTGATTATAGTTAATAATACTGTATGGTATACTTAAAATTTGCTAAGAGAAAAGAACTTTAGTGTTCTCAGCACACAAAAAAGTAACTCTGTGAGGTGACAAATTGTGTTAATTCACTTGAATCTGGTGATGGTTTCACAATGGGTATGTATGTCGAATCATTGCATTGGACACCTTAAACATATACAATTTTTGTTTGTCAGGTGTAACTCAATAAAGCTGAACAGACAAGTGGAAGTCCTCACAGTGCTTGGGAAACATTAACTTTAAACTTAGTCAAGTATTAGTCACAAGAATTTAAAGATTATCACTATAATTTAAATTTAGAATTTAAAGATTATCACAATAGAAATAAAAAGTATAACTCCCAAACTAGAAAAAGAAGAAGAGGAAAAACAAAACTCAAATAGACCAAAAGGGCAAAAAGAAAGGAGAATGACGCAAAAACAGAAAATTAGATGGAAGAAATAGATCCAAATATACTAGTAATATATGTAAAAAAATTAAAACCACTGGTTATAGTCTCAGACTGGAATTTTTGAAATTTGAACTGTATGATATTTACAAGGTACAGATGAAAAAAGATACGCCAGGCAAATAGTAAGTGCAAGAAAGCTAGGAGAGCCTTATTATAATCAGACAAAATGGAATTTAAGACAGAGTTGTTAGTATTAAACACACTAAATGAGAAGGGAAATTTTTTTCAGGAAGAGAGACTGACCTTGACTGTTGTGCTAAACAATATGGTCTCAAAATATATAAAGCAAAAAGCTGCAAGATTATAAGGGGAAAAAATGAAAAAATCACAGAGGTAGATTTTAACACATCTTTGTCAGAAAGCGAGTCACCTAGACCAAAAATTGGTAAGACATAGAAGATTCAAATAATTATAATAATCAATATTGACCTATGTGACATTTAGAATTCTGAGATGAGGCAGAAAAACATAACTTTCAAATAATGGAACACCCATGCCAAATGAAAGGTGTTTTTTCCGCCTGACATCAACAGATTCTGACACCAAATGTGTAGGGGATTTTCCACACCCACAACCAATTCTACAATTCCTTGGCACCAACCGGGTATTCTACAATTCAGTTCAATTCTGACACTAACTAACCACAGTTAGTATCAGACACCAAAGGTTTAAGGACTCAGTACCACGAATCAGTCACAAGTATGAGGTTCCCAGATTACTGATGCCTCATCTGACTTAGCTACAAGGTTGTGGAATCCCATAATCCCCTCCTTCAGGTTGTGAACAGCTCACAGAATTCAGGAAAGCACCTTACTTGCACTTACTGGTTTATTATAAAGGGTACAAATGAGCCAAATGAACAGGTATGTAGAGTGAAGTCCAGATGTGTCCCAAGCTCAGGAGCCTCTGTCCTGTGGAGTTGGGATGTGGCACCCTCCCAGTATATGGATGCATTCACCAACCCAGAAGCTCTCCAAACCCCATTGTTTAGGATTTTTTTAAGGAAGTTAAATCACAAAGGAGTGATCAATTATTAACTCAATCTCCAGCCCCTTCTTCCTACCTGGAGGTTGAGGGGTGCGGCTGAAAGTTTTAGGCTTCTAATCAAGTTTTCTGGTTGGTGACCAGTCCCCATCCTGAAGTGATCTAAGGGCCCAACCAAGAGTCACTTCATTAGAACAAAATATGCTCCTATCAGCCTGGCGTGGTGGCTCACGCCTGTAATCCCAGCACTTTGGGAGGCCGAGGCAGGCAGATCACCTGAGGTCGGGAGTTCAAGACCAGCCTGACCAACATGGAGAAATCCCGTCCCTACTAAAAATACAAAATTAGCCAGGTGTGGTGGCACATGCCTGTAATCCCAGCTACTCAGGAGGCTGAGGCAGGAGAATTGCTTGAACCTGGAAGGTGGAGGTTGCAGTGAGCCAAGATCACGTCATTGCACTCCAACCTGGGCAACAACAGTGAAACTCCATCTCAAAAAAAAAAAAAAAAAAAAAAAATATATATATATATATATATATATATATATGCTCCTATCACCCCATCACTCAGAGAATTATAAGAGATTCAGGAGCTCTGTCAAAAACCAAGGACAAAGATCAAACATATTTCCATGATGCCACACAAAGAAAACATATTTCCAAATAACTTGTGAGCTAACAACTCATGATAGAAATTATTAGCATGACATGTCAAAACTTGTATGATACACCTAAAGTAGTATTAAAAGTAAAAAGTACATATATGTATATATGTATCACAATGAACTAGAAATAAGGTGAACTAAGCATTCAATTCAAGAAGTTAGAAAGAGAAAGATGGAACTTGAAGAAAGTAGATGGATGCATATAATAAACGTAAGGGCACTTTGGAAGGCCGAGGCAGGTAGCTCGCTTGAGCTCGGGAGTTCGAGACCAGCCTGGGCAACATGGTGAAACCCTATCTCTATCAAAAATATAAAAAATTAGTTGAGCATGGTGGCATGCACCTATGGTCCCAGCTACTCAGGAGGCTAAGATGGGAGGACCAAGCACTCGAGCCCAGAAGGTGGAGGTTGATTGCAGTAAGCCGAGATGGTACCACTACTCTCCAGTCTGGGTGACAAAGTGAGACCCTGTCTCAAAATAATAATAATAATAATAATAATAATAAACACAAGGGAAGAAACGATAGAAAAGAACAATAAAACCAAGTTCTTTTTCTGAAATGGAAAATTAAATAGATGATTTTCTGGTAAGATGGGTCAAGGAAAGGAGATTGTACAAGTTAGACAATGGTAGCAGTAGAAAAGAGAAGAGCATTTTAGATGAACTAGGGATTCAAAACTAATCTTAAGTGAACACTATGAACCCACATTTTGAGAAATAAATTTATAATTTTTTGATAAATTTGCCAATATTGACTCAAAAAGAAATAAAAACAAGTCTATAATTTTAAAGACTATCCCCAAATTTTATCCACATAAATTCCTAAAGCCAGATGATTTCTACTAATGAGTATTACCAAAGCTTCAATAAACATAAAATCTTAATTTTATATAAGCTATATTGAAAAGTAAAATAGAAATCTCTCAATCTTCCTTTAGGTACCATTATAACCTTGGCACCAAAACTAAACAAGGGGAGTCTGAGAAATAATAGTAATAGGAAGAAGAAAATGGAGTTGACATACATTAAATGTTCAACAAGGCACTGAGAACTGTTTTAGAGTTTTACTTGGATTATTCTTTTCTTTTCTTTTTTTTTTTTTTGAGACTAAGTCTCACTTTATCACTCAGGCTGGAGTGCAGTGGCACAATCTCCGCTCACTGAAACCTCTGCCTCCTGGCTTCAAGTGATTCTCCTGCCTCAGCCTCCTGAGTAACTGGGATTACAGGTGTGCACCATCACGCCTGGCTAATTTTTGTATTTTTAGTAGAGACAGGGTTTCACCATGTTGCCCAGGCTGGTCTTGAACTTCTGACCTCAAGTGATCCACCTGCCTTGGCCTCCCAAAGTGCTGGGATTACAGGTATGAGCCACCGTGCCCAGCCTTATTTGGATTATATCATTTAATTTCTTCAAAAAAAAAAAAAAACTATGTGGTTGGTGTTATTATTAACTGCATTTGGAGATAAGGAAACTGAGTCATAAAGAATGTCTGTAATTTACTCAAGTTAGTAGTCAGAAGTGATAGAACAAGAATTCAAACTTTGAACAGTCTCACTTCAGAGCATGCGCTATTAACCACTATGCTATAACACCAATATTTGCATCTGTGACCAAAGAATGAATATCAAGCGAAAACAGATGCCAAAAACACTAAATAAAATGTTAGCACATCTAATCAAGCATATTTTTAAAAAGCATTTAATCAAATTTGAAACCTATCCATGATTTTAAGATATGAAAAACTTAGAAAATTAGAATACAAGGGAACTTTCTTAATTTGATAACAGGCATCTATTGAAAGCAGACATATTATAGTGAGATTTCAATTTCCCATTAAATTCAGGAAAAGAAATGGATACTTCTATCATCATTTCTATTCAACATTGTACTGGAGATTATATCAAATAAAATAAGCCAATAAAGAAAACTAAATGCATAAAGACTAGAAAGAAAAAACAAACCTCTGATTTTTCAGACCAAATTATTATATACACAGAAAATCCAAGAAAATGTACCATATTATTAGAATAGAAAAACATGGGCTGGGCACAGTGGCTCACACCTGTAATCCCAGCACTTTGGGAGGCCGAGGCGAGCTGATCACCTGAGGTCAGGAGTTCGAGACTAGCCTGGCCAACATGGTGAAACCTAGTATCTACTAAAAATACAAAATTAGCCTGGCGTAGCAGTGCATGCTTGTAGTCCCAGCTACTTGGGAGGCTGAGGCAGGAGAGTTGCTCGAACCCAGGAGGCAGAGGTTGCAGTGAGCCAAGATTGCACCATTGCACTCCAGCCTGGGTGACAAGGGTGAAACTCTGTCTCAAAAAGAAAAAAAAAAAAATAGAAAAACATGCTTCAGAAAGGTTCCTAGATAAAAAAATCAATACACAAACATTTGTTGAACTCTTATTCCATTCACACTAGCAACAAAACATATTTATTCAGTAAAAATTTACTGGATATCTACTATATAGCAGGCACTGAGTTATGCACTAAAATAATATGTCCAGGACATTCATGGGAAAAATTATTAAACATTATGGAAAGATATGAAATAAGACCAAATTAATGGAGAGAGATATCATGTATGGGAAGACTCAAGACTCTATAAAGGACAACTCCAACTCTCCAAATTAATCTATAAATTCAGTAAATGCAATCCAACCCAAAATAATTTTGATTAAAATTTGATAGTATGATTCTAAAATTAACATGAAAAAGCAAAGGAACAAGGATATCTGAAATAATTTTAAAGAAGAACAAGGTGCAGCCTTTTGCCCTATAATATATCAACATTTGCTGTAAAGTTATACCAATTAAGAGAGTGAGTTCTTGGCACTAAGGTTCACCTTGAGGTGGGAGTGGGGTGCCACACCTGGGACACAGTTTTATGGGTCCTGCATTGCCCAAGGGTACTGGCAACACATCTGTGTCAACTAGGTTTTGCCAAATCATAATACTGAATTCTCTGCTACCTTTCATGGAAGAGCCCCTATATAAAACAGAAAATATGTACAGTTATGTGTCTGGACAATTTAAATAGCTTCTTGGCAATGGTCTGTAAAACTGAATATTAAATAGAAGAGTCTTTCCAAATCCTATGCAGAAAAGGCAGCCTTATCAGGAAACAAAATAGAAGTTGAGATTTGCCCAGGCATGGTAGGAAGAGACACTTCAGAAATGAAGCCAGTCATGGTGACCTTAAATGACCTTTGTTAACAGGAGGTGGTACGCTTCAGATAACTCGATGAGCCATTTGCCACAAGACAATTCAGGGCTAGAAGGCAGTGGCATTAATTAAACTCCTTGGAAGGCAGAATCAGCCTTTTCATTTTCTCTACCTCCACCCCCTTCTCTCCAAATATTTGGAAGTGATCCCATTGGAATAATCCTTTCCCTGGGGCTGAGAAGGAACAGTCAGCAAGCCAGATTAGGGTAAGAACTCAGTTTATTTCGGGCATGAATATTAAATGGGATTTATGACAGATGGAGTACTTGTTAATTCTTTCTATTAGTAGAGCTATTCATAACAGTAAAGAAAGGGCCATCCCAGAACAGAAAGGGATGTCTTTAATCCTTTCTCTTGGAAAAGGCCAATTCTCAATATTTCTCATTCCCTCTCTCTCCCCTGACACATGTACAGTTTCTCTATCACGTACAGACTCACACTCACACACACACACACTCTACACTCCTTATCAAAGGAAACCAGACTGCCCTCAGCTTGTGGACCCACGGCTCTCACTGATTCCAGCAGGAATTATGGGCATGGCATTGTGAGCCAGAATGTGACCTATCTCCTATGAATGAGTCCTACACCATAGGAAGGGAATTTGAAGTTAACAGAAAGAGTCCTGTGCTTCAGCCATCTGCTCAGGGATTCCAGTTTTTTTATACGACAAGAAGAGCACCAGAGCCCTCACAGGGCTAGCTCTTTATTAGCAGGGACCCTCCTTCTAGTCCAGGGCCCATCTTTTGTGCTGCCACATAAGAAACAATGCCCTCTTTCCCTGATGTCTTTTAATGTATGGTTGTTCTTTTATTAGGCTTTTGAGGTCTGAGAACCCAGCAGCCTCCCCCAAACCACCCCAAAAAGACAGTTCAGTATACAGAAACAGATCAGCTCCATCACAGAGCTTAGGACCAAATAACGTCGGATGCTGAACCACATAGCAGGCAGCCTCCTTGCTGCTTAACAGTTCTCACCTCAGATATGCGAGAGCTAATATAATCATACAAGAGCCAGCCAGGGAGAACAATGTCGGGGGAATGCATGAAAAACATTCACCGAGGTTGTACTGACACAATCCATCCTATATCCTGACTTGAGCTGCTTCTCTATTAAGCAAGGCTGATATCACTCCATCAAGTCCAACATACCGGCTTTGGTTTGCTCAGGTATAGGGGTTTCAGGGGTAGTTGAGCAATGTTGGCATTGGATCAGTCATTCACTTCTCATTCATGCATTCAACATTTTACTGAATACTATAAACCAAGTACATTGGTAGGCTCCAGCACAATCCAGGAGAGAAAAGAAACAAACAATAGCAACACTGTGTAATAGTAACACAGTATACTGGATTTGCATTTGTGGTGATAGGATAAGATGCAGAGAAAACTTCCCAGGAGACTTGACTGCTAGGCTGAGTCTTAAAGAACAAGTGTTGAGGGTATATTGGTGATGCCTCCCCTGCTTCCTTGATGGGCTTCCTTTCATCAAAAACACTCCAAAAACATCCCTGGTATCACTATGAAGGTGAGAATTCAACCGATGTTTGAAGCAATTCACTTCACCAAAATGAAACAATTCTAATAAAAGGTGCTCCATATCTCTGAAATTAATAAACCATCTCAAACATGTTTAATTGCCCAAAACATTTTTTAGTCACAAAGGCAGGAATCCAGCTATTAGAGAAAACAAATCATATTTCGGTATTTTATTTTCTATAAATAGTTTTTGTTCTGTTTTGTTTTGTATAAAACAGGGATCACGTGTTATACACATAATTTTGTAACCTGTTTTTTTTTTTTCACTTAACATTCTATTTTAAGCAATTCCCACATTCTTAAATACTCTCTGAGAAGGGTATTTTTAATGGCTGAAAAACATTCTACCATATGGATGGGCCACAATTATTTCAGATATTTCCTCACTGTTGGAAATGTAGGTCATGGCCATTCCTTTGCTCTACATGCTGCAATGAACATCTGAGTACACAGGTCTGTTTGTGCATATACAATTACTTCCTAGCAATAAATTTCTAAAAGCACAATAACTGGAACAAACACCACATATATTTTCTGGATTCTTGCTATATATTACTGAATTTCCCCAGAAATACAAACACAGTTCGTACTACCCAGTGGGTACTTAATAAATATTTATCAATCAATCAATGAATAAATGATTTTTAAGATTCTTTGTGATACTCTTGTGAAAAGTTGCCATATTTGAACTATAAGAAACTAAGTAAACTTTGAGGGAGTAATAAACACTTGGATTGGAGGAACCAGTAAACTAATAAATGTTTAAATATCTCAGAAGAATACAGACCAAAAATTACATCTACAGTAGAGTTATATATTCATTGGATGGAAAATTGTATACCCAAAATAATGCTGCAGAAGAGTAATTATTGTCATAGCAAAATGTGCACCTTGTGACACTAAACAAAATAAACATCCATATAAGTATATAAGTGTAAGCTATATTTACTGCTTTGGACTATAGTATGATCTTATTTTTGTGGAATACGTATGTGTGTAATACATACTGTATTATATACACTAGAAGACAAACACAAATATTAACAGTGATTCTGTTGGGTTATAGGTGATGTTTTCATTGTGATGTGTGTGTGTGTGTGTGTGTGTGTGTGTGTGTGTGTGTGTGTGCATCCCAAATCTTGTATATCAAGCATGGCACTACTTTTTTTAATTCAAAAAACCTGTTGTTAAATGTTGAATTACCATAGAACTAAAGGGAATACTTTCCAGAGCTAGAAATCTAACATAAAGATAGTAAACAAAATGATAAACAAGCAGTTCTTCCCCTGAGGGTTTATAATTCTGCTGGGGCTGCCATAACAAAATACCATAGACTGGGTGGCTTAAGCAACAGAAATTCATTTTCTCATAGTGCTGGAGGCTAGAAGTCTGAGATCAGGTGCCAACATGGTTGGGTGTTTGTGGGAGCTCCCTTCCTGGCTTCTTACAGACAGCCACCTTCTCATTGTGTCCTCACATGGCCTTTTCTCAGTGTGTGTGCAGAGAAAGAGAGGGAGAGAGTGTTCTGGTGTCTCTTCTTGTAAGAGTACTAATCCCATCATGAAGACCCTATCCTCATGACCTCATCTACCCCTAATTACCTCCATAAGGCCTCATCTCCAAGTACCATCACATTGAGGGTTAGGGATTCAACATATGAATTGTGGGGACACAAACATTCAGTCTATAACAGAGGGGATCAATATTAAGAAGGGCTCAAATTCACATATTTTAAAATAAAATATTTATGCAAGTCGCCTTGATAGATGATATAGTACAGAGAATACAACCATGAACAGGATGCAGTCCTGGCCATCAAATAAACACATTCTTATGAGAGGAGACAGAAAATTGTTACAAATCAGTGCAATAGAATTCTAACAAAAGTATATGCTGGGATATAGCTTCAGTGGAGAGAGGGAACACAGAAGAAGAGATCTTAGTCTGGAAACAATCATGAAATGTTTCTAAAATAAGTGAAACTTAAGCTGAATTTTGGGAAAAAAAAAGAGGAATTATTGAAGCTTGCAGAAGGCTGTGCCAGGCAGAGGCTACAGCCTGTACCAAGGCAATGAGGTGCTGAGGTGCTATAATAGAAAACAACTCAACACACATAAAAGGATGAGGCAGAGGACAAGGTTGGAGGAAGGACTCCCATCTCTAACCTGGTTCCTGAATTACTGGGGGATCTCATCAGAGATTCAATAAGCTGAACTGGACGAAATTGGTATGCCACGTTAGGAGGTTTGAACTTTATCTCCAGGACCACACAACTCACTAAAATTTAAACAGGGAAGAACAAAAAATGACTCATGATTCAGGAATACCCCTCTGGTAACAAAGTGGAAAGGAATAAATTCACTATCAATTTCAAGAATAAAGGCAGAAAGCTAGTGCAGAGGTTCTCCTAATAATTCAGATGAAAAGTGATGAGATCCTAAGTGATAAGGCCCAGATATTTATTTAGAAAATCAATAAGATGTGTATTGCCAAAGAGACAAATTGGTTATAGAAAATGTCTATAGTGAAGCTATAAACTGCATATGGTTGACTAAGAGGGTGAACGATGTGAAAGGCCTGAATTAAGAAAAAACTGCAAAGCCATTAGAAACAAGGCTACTTAATCAACATGGCAACCAACCAGTAGGATTATTCAAAGCATGTATATTGAGTTATGCTTGTAGAAATTGACTACAGTTGTAATAATTAATGTTCTAAGACACACTGTTGCATATCAAACAATCTGAATCAGGAATTTTCAGGTCATGCTCAAGGCTACTGCATGAAGACAGGAGGTGGCATAAAGAGGGCCAACAGTAAGAATCCTGCCTCTCCCTCACTTAGGCTAGAGTCTCTGCCACTTTAGGAGAGAAAACATGCTTGAAAGCCACTGATCTAAATAAATGTGTATGTGTGTATATGCCAATGGGGATGTATAACCAAACTTTTCATATGACCTAAACCTAACTAAATATATACCACCTTGGCATATTAATCAGCAATGTATATTTTTGTCCCATGTGGAAACTTAATAAGCACACCACAACTAACGGGTTTTAGGTTCTTCCACTAAATAATAAGTTCCTTAAAGACAGAGATTCCCTCCCTCCCACTGTTTATTATAGACTTTACAAATGAGGTGTCCGATAAACATTTGCTTGCTAAAAAGAAAAGGCAGGATAATTTTTAAAAATAAACAACGAAGAAATTCTTTTGTGGACCCAAAAGCAATTTGTCTGAAGGGGAAACACATCTCAGGTTAAATTTGTAATCTGCACACATACAGAAAGAATGCTAATTATTATCCTTAATGATTTAGCTATAAGGAATGAAGTCAGTATACCATAACCCCAGTTTACAACACAACCATCTTAGGACATGGTAAAGAATAGCACATCATAGTGGTGGCTTTATGTTAAGGAATATACCAGCTCATTACGTTCCAAACAATTATAGTGAAAGACTGGTCTCTTCCCAAAGCTGTATTTTCTCTTTATGTACACACACACACACACACACACAGCCAAAGAGGCATGTTAAGCAAACCTTATTGTCTCTGCAATGACTACTTAAGCAAGAAGGCAACCAATCAGTAGGATTATTCAAAGCATGTATATTGAATTATCTTTGTGTAAGTTATATCTATATATCTATGCATATCATATATGATGTTAAATACAAATGAGATGAGATGCCTATCTTTTGCAGTCTGTAAGAATTTTTTTTAAAGGAAGCATCCCAGTTGTGTTGACTGCCTCAGATTCATTTCCCTATTTTAAGTTTTAGAGCCTAAGAGAAAACAGCATTTGCAGTGATTTTTGTGGGTTCAATGAAAAGGTCACATGAAGCATGCACTTGTTTTAAGAGCTTGAAAATTCTATAGGAAAGACAGAAAAAACTCATACAATAAATAAAAAGGTGAGCTGAGGCCGGGCGCAGTGGCTCATGCCTGTAATCCCAGCACTTTGGGAGGCCGAGACGGGCAGATCACCTGAGATCAGGAGTTCAAGACCAGCCTGGCCAACATGGTGAAACCCCGTCTCTATTAAAAATACAAAATTAGCCAGGCATGGTGGCAGATGCCTGTAATCCCAGATACCCAGGAGGCTGAGGCAGGAGAATCACTTGAACCCAGGAGGCAGAGGTTGCCATGAGCTGAGATCATGCCACTGCACTCCAGCCTGGGCAACAAAGCAAGACTCTGCTTCAAAAAAAAAAAAAAAGAAAGAAAGAAAAAAAAAAAGGTGGGCTGCTGTTAGCTGTTTATTTCGGGCACCTGATTGATGTCGTGAGGGAAAATGTTATACACCAAACAGTAACTTGGTGATTATTTCTCCTAGCATAATTAAATTTATAACTAAATTCTGTACATTATTATTTAGATCAATGGAACAGAACAGAGCCCTCAGAAATAATGCCACATATCTACAACTATCTGATCTTTGACAAACCTGAGAAAAACAAGAAATGGGGAAAGGATTCCCTATTTAATAAATGGTGCTGGGAAAACTGGCTAGCCATATGTAGAAAGCTGAAACTGGATCCCTTTCTTACACCTTATACAAAAATTAATTCAAGATGGATTAAAGACTTAAACGTTAGACCTAAAACCATAAAAACCCTAGAAGAAAACCTAGGTATTACCATTCAGGACATAGACATGGGCAAGGACTTCATGTCTAAAACACCAAAAGCAATGGCAACAAAAGGCAAAATTGACAAATGGGATCTAATTAAACTAAAGAGCTTCTGCACAGCAAAAGAAACTACCATCAGAGTGAACAGGCAACCTACAAAATGGGAGAAAATTTTCGCAACCTACTCATCTGACAAAGGGCTAATATCCAGAATCTACAATGAACTCAAACAAATTTACAAGAAAAAAACCAACAACCCCATCAAAAAGTGGGCAAAGGATATGAACAGACACTTCTCAAAAGAAGACATTTATGCAGCCAAAAAACACATGAAAAAATGCTCACCATCACTGGCCATCAGAGAAATGCAAATCAAAACCACAATGAGATATCATCTCACACCAGTTAGAATGGCAATCATTAAAAAGTCAGGAAACAACAGGTGCTGGAGAGGATGTGGAGAAATAGGAACACTTTTACACTGTTGGTGGGACTGTAAACTAGTTCAACCACTGTGCAAGTCAGTGTGGCGATTCCTCAGGGATCTAGAACTAGAAATACCATTTGATCCAGCCATCCCATTACTGGGTATACACCCAAAGGATTATAAATCATGCTGCTATAAAGACACATGCACATGTATGTTTATTGCGGCACTATTCACAGTAGCAAAGACTTGGAACCAACCCAATGTCCAACAATGATAGACTGGATTAAGAAAATGTGGCACATATACACCATGGAATACTATGCAGCCATAAAAAATGATGAGTTCATGTCCTTTGAAGGGACATGGATGAAATTGGAAATCATCATTCTCAGTAAACTATCGCAAGGACAAAAAACCAAACACCGCATGTTCTCACTCATAGGTGGGAGTTGAACAATGAGAACACATGGACACAGGAAGGGAAACATCACACTCTGGGGACTGTTGTGGGGTGGGGGTGGGGGGAGGGATAGCATTAGGAGATATACCTAATGCCAAATGACGAGTTAATGGGTGCAGCACACCAGCATGGCACATGTATACATATGTAACTAACCTGCACATTGTGCACACGTACCCTAAAACTTAAAGTATAATAATAAAAAAAAGAATAAAGTTTAGAAAAATTTATGAAAAAAATAAAAATAAAAAAATAAAGTCTTTCAAAAGCAAGTAAAGGAAAAACTTGGCTTGGCTGCCTGTAGATAATTTTGTTTTGATACCAGTTTGAATAAAACAAGAACTCTCTGATGGATTTATAACATGATAGTGCAATTCAAGCATGGGATAAACTGAAGGTGACAGGAAGGGTGGCACATAGGCCATGTGCAATAAGCGTCACATTGACAGGGCAGCCTACAGGAGAACTTAGCAAACGTGGAAAGTGACTGGGCAGAAAGGTGGTGATACCTCAGTTCAGCAATGCCCTGAGTATATGTGAAGAAGAATCTCTTGATAAGCAGTATAAATCCAATTAGTAACATTCAGATTTTCATATTTTCATAAATTTCAAACACTATTTTTTGAAAAGTGCAGTCACAGTAAATCTGAGACCGCAATGTATTCAGCGTAGGATAGCACAGCAAGAGCAGCAGTGTGCACAGTGCCAGTCCAGCATGACAGGTCCATGAAAATGTCTATCCCGGGAGCAACACCACTGGCCCACTCTACAGCTTCTCCTGCATCACTGACATTGCTAAGTTACTTTATACACTTCATTCTCATCACAGTGAGTTTTCTGACTCAACATTCATAAGTCTCTCCATGTTCTTGTTCCTGCACAAGCAAATTATTTCTCAAAACCTCTTTCCCAACTTCTCTCTTGAGGGTAGGTTTCTGTTCTACAATCAAGTATCATCTTCCTCCTAATCATGGGAAATGCTGAGGAGATATTCACCTTTCCTCAGTGTGGATAGTGTGAGAAAAAGATCAAATCCAGGAAAAATGAGTACCAAGAAGGAAGGGGGGGAATCCACCTTTATCCATGTAGATAACTTCAGATGCAATCCCAGAAAGGGGCAGTCATGTTCCCATGGGTGTTTAAACATGGCTGGAATATAGCTAAATAAAAGCAAGCTAATTATCATTGATGAGCACACATGCTATTTACCTTTGGTGAGCCTTTTTCTGAACTTGAACAACGGATTTCCAATATTTACCATTGCAATGATTCATAAAAAGTTAAGATATTCTGGATCAAAATTGCAGTGTCCACTAAAAATACTCAGTTCTGACTTCCTTTTCAAATCAATGTGAAAGGCCATACAAGGTAAGTATACAATTCCACACTCAGTTTGAGATTCCAGAGTGTTACTTGTGAAAATAGATAGATGAGATTGTGAGGGGGGGTTGCAGATTCTAGTAATAAATGCATCTCTTCTTCGTATAAGATCTTCTCGGGGATGTGTCACTATCCTACACTGCATTGCTTCTGTTTCCAATTAGTTTCCAAAGCTACCATAGCCACAGTACACAGAGTGATACAGACAGGAAGCTAAGACAATTGTATACCTCTCTTGCATGGTTGATAATTTAAGCAGTAGAATGTCCAAGACTGTACCCATTTGGGGCTTTATTCATCATGAACAACAAGGTTTTTTTCCTGGCCTTATAGTAAATCTTTCATCAACAACTACAGTGAACAACACAGATCCAAGAATAGAGTTATTCTGTGTGACAGCAGAGAGAAGAGTCAGATGCATGATCCAAGGAAAATTCCCAGAAGGCATGAAGCCAAACCAAAGTAGGAGGGAGCATGTGGTGGAGTGGGCTTGAGTGAGCAGCTGTTTCCCACTATTTTCCTCTCAGTCAAAACTCTTTTTATTGCCACTGCCCTTAAGCCACATCAATAGCCTTGCCATGATTCTCTTACCTCGATGTATTTCTGTTCTTGAAATGAGATGGAAAGGCAGAAACCTGAAGAGTCTCTTTCTCTTCTCCATAAATCACCAACTAGATTAAAAAATAGAGCCCATTCACCAGTTACTCTTCTCATCTCGTAGGACTCTATTAACATGGTTTTGTCAAGTGTGCTATAAGGGAAATGGCTTAGGGAAGTTGGCAGACCTCAATAAACCATCGCATGGTTGTATTGAAGTTGAACAGTTAGAATGGCCAGGTGGCATATTACCAAAAAGAATGCCAAGGGAAAACTAAAAAACCTCTTTGTGAAGGTCTTATTCCTAAATACACAAACATTGAACCCCAAAAAATGAACAAATCTTCAAGATTGCAGATTGATTTAATAAATTTATTCCAGAATCCCATATATAATAAATGATTAAAAGAAAGGAACAAAGTTTCTACTAGGATGTCTTGAACACAAATAGCTCTTTCATTGTGTATAAGCCTAGTGAAATTTCATTCCGATGGAACAGCCTGTTCTGCCGTTCACCTTCATAAAGCTTCATCTAAGGATAACGGCCATTCAAACAATCAAATTACCCACTGTGGTTTCTTAAGAAAGGTGCAGTTCTGTATTTCTAAAATGTTCATTTATGTAATTAATGACTTTGGACTTGCAGGGAAATATTCTCCTGATTATTTGATACAATTGTAGGGCATGAATCTACTGGCAATGATCAAATCTTAAACACAAATGTGGAATAATTGCTCAAAATACATGTAAAAGTCTTTCATGATTAAATTAGCATGGGACTGAGAACCAAAAGTACTGTATAAGAATCACTGCATTTACCTGAAATTTTTCTGAGAAAATCAACATATCTATCTTAGAAATCATAGAATCTCTGAGGGGGCTGAGACCTTAGATAACATTAAAAGCAAACTTCTTTGGTAGGGTGACCAATTCTTCCAGGTTTGCCTGGGATTTTTCTGATTTTAGCACTGAAGATTCTAAGTCTTAGAAAAATCTCTGAGTCTTGGGTAAACGAAGTTGGTCACTCTACTCTTTGGATTCATGAATCTTCTCTGTGACATAACATAGAAGAAACTTAACTGAGACTTCACAGAGTTCGGTTAGAACACAGAATAACACAGACATGGACTTCACAGAGTTCTATTCTCCGTTGTGTCAAAATCAGTGCTATGATCTATCCTTGCTCTGCCTTCCACAGCAAGACAAAGTTTATTCCCTCTTCTACCTGGTAGCTCTATGAGTATGTGAAGGCTGCCCTTCCCATCCCACATTTCCCCAATCCAGTCTCTATTCTCTAGGATAAGCTGGCCTAGCCCCTTCATCTGCTCCTTGAGTGTTCTCATTCCATTGGTAACCTCACTACTCTCCTCTGGGCAGGCTCATCTGTCAAGGTCCCTCAAGCACTGACAGGCCAAACTTAGCTCAAGGCTCTGCACAATGCCTGAGCAGACTTCATGAGCCCCTCCTTCATGGGCCTGGGTGTCATGTTCCCATGCAGACAGACATTCCTTTAATTCATTTGTCCACCATATCCCACCATCAGATAAGAATACAATTCATGTCAACATAAAATCATGAAGATTTTTTACATATGCTATTATTCAAAGCTCTGCCATCTTGTAGTTTTGTAATTGAATTGGTCTTTAGACCCAAACATCACACATTTATCCTTTACAGTGAACCCATTATTCCAGCCCATGATCCCAGCTTTGGATCATAATTCTATCACCCAAATTATTCATTCCAGTAATTTGGTTCCAGGTTCATATAGTATGCAAATGTTTTCTGCATGTCAACATCTGCAATCATGCAAATCATTGGCAGAAATGTTGACTAGGTCAAGCGGAATACCAGATGATTAGTCAGTACACACCTATTGGCTACATAAAGGCAGGTATTCATGTGGGTCCTTTATTTTGAAATATTCTTTAGGGCTTTCCCTTCCAGATTTTAGAAATTGAAACAAGAAAGAGTACAAACACACAGTAGCCACACTTTCTTCTTTTCAACCAGTAACTGCCTTCTCTTTACCTTGAGCCCACATATATTCCTTCAGGCATTTCCAAACTTCAATGAAACAAGTTATGATAGAAATCCCATCATGAGCTGGAACTGAGCAGCACTGAGTGTGAATCATGAGTGCAGAGCTGCCAGTATTCTTGACTCTCTTCTTTCCTGGCACACAATAGGGCTGCATTTGCCCACCACTTTTGAGGTTGGGCATGGCCGTGTGACTTGTGTTAGCCAATGACATGCATGTGGAATGATATGTATTACACACTGGCAGGAGCTATAAAATCCAGCTATGGGGTTTGTCATGTTTCCTCCTCAGTGTTGTTTTGATCAGGGAAAGAAGTGTCAAGACAAAGCCTTCATTAGCCTGGGTCCCTGGGAGAACACAACTCTTAGTAGGGTGAATATGAGGGTGATGGATGTGTCAGAGTTCCCCTGCGGACCCATATTGGACATGCAGGTTGAGTAGGAAACAAAGCCCCTGAGATGTCGGTTGTTTTTTTTTTTCACTGTTCTATGACTTTGCCTATTACACAGGGTAACTACAATGCAGAAGTAGAAAAATACATGAACTCCTGTTTACAAGAAGCTTACAGTATAGTTGGGATAAATCATACCCACAAAATACAAGTAAGGACTCAATTAGCATGAAGTAGGATGCTAAACTGAAAAGTAGAGATAATTAGCCAGTAAGATGTGGTGCTAAATGTGAGTCACTGAGATGATGCATTAAAAGGGAATTAGTAAAATAGGAGCTCAATGTGGGCTTACAATTCTCAGAACACATTTCATTTCCGCTAAGCAAAAGTGCAAATTATATAATTTATTGAAAAGTATTATAGGAAATGGTTCTACAAATATGTTGACTCTTCTCTTTAAAAACTGTAATAAAAGTGTGGGCTTAAGTTATGGGGCCATTTTCCATGTATTTGATTTCAGTCTTTTCTAATAAGGTACTTAGTGTTTTTTTAATGGACATATTATAGATCTTTGTCTATAATGGACAGATTTAGCACTTTATCAAGACAGAGGGGTCACCCTTTCCAGGAGTTTTATAGAAACCTTGGCAATTATTGCAACGCAGACAAAATGGGGCTGATCATAGCACCCACTTAAATATGATTGACTTTATTTCACAGAAAGGTCCGTTATTACAACGACACAGATAAATATTCGTCTGAATACCCAATATCAATTTGGCTGACCTAGCAAAGATATGGCCTTGTTTCTTTTTCAAATATATTCAGCCTCTCCTTTCTGTCCTTCTATAGGGATGAAGGAAGTTTGGTATTAATTGGAATAGTCATTCACTCATTTAGCAAGCACCTACTCTCTGCCAAGGACTGTGCTATTATGAATAGATATTGGTTATTCATTAATGAGCACAATAGTCTAGGGTCTGTCCTCAGGGAGCTTACAATGCAGAGGGGGAAGAGACAGACAGCAGAGAGGGGAGGGAGAAGGACTTTCTAGTAGAAGAAACACCATGTCTTCCCTACTCTGAATCAGAAAGTTTCGAGTATTCAAGAAAATCAAAGTCCAGCATGTATCAATCAAGCAGGGTAGATGAAAAGGAAAGTTGCTTGAGATGAGACTGAAGTTGGGTAATGGGCAGGCCACATGGGACTTGGACCCTCTCTTAATTTTTTTTTTTTTTCATTTTATCTCAAATGCCCTCAGAGCTTTAAACAGGGGGTACAATGTGACACAATTTCCATTTTAAGAAAGTCACTCTGGCTGTATGAAGAATGAACTGGTAGGGTTAGTGTAGAGATGGTGGAGTAAGAAGAACTGTTGTAGAAGCCCAAGCAAGAGGTAGCAGTGACCTAGACTGGAGTGGTAGGGATAGTAATGGCATGAAGTAAATAGACTGAAATATATTCGGAAGTAAAATCTTAGAGGGGTGAATATGGATGCGAGAGCTCCTGGTTTCTGGCATGAGCAAGTCTCCATTTTGCACAATAGGAAGAGAGGACGAAGAGCTAGAATGAGGAAGCAGAGTAACGGTTCCCTGTTGTTGAATGCAGCTGTTATTGAATGCAATTGGATACATTGGTCTGAAGCTCAGCAGAGCAGAGTGGGCAAGAGATGCAAATGTGGGGGTCATCCGCTTAATGCTGGTATTAGGCTGTGAGTACAGGACAAGGAGGACATGTGGGCTTGGAAATGTGAGCAAGAACAATGAAAGTTCTTGGGAGCCAAGAAGAAGTTGGATCAGAGGCCTAATAAGTTTAAGAGAATAATTCTTGACATCCCTTGATCTAATCGCAGATCTATATGAGAATATGGAAATGTTTGTACCTGCTCCCATTATGCCCCTAAATCACAGATCAAAACAGTAGCATCTCTGTGCCTATCTCTACATCACAAGTTAACTTCATTTTCAACTTTTACTACAAGTTTCCTCTCCCACTCAACTATTTTTCAAAAGAGAATGACATTTTTATCACGGCACAAGTTTTACTATCTAAGCAATCTTGGGTAGAGGAATGCTTCCCAAATACCAAACTGTGACAAAATGTTGTTCACCAATCCATGACAAAATAACAAAACTAGAACCACAGAACATATATAATGTCAAGATAAGGTGGCCAATAATCACTTCCTGGGATAGATGCTCCATTATTCTGAAATCATGTCAGTTCTACCCTTTTAGTATTAAAATATCCTTTCTTTTAAGAAATAATGGTGATAGATTTTTTTTTTTTTTTTGAGATAGAGTCTTGCTCTGTCGCCCAGGCTAGAGTTCAGTGGTGCAGTCTCAGCTCACTGAAACCTCTGCCTCGTGGGTTCAAGTGATTCTCCTGCCACAGCCTCCCAAGCAGCTGGCATTACAGGCATGCACCACCACACCTGGCTAATTTTGGTATGTTTAGTAGAGACGGGGTTTCACCAAGTTGGCCAGGCTGGTCTCAAACTCCTGACCTCAGATGATCCACCAGCCTCGGCCTCCCAAAGTGCTGGGATTACAGGCGTGAGCCATCACACCCAGCCAAGACTTTTTTTTCTGATGTCCTTACTTAGCAAAATAAAAGATTAATAATTCTATGTAAAACTCTACTTTTTAATTGTACAAGTCTGTGAAATCCCAAATCAGGGAAGAATAAGAAAAGAGAAGAAGAGAAGAACAAAGCGTCATTGAGGAGCCAAGTGCCAGCTCTCAGCTAGGTTTACTCTCTAGCTGAACCACTCCCTCCCAGACACAGCCTCAGGAGTCCCTAGGATTCACTTTTGTGCTTCAGCAGACACTACTAAATGCCATGTACATTTGAAGTTGTTTCCAGACAGTCAAAACCACAAATGTCAGGGTGCACTTTATTAGTAAAACTGACTCACTGTGCACTAGGCAAAGAAATTCCTGCATTCCACTCTAAGAACTGTAAACGGGGCCCCAGCTAGCTGTTCTCTCTTGTGCTACTTACCATGCTTAGATCTTGATTTGAACAAATCGACTATAAAAAGACTGTGCTGGCAATTGAATACATGCGACTATGGTCTGGGTATTACTTACTATTAAGGAATTACTGTTAATTTTTTTAGGTGTATTAATGACATTATGTTACGAAAATATAATTTTCTTTTTTCTTTTTTTTTTGGAGACAGGGTCTTGATCAGGCTGGAGTGCAGTGACATAATCACAGCTCACTGCATCCTCAGACTCCTGGGCTCAAGCAATCCTCCCATCTCAGTCTTCCAAGTAATTAGGACTAGAAGTGTGTATTAGTCTGTTCTCAAGCTGCTGATGAAGACATACCCTAGACTGGGCAATTTGCAAAAGAAAGAGGTTTAATGGACTCACAGTTCCACGTGACTGCGGATGCCTCACCATGGCAGCAGACGAGAGGAGAATGAGAGCCAAGTGAAAGGGGTTTCCCCTTATAAAACCACCAGATCTCAGGAGTCTTATTCACTACCACGACAACAGTATGGGGGAAACTGCCACCCCCATGATTCAATTATCTCCCACCGGGTCCCTCCCACAATATGAGGGAATTATGGGAGCTACAATTTATGAGATTTATGAGATTTGGGTGGGGACACAGCCAAACCATATCAGTGTGCCACCACACTCAGCTAATTTATTATTTTTAGAAACATGGTCTCACTATGTTGCCCAGGCTGGTCTGCACTCCAGGGTTCCAGTGATCCTCCCATCTTGGCCTCCCAAAGCACTAGGATTACAGGCATGAGCCATCACACCCAGCCAAGAAAACATTATCTTCTAGATATGCACACTGAAGTATTTGATATAAAATGTATGATATTTGGGATTGCTTCATAATATTTTAGCAAAAATAAAATAAGTGAAATACAGCAAGCTGCTGAGCATTGATAAGTCTTGATGATGATGATGGTATATTTCACTATCTTACTTTTATGTCTGTTTGGAATTTTTCACAGTGAGAAGGAAGGAAGGAAGGGAGGGAGGGAGGGATGGAGGGAGGGAGGGAGGGGAGGGGAGGGAGGGGAGGGGAGGGGAGGACGGACTCTGTCCAACACCCTTATCATTTCATAATGACTTTAAATGGAAGGAAGATAGATTAATAGGAGGGAGCAATTCCCACTAGTATTTGTGAATACCTATTTTGGGTGCTCTCCATGACAGGAATGCACATGAAGGCACATAGTACAGTCTGATAGGGGTTACAACCAATGCTGTGGAGATGAGGAAAAGGAAACTCAGGTTAGCCTACATTACCTTTTTTGTTTGTTTGTTTTGAGACAGAGTCTCACTCTGTCACCCAGGCTGGAGTGTAGTGGCGCGATCTTGGCTCACTGCAACCTCCACCTCCGGGGTTCAAGCCATTCTCCTGTCTCAGCCTCCTGTGTATCTGGGACTACAGGCACATGCCACCACGCCCAGCTAATTTTTGTATTTTTAGTAGAGATGAGGTTTCACCATATTGGTCAGGCTAGTCTTGCACTCCTGACCTCAGGTGATCCACCTGCCATGGTCTCCCAAAGTGCTGGGATTACCGGTGTGAGCAACTGTGCCCAGCCTAACCTACATTTCCACATGGAAAATAGAAAGAGAACAAACTGGCTAAATGGAGCTACTTGGCTGCTAAAGAAATTCATTTCAGAGGAATTAAAAACAAAAACAATTATGTTGATTCTTAAGGGGCTATCTCAAAATCCAGGGACAACACAGACCCTGCAGACACATGGGCTCTGCCAGGATTGGGGCAGCCACTTCCTCCAGGCCCTTTTGTTAATTGGACCTGGCAATAGCTGTCACTCCCAGCCATCCTGACTCCGGTCCTTTCCATTTCCCTGCCACTCAGATAAAGGAACAAGAATTCTGACGCGGGGCATATGAAAAGGAAAGACAGCTCTTCCATAGTCACACCCAGAAGAGGGCAGATGAACCTGAGAAATAAAAATAAAATCCTAAGCTCTGCAGCTGACTGAACAGGCCCCCTCTTGGCCAAGGGGACCACAGAGAAACCTTGAAAACTGAGTTCCGAGCCATGATTGGATGGGAGTTTGGACAGGCCTAGTTATACCTCCTCCCTTGCTTTTCTTTCCTAAGGGTTAAACAGAAACTAGTCCTTGGGAAAGGCTTGCCCCACCATTGATTTCAACCAACCCCATGACTGCCCCTCCCATTTAGTGCCTTTGACACAAATGACCAGCATTCCTTCTGACCACAGAGTGGTTCTGGCCAGTCTACAGAGGATGTACACTGAGGATTTTTGTGTCCAATGCTTCACCTTTGATGCCAGAGGGCTGAAAATTCTACCCTCAGATCATGCTAACACAGTCATTTGTTGAACATACGACCCATGGAGAGGCATGAAGTTCAATTGTGCATGTGTATGTTTTTCCTTTCATATTTATAACTCCTCCTACAGCTTATTAAATATGTATTTCAGCCACCCCACTCAGCATAAATTTCTGTTCCCTTTGCCCCTCCCTTGAAGTATCTGTTTCTGGCTTCTGGCCAAAGGCTGTGTTTTCCAGCCTGTCAGAATAGCCACCTGCAGGCTGCAACCCTTTATGAGAAATAAAGCTCTCCTTTCCAAATGTATAAACCTCATCATTCTGCAGCTGACAATCCCATCTGATTGATATGTGGCTGAGAGCCTCTTTTCCCCTGCATTTCGTGGGAGGTGGAGCATGCTAACTGAATGCCCTGCAGAGAGAGCCGCAGATTCCCCCAGCTTTTCCCCGCATGCCTTCTATCCAGCACATCCTCTCCTAAATATCACTTTCTTCAGAGTTTATCCCTGCTCCAAAACAGTCAATGGGTTCTGGAGGTCTATGCTTCAGCACAGTATGGTGGGTCAAAGGGCAGGCTCACAGCCATACTACAAAGGGTCAAATCCTGGCCACTTAGGAGCTGGGTAACCTGGGACTAGTTCTTAACCTCTTAACCTCTCTCTACCTCAGCTTCCTTCTCCTCTTCAAAAACAAGATCACAGGACTGTTGAAAATGGAATGAGTTAGTTCAAGTAAAGCACTTAGCACACACTAACTCGAGCACTTAATAACATTAGCATTATTATTCCTATAACCCACCCTTACTTGGTTTCACTGCAGGCAACCTATTATTGATCCCAAAGTGCAGTTAGATCCCCACATCCCTTTAATTTTTGCTCTGCTCGATGTTCTTCTGGCATGTTCTCTTTCTGTTGTGTCTGCAAATCCTCCCCACGTGTCAAGGTCAAGCTGAAGCCCTAACTTCTCCTCATATTCTGACTGTTGGGGCCTCCCAACCTCCTCCTTCTATAGAGTTTAACAGTTTAACAGTATCTACCTCTACCTGAACATTTTTTAGGAAATGAGTGAGTGAGTCATGGCCTCATTAGGAAACAGGCAGCACCTAAAAATGATAATCAAAGACTATTTATAGAGGAGTGGATAGGGTTGAGAGAACCAAAAAGAGATGGCAGGTCACCCAGGGACTAGCAACAGGGGAAGCAGTTATCACCCAGGCTTAAAGGGATAAAGAGAGGGAGTAACCACTCCCTACTACTAGACACCAATGAGAGCCATCAGAGAGGCCTCCTAAGTTGTGGACTTGACATAGAGAAACACCACTACTGCCAAACCATTTGGAAAGTGGTGAATGAATACCCCAGCCTCTATCTCTTCCATGCTTCACAGTCTCTTGTAGGCAATTCCTATTAGCCAGACCCAACTGAAGGCCAGAGCCCAGGGAGAGGTCCGTCCCCTCCCACCCTACCCGGAGACACAGAAAAGGGTGGGGAATGGATATGGAGGGGTGAAGGGAGATTAGCTAGCATGGACAGGTTTGTAACAAGCTACATTCGCATGGACAGGTTTGTAACAATCGTCACTCCATTGGGACCTATCTTGTATTCATTCTGTGGTCTCTCACGTGCAGGCCTCTGCAAGAGTTAGCATGATTAAGTGGAAAAAAACATGGACTTTGAAATCAGAGACCTCGGTTATTATCATCCAAACCCTGTCATCTTCTAGCTATATGACCTTAAGAAAGTAACAACTTCCCTGAGTTTCTGATTCTCAAATTCCTTACTGGTAAGATGAGAGTAATCTAGGGTTGTTATGAGAATTAAATTAGAGAAGTAATTCCCTATTCCCTACTTCCTAACTACTTATAATCTCCTTAACACAAAGGCTCAGATGATGAAAAAATAGCTCAGATGATGAAAAATAGGAATGTGCACATGTGCTGATGGACAGAAAATTTCTGTGAATTCTAAGTCATACTGGGAAATTCAAGGGCTTTGTTTGGCATTTGTCTTAAGCTGGCTTGTCTAATGAGAAAAGCAGAAAGATATCTAACAATTTGTAGACCTTCATAACCCCGCAAATCAGAGTATGGTCCAGCAGCATCACCAACACCTAGAAGCCTATTAGAAATGCATGTTCTGTACCCCTTACCACCAGAATCTGCATTGTAACAAGATCTCCAGGTGATTTGTACATGTGTTTAAGGCCCAAGAAGTCCTGCTTTAGAAATAAAGGAACCCCAGAGGTCATCTAGATTCTGGTCAAGCCACCCCAATTTATCAGGACACTGACATCCAACACTATGTAAATTGTCCAAGGACACTGTGGCAGATGCTGCCTATTGACTAATCCTACAGGCTCCAACCTCTCCTCTCATGCTAGTTTCCACTTCACAAGATGGAAAAGCTAAATATCCTCCCAGTCTCCCTTGCAGCTAGGAGTGTTTACATGACAGTTCTGACCAGTGGCATCTGCTGAGTGGGTTTCTTAAAAATCTTCTGCTTTCTTGGGAGGCTGAGGCAGGAGAACCACTTGAAACTGCGAGGCAGAGGATGCAGTGAGCCAAGATCATGCCATTGCACTCCAGCCTGGGAAAAAGAGTGAAACTTCATCTCAAAAAAAAAAAAAAAAAATCTGCTTTCTCAGTAAAGAGGGGCATGCATGGAGACATCAACCTTCCCTGTTTGTCCTGCCTTAAAGGAAACACTGCTCTAGAGCTGAGGTGGGCATCTTGTGGCAATAGAGCCACAAGAGTAAGGCTAAAACAGCTACATGCTGAGGGTTGTAGAAGGGAAAGACACAAGGAAGCTGGTCCTGGAGGACACCATTAAGCTGAGGCTGAATCAAGCCAGCAATTTCCTACTTTCAGCCTTCTTGTTATGGAATATACATAAATAAATCTCTCTTTATGGAAGACTCCACTTGTCAAGTTTTCTGTTACTTGAAGCCAAATTCATCCCACATAATGTCACACAGCTAGCAAGTGGCTAAGCCAACGTTAGGTCCCAGGGCCCCAGAGATTTTTCCTATGCCTCTTTTATTCATTAAGTCAGATAAATCTTTCAAAAAAATTTCTATAAACACATATGGAATCAAGGGAAAGTGCTAATGTGAGAATGCATCTGTGCATGGGAAGAGAGGTGTTATATAAACTCTTGTAGTGCTGGAAATAATATCTCTAGGGCAGATAACCAGGTTCAGTTTAGAAATGCTGCATGTGTGTGTTTGCCAAACTTAAAATGGAGACAATGAAGAGAGGTGAGGGTGAAGAGCAGACAGATCTTCATTTCTTCAAAGAATCTCCACTGGCCATTTGTGAACCACATGGAATTTGATATATGAAATTTAAATAAATGTTAGGTACAATTCCTCATCTGTGACACCACCAAATGTCATGTTGATGCATCAATCTCTGCATATTCTATTAATATATATTTACTGAGTTATAAAAAATGCATGTTTGTCTAACCAAAGGTTGCTATTCTCAAACTTACTTTAAAAAAAAAAAAGGTAGGGGGAGGAGCTAGAATTCATTGACTCAGAGAAATCACAAAAGAAAATGAAAGAAGTAGCACACCCAGAAAATGAAAAAACAGCTTCCTTCCAGAAGTGGGACAGCCTGCTGGAGGAAATGCCCCCTCTGACTAAGCCCAGAGAAGATGCTGAACAGGCAAAGCCATCAGGACCAGGACAGACTCACCTCCCTCCCCTTTACCATGAGGTTTTTTGAAAAGCCAAGGGAGATCTCGACTGGGCTCCTGCCAAAATCATTCTATCATTTTCAGGTGAATTAAATATGAGCTAGCAGACACTGAGCACTCACAGTAATTCGGTTTCTGTACAGCTACATTCTACAAAGCAGCTTTGATCCATGCTGCTACCTTGTTGAGCTGGCCCTGTCCCTCATTTTACAGATGAGGAAATTAGGAAACTCCCTCAAGATCACAAAGCAGCAAGTGGGAAGAAAAAAATCCCTAAGACCCTGTAGGATCTTATGCTGCTTCTCTCTAAACTCACTGTGACATTCACCTTTATGTTGCCCTGGCCAGGCCTTGACACTCTCACCACCTTCCATGCCCATTCTTACTAGTTATGTCTGGTCTCTGTTTAAAAGTTACTTGTTTAAGAAATCTCTGCCTCATGCCCTGCCCTGGACTGGGTGTCCTTTGATGAGCTCCCACTATGCTGTGTACCTCTTAGCACTTTCAACTGTCATTAACTAATCAACTGATTGATTACATGAATTAAATAATGATTTGTTTATTCTGATGGTGGCACCAAGGGGTAGCTTGGTGTTACGCTGTGTGTGGCAGGACTGCAGGAGGGGGCGGTGAGGGAGCATCTTTGACTGCTCAACAATCTCCATCGGTTCTTCCTCATCATCATCCACTCCAAATAAACAGTTAACATGAGAAGAGACAAGTCATTTTGCAATATAAGATCACCTTTAAGTCAAGTATCTTTGCCATTCCCTTTCTGTCTCAAAACCAGACTAAAGTCCCAATCCCCAACCCTGTAGAAACTTTAGAACCATTTTTGAAAGTCTTTCACTCTGATTAGTGTGAAGGTTCCATGAAGGCATGCACTATGTCTTGTTCACCCTTGAATCCCAGCACCTAAGACAGTACTTAGCACACGGTAAGCAACCAAGTATATGAGTGAATGAATGAATGACTTAGGACTCCCAGGTTAGTGCTCTTCCACCATACCACTCTGCCTCCCCTAAGATTGAAGCCCACAGAAACTTCTACCTTTGCACATTCTCTACTTCAGATGAAAGCACAGCCTTGCTGGGGTCAGGGGCTTGGAAAAACACAGCCCCGACAGACAATTCTTGGTCATGGTTTTAGCTGAAATGTTTCATCTCGCACGCAGTGCCCTTTCAGGAGGGCAGGGCTCCCCTCTTAAGCCATTCCCAGAAAATAAGGAGAGGACTCAGACCCAACAGAATTAACACAGGAAAGACAGAACATTTGAGGGCCCAGATGTCCTTCTCTTCATCCAGGCTCTCAACACATGGAATACCGAAACCTTTTCCAGCCCCTTTCTCACAATCACCTGGAGATGCTGGTTTAAAGATGCCAATTCCAGGATTCCACCCTAGACCTATTGAATCAGAATCTCTGGGGGTGATCTGAGGAACCTGTGTTTTTAACAAGCTCTCCACCAAAAACAAATGCTTGTTTTTAACAAGGATTGGAGATTTTTTAACAAACATCTCCAACGCTGATACCTGCTACTCTGAAACGTCTTGACTCTTAAGTCACGGCCCAGCCTATGATGTTCAGAGGCTGACCATCAGTTTAGGCCATGCCAGGCCCATGAGGTAGGGGAATTTCATGGAACTCAATGAGACTCCATTCAACCTGACCTTTTTTTTTGCATTTTTAAATTAGAGTATAACAGTCACCACCAGTGGCGAATGGCCTGGATAGCTGCCCCTGCAGCCTCCCCCAGTCTTATCCATATCACAGTCTGGAGATCTCTGACCCCGTCAGAGGGAGAGGAAAACTCAATGATTGGGACCTGGTTTCTGTCACTTAAAAAAAAAAAAAAAAAAAAAAAACAAAGTTCAAAGTTCCAGATTGAACCTGGGTGGCACAGGAATGCAGGGGCTTTTCTTTGTTTATTTTGAGGAAGAGCAGGGACACATTGGCAACCAAATCCCAAAACCAAGACGGAATCACAAAGCCATTTCCCGGGTGTCTTGTTGCTCAAGAATCTCCCTCTCCCTTGTTGCTGGGTCTAGACGCAGCCTCCTGTTAAGGCAGAATACTTACTCACTAAAAGTTCCCATTTTACGTCTAGGAGGGGCCAAGGACCAAGTCACAACAAATCCAAAATGCTCAACAGTGGTTAATGGATGCTTTCATTCTTTAAAATATGGGCACTTTTAGGAAATATATAACAACCAGAATACCTCTCCCTACCACCACCAAAATGCACACAGTGCTCAGGACTGTTTATATAATTTCAAGTGTACACGGGTTCCCTGTAGCCTATCCATGGAACGCTGGCGATGGGGCCCAGATTAAGAACGATCATAAACATATTGAAGAATTAAAAACCTGAAATGTCTAGAAAGGTTTATCCACACCTGAGGAAATTCAAGGTGGGGATGGGATGGGATGGATGAGGACACAAGCTTGAAAATATTCTCTTTACTCATGTCTTGATTGTTAATAGAAATCTGGCAGAAATAAAATAGATATATGCAATATTTGTTTCTGGTCCTTTTATTAATCTGAAGTAATTTTGTTATTTTAGGGACATTAAAAATTCATCATACAGAATTTAATATACTCATAAAATAATCATGCTTCATAAATTTAAAGGTATAATCTTGGAGATGATTAAATATTTACTAGTTGAATTTACTTTAAAACGTTTTATATTTGTTGTAGGGTGCTGAAACTGCTAGGCTTTTTTAAAATCTAGGGTTAGTTTTTGCTGGTTTATAAGAAGCATTCCAAAACTGCAAATTCTTTCTTTAAATAAAGAACTGTACTCTTTTTTAAAAAAATCCATTGTCCATCTCACATTCACATGTCTAGAAGGAGGACAGGTCCTGGACACTTGCTCTATTCCTCCACACTCTTGAGACCTGTCCTATCTCCTGTGTGTTCTGAGTCATTAGGGCAAGTAGCACCACAGGCACATAGTCCCTGATCGGCCATGTGCCGACCTCTGTACTGATTCTCAAAAGACTAAGCCCACCAGCAAAAGAGGCACTAGGTCTGTCTGCCTTTTCTTTTAAAAATGGTAGTAACTCCCTGAATGTTATAAGCTTACATTTGTACCATTTTCCATTGATCCTAAGACACACCTTATGAGTCACCAGGAGCAACACCATCCTTTAGACGACATGATACACTGCTTTAACTATAGTTATCCAGTCATGCAAGCCTCTGATTGCTTTGACGTTTCTTTCATTCATCCAAGATGTGCCAGCAGTTTCTGCTGTCACTCGACTGGGCTTGTGATGGTCAATCCTTCTGTGAAACTCATTAACAGTTTCTTCTACTTAAGGGATGGCTCTTCCTCTCTTAGGCTCCAGAAAGCAGTTCGGTTGTTACTTTGCAAAAATTATGCACTATTGTGTTCATTCCTCCAACCATGCGTATCTGCTTCACTAATATCAAATTAAAGTCCTGCTGCTCTGTTTCTACGCCTTTTTGCACACAAGGTAATTTTTCATTTTAATGTCAAATCATAGTATAATTTTTTGAGGATCTTCTAAACGCAATTAAATTCAACACCTATACCATCAACAATGCATCCAATTCAATTGACATGATGACAGTGTGAACTGCCATGATATTATTAACGACTGTATCTCCACAGAGCCTGACCAACACCATGAGCTGATCCCCAGAGATGTTAGGATGTGACAGATGTGCATTCTGGAATCAATTAAATAGGGCTCCCACACTGTAACCCTGTGCTCTTGTCTTAATGTCTGGCTGACCCGTGGTCATAACTAAAATGAAGAGGAAAATAATTCCAACTAAGAATAGGATAATGATGAATCAAATAGTCCTTTCACTTCCTGCAATGTTCTGACTCCTTTCCGTTACGTGTCTTAAAGTGAGGGACTCAGAGCTATCTTTCTTACCTACTCACCAACAGTATGTCATGTTAGTTTGCTGTGATCTTAATGACAATATCCTGCTACATCTCTTTTTCCTCCCTCAATCTGTCTCTTTTTCTCCGCTAATAACATGGAAGGGGAACCAACTCTTATTTCATCTAGCTACACTAATACTACAACTTTGAGTTTACAAATTTCCTTCCTCTCATTTTTTAATCACAATTCCCCATAATAACTTTATTGAGTAGTAGAGAGGGGGAGAGACTATGAATTTGTGGATGATGTAACTGGGACAAAAAAGAGTTGGTAGGAAAACCAATATTAGCACTTAGCCTCCCAAACTTGAGTATCTTGTTCTCTGTTGTTCTGTTTTGTTTTGTTTTTTTGAGAAGGAGTCTCGCTCTGTTGCCCAGGCTGGAGTGCAGTGGCTGATTTCGGCTCACTGCAAGCTCCGCCTCCCGGGTTCATGGCATTCTCCTGCCTCAGCCTCTGGAGTAGATGGGACTACAGGCACCCGCCACCACGCCTGGCTAATCTTTTTGTATTTTTAGTAGAGACGGGGTTTCACTGCATTAGCCAGGATGGTCAATCTCCTGACCTCGTGATCCGCCCACCTTGGCCTCCCAAAGTGCTGGGATAATAGGCATGAGCCACTGCGCCAGGCCTGTTCTCTGATTTTAAGACCCCTTTGGGAAGAGCCATCCCACAAACAGAAGAAACTGTTAATGAGATCCCCAAAAGAATCTCTCATCACAAGCTAACCTTCTGGATGGGAGGAATGTATGTGGATTCCTAAAAGTTGAAGGCTGCTTCTATATGTTCAGTTTAGTAAGTACTCCTATAAAGACAGTACACAAGGCTTGCCAGGCAGGGTACTGTCGGGTATTCCGGGAGGAAAGTCATTGCTCCAGCCTCCTCTGCCTCATAATCTAGAGCCGTTCTCAATTCCGGGATGGGGGAAGAGGCAGGGAGGGGGCACTTCATCTTGTGAATCAGCTTACATTTACAGGCCCCAGAAAATTGTTCCAGATCCCTCCCTGAAAACACACACACACATGCAGGATATTGCAAGTCATTTCTTGGGATTGATACAGCTCCTGGACATTAGAGGAGTAGCTCACGTCTGTACCCCATAACATTGAGCCACGAAACTCACACA
This sequence comes from Homo sapiens, assembly GCF_000001405.40. NCBI lineage: Eukaryota > Metazoa > Chordata > Mammalia > Primates > Hominidae > Homo > Homo sapiens. Next base: position 51,293,972 of record NC_000014.9, on the reverse strand, counting down.
GATGAGCTTTTTCTCATGGTTAGTCCCACCCAAGTACAAAGAGACCAAGCCAGTCAAATAGTTTCAGGAGGAAGCAATAGCCTCCCTTGGTGTTCAGGTTTTCTTGATTAACATCTGTCAAAGAAATTCCTTGATCCTTCCTTCAGACCTGGTGTTTTGTGAGGCCTTCTTTCCTGGCAGGGTTGATGGTGAATATCCTCCAGAATGCACAGCAGGCCAGGGCACTTTTGAATAATCCACGGCCCTCCCTGAGGGGCCCGCCCATGATACCTCCTGCTCCCTGCATACCCCACCCTGTGCTCCACTTGTCTCTTCACAGCCCCTGGCCAAGATGCTGGAGCCTCAGATTGCCTTCTGAGCCCTCAGAAAGCAGTGCTCCTCTTAAAGAGGTCAGGGGACCCCACTCTGCCAGAAAAATCTCTGGCCAGGGCTATGGCTGCAGAGTTTCTGGCATCTGTGAGTTGGCGAGTGGTCAGGGAGTTTCCAGTCTTTTACAACTCTCGAAAAGCAACCTGATTTTTCATTTGAAGTCAGGATGTTGAAGTGTCCCTGAATCGCTGGGGACTGACATCTGGGATCGGAGCCTTGTCTTGCTGGAGCCAGAGTCTCCGTATCACTTAAGGACACAGAAATCCTGGTTTCTTTCCCACATTAACTTGTGAATACAAATATGAAGCTTTTTATAAGATTCCCCACATCCTGTCTTAGAAAAGGAGACAGAGTTCCAGTTCTAGAGCCACAAAGGATCTGTTGAAACTCTGGCATTGCAGCCACTTTCTTGTTTATTATTCTTCTTCTCTGGATGTCAGTGTTTCAAGGCCCTGCAGGGGAAGCTCAGATGTGGCCTCACTTAAATTATTACTACTATGAATTATAATATATAGTGCTTTTTAGTTAAAAGAGTTTTTACTGTTATTATTATTTTAACCTAATCTTCATCTGACCTCCCCAGTAATTCCATAGTGTATCAGCTGCGGTCCCAGCATGGATCAGATGGCCATTCAAAGAGTTTAATTGAAAATTGTTTAAAGAAGGGACTATTTACAGAGATGGATCAGTCAGAGTCCAATCAGGAAAACAAAAACTGTGCTGATTATTTTAATAAGGTGAATTAAATATAAAGAAAGGATTGGAGATCTTTATATGAAGTATCTAAAGTAGTCAATTCGTAGAGACAGAGAGTAGAATGGTGGTCATCAGGGGCTGGGGGACGGGCAATGGGGATCTGTTTCAAGGGCAGAGAGGTTCGGTTTTGTAAGATGAAAAAGTTCTGGAGATTAGATGCAAAACAATGTGAAGCTACTTAACACCACTGAACTGTGCACTTAAAAAGGTTAGGATGGTAACATTTATGTGTTTTTCACAATAAAAAGAAAAAAAGAAAGGGGTTGGAGATCTGAATATGTGAAAGGAATCATAAAAGTAACACAGAAAAGCAACTGTGAAGGACAGGCTAGCACCACTCGGGCCAGGAAACAAAGGGAAGAGCTTAGTGTTGTCACCCAGAAGCTCGGAGCAGGGCAGCAGATGTGGGTCTGAGGCCTCTGAAGAGGGGCTGCCCGGTTATTACAGGTCCTTGAGAGCAAGCACAAGGACGGCCCTGAGAGTGCCAGAAAAACACGGGAGGCTGCATCCCAAGGCTGCTGTAGGAAGGATGGCTGCTGAGGATAGTCTAAGGGGAAGCACAAGCAAAAGGAGGAATGGGTCCCTGCTCCTCCCTCCAGTCTTGCAGGCTCCCCACAGCACCCTATATTGGCAGAACCGACAGAGAGCTGCTGACAAAGAGGGATGTCTTTTGGAACATCACAGCCCAGTACCAAAAAGCAGGGCATAAAAAAGGGTGGTGAGGAGCTGAGCAATATCAGCTTAGTAATGGGCAGGGTAAAGGGAATGGTAAAACAATCAGCAACCAGGAACAGCAGGAAGCAATTATTGCCCCTAAGTCTAAGGGGCAAGAAGAAGGGATGATGTTATGGGAACCTTGTCAGGGCCATTAGGGACATGGCTGTGGGAGAGGGGCTGCCCAGCAGGATCTGTGGCCATCTGCTTAAACCCCAGCCAAGCAAGGAGGGAAGGGGGCAGAGATGGGGGAAGAAACCCCCTGACTTCTTTCTCTCTCCCTACCGGCTGGTCACCATAGCTTAAGAAGGAATGTTTAACATATATTTAATCAAAATGGGACCTACTAATATGCCTTTATCTGCATCTTCATCTCCCCATCTAAAGATAATAGTGACAATAAAACTGAAATCCCTCTAAGTTAATATACTTCAATTCATTCCTTCTCAACAGTTTAGCAGTAACTTGGCATGAACAAAATTTGCTTTTAAGCATGAAAAATTGGTGATTTTTACCAAATTTATTGAAAGCCTAACGTGCCATTAAAAGACTTGGAACTGATTTTTACAAACACTAGGAATATAAAAAGCAGAATAAATGTTTATCACCTGCTTCTCTTGCTCATTGTTGAAAAATTGCTTTGGATTCAAGTTCTCTAAAATGGGAATGATCATAATACACATCACACAGGATTGTAGTAAGGATGAAATGAGAAAAAAACAGGTGAAAGCACTGTGGAAAGGGGGGGTTTTATTTTCTGTTACCTTCAGCTTTCCCTGGATCTGGGTGTTCTTTAAAGCAGGGGTCCCCAACTCCCAGGCCATGGACCAGCGCTGGTCCATGGTCTGTTGGAAACCAGGCCGCACAGCAGGAAATGAGGGGCAAGCCAGCAAAGCTTCATCTGTATTTACAGCCACTCTCCATTGCTCATATTACCACCTGAGCTCCGCCTCCTGTCAGATCAGCTGCAACATTAGATTCTCACAGAAGCATGAACCCTATTGTCAACTGCGCATGTGAGGAATCCAGGTTGCATGCTCCTTAGAAGAATCAAATGCCTGATAACCTAAGGTGGTGATGCTAGTGCTGTGTAGTGGCTGCAAATACAGATTAACATTGGCAGGGAGGTTTGACTGCACAGAGACCATAATAAATCAATTACTTGCAGACTCCTATCAAATCAGTGAGTGGCAAGTGACAAGCTACATCTGGTGGCAGACTTTATAGCAACAAGTGAGTTGATGTCCTTCAATTGTACAACTGCATCTGGTGGCCTTAAAAGCACATTTGAGACAACTTCAAATCTCCGTATCTTTTGGATTAAAGTCAAGTTGGAATGTCCTGAGATTGCCATAAAAGCACTGAAAATCCTCCTTCCATTTCCAACTTTCTATCATTGTGAAGCAGGGTTTTCTGCAGTGACAGCAACCCAAACGAGATTATGGAGTAGACTGGACATAACCAACACACTTTGGGTGTCACTATCTCCCATCATTCCCAGATGGGACCATCTAGTGGTAGGAAACAAGCTCAGAGCTCCCACTGATTCTACATTATGGTGAGGTGTATAATTATTTGATCATATATATTACAACGCAATAATAATAGAAATAAAGTACACAATAAATGTAATGCACTTGAATCACCCCAAAACCATCCCCAACTCTGGTTCATGGAAAAACTGTTTTCCACAAAACTGGTCCCTAGTACCAAAAAGGTTGGGGATCATTGCTTTAAAGTACCACCATCACAATCACCATCATAATCACTGCCATCATCACCATCTTCATCATCACTATCATCATCATTACCTCCATCAGCACCATCATCATCATTATCATTATCCTCATCACTAACATTACCTTTTTTCCAGGCCCTATATTTCTTTGCCCTCAGGGCCTTCAAAATTTTATGGAGCAAAAAACCCTCTTGGAGGGAAATAAGAGATGAGATTTGGAGTCAGAAGAGTTGCGTTGGAATGCTGGGTTTGCCATTGACTAACTGTAGGATCCTTCTGAGTTTCCCAGTTTTCTCATCTGTTAAACAGAAATACCTACCTACCTCTGTTGATTATTTTCCCTTTGCCCCTCCAAATCCATTCTCTGCCCTCCCTTTGCCATCTTATTTTGTATCTTGTAAGGATGACTTTTACAGACCAAATCACCTAGGCTCCCTTGTATGTGTATATGTTTGTAGGAATATTGATAGAGGGCTGGAAATATACATATCAAGCTTAAGTTATCTGATTTAAGAAAGCAGTAGTGGTGGCTGGGCACAGTTTGTTGCTATTTTATGAGCAACAAAGTGTAATTCCAGCACTTTGGGAGGCCTGAGGTCAGGAGTTCAAGACCAGCCTGGCCAACATGGCAAAACCCCGTCTCTACTAAAAATACAAAAAAATCAGCTGGGAATGCTGGCACGTGCCTGTAATCCCAGCTACTCAGGAGGCTGAGGCAGGAGAATCACTTGAACCTGGGGAGCGGAGTTTGCAGTGAGCTGAGATCATGTCACTGCACTCCAGCCTAGGTGACAGAGCAAGACTCTGTCACAAAAAAAAAAAAAAAAAAAAAAAAAAAAAAAGCAGTCATGGTGATAGTGGTAGAAAGATTAGGTATGGAAAAAAGATGAGCAAAATGAAAAATATTTACATGTGAAAATATTCTGCTGAGCAAAAAAACTGAGACACAAAATCATAACTATGTCTGATGTCATTTGTGTGACATTCTAGAAAATGCAAACTAATCTGTAGTGACAGAAAGCATATCAGTGGTTGCCTGGGGCCAAAAATGGAAGGAGAGATTAACCATAGTAGGGTATGAGGGAACTTTCTGGGGTAATAAAACTATTTGGTGTCTTGATTTTGGTAATAGTTACAAGATGAATACATTTGTAAAACCTCAACCACTTGTACAATCATTTGTACTAGTTTATTATTATATGTAAATTATACTCAGTAAAGTTGATCTGAAAAATACTTGGGCTAGGAGCAGTGGCTCACACCTGTAACCCTAGCACTTTGGGAGGCTGAAATAAGAGGACTGCTTCAGACCAGGAGTTCAATACCAGCCTGGGCAACACAGTGAGACCCTGTTTCTACAAAAATTTTTAAAAATTAGCTGGGCGTGGTGGCACACACTTGTACTTCTAGCTTACTTGGGGGGCTGGGGTGGGAGGATTGCTTGAGCCTGGGAGGGTCAAGGCTGCAGTGAGCCATCATCATGCCACTGCATTCTAGTCTAGGTAACAAAGTAAGACCCTGTCTCCAAAAAAAAACTCATGGCATAATATAAATGGAAGAGATATATAATAGAATTCTAGCAGTAATATTACTGTAAGTCTGTACAACCTAAATGTACACACAAGGACTAAAAGGTACATGGACCAATGAATACATCAGCTTGGTGCACAGATGCCTGCTATTTTATGAGCAACAAACAAAAAAGAAATGAGCTGAAGAAGGCTCCTGAAGACAGCAATGCCTACCCAGCAATGCCAAACTCAATGTAAGGTTGCCCTTTACAGAAATATGGTATGGGAGTACCGAAAGCAACAAGAGGAAATAAAACTGTCTATAGGATCCTGATGGGGGTCTCATTTTACAATAAAAAGAGCTTTATGCAATGGACTCGAGTTATAATGAAGCTTAAAGGGAGAAAGAGAGTGGTCTCAATGCCACTGTGGCCAAATAAGATTCCTAAATTGCTTTCCAAAGATCAATTTCTTATTTTGTAAGCAAAAAATAACACTAGCCTTCAAATGCCAACTTTTCAAGACCCCAACTTCTACTGTGAAATATTCCCAAAGACATGGGAAGAAACATCTATTGATTCAAACATAAAAGGTGTTTGGCTCATCAGCCCTGTGCTAATGGTTCAAGAAATTTAAAACAACATAATTAACTCCCTGAATTTATGGAACTAAGCAGAGCCCATCCTCTTTATGTCAGACCAGTGGCCCTCATCCTGGCCCCAGATGCATCTTCAGAACTTTTAAAAGTACAGATTCCTGAAAACAACCTTTGGAGTTTATGACTTAGGTCTAATGTTGAGAACCCTCTGCTAGGCACTCACCTTGGTATTTTTATGCACTCCAAGCATTCCAACATAGCCCTTGGAGCACCTGCCATTTTCTGGCATAAAAGTTCTGTGGTATTCTTTCTGTACTCTCCCCAACTCTATGGCCCGAAGATTTTAAAGATATGCAAAGCATCTTCCATTCCCAGCTGAGACTGGACACACCTGAAATAGGTAAAAGTGACAGAAAGACTGGATGGTATGGAACACTCTTCCAAGTTTCCAGGAAAAGGGCTCAATCTGAAACATAATTATTTCATTTCTTCCTTTCTACTTCCTAAGCATTGATGGTTCAGTTAACAAATGGTACCTGAGAAGCAGTGTTAGCACCTTGATGCAATGAAAGTACAAGGAAATGAGACGACCTCCTGACCTGCTTTTGACACCCCCACATATGCCTGCCTCGAGATCTTGGCTTCTCAAGGGCATGAAAAATCAGCTCCCCATTCATTTCTTTTAAAAAAAGTTTATTTCCTGCTTCCTATGTACAAGCCCTGTTCTAGGCACTGGGGACACAGTAGTGAGTGAAACACAAAAGTTTCCTTCTATTGTTGGCTTACAGTCCAGTTAAAAGAGACAAGTAAAAAACAACAACAAAAAATAGTGTCAAATTATGATTTCAATGCAAGAAATTAAAAATATGTTGTTAAAAAGAGTGAAGGGGCCAGGCGTGGTGGCTCATACCTGTAATCCCAGCACTTTGGGAGGCCAAGGTGGGCAGGTCACAAGGTCAGGATTTTGAGACCAGCCTGGCCAATATGGTGAAACCTCATCTTTACTAAAAATACAAAAAAAAATTAGCCAGGCATGGTGGCATGCACCTGTAGTCCCAGCTACTCGGGAGGCTGAGGCAGGATAATCACTTGAACCTGGAAGGCGGAGGTTGCAGCAAGCCAAGATCACGCCACTGCACTCCAGTCTGGGGGACAGAGGAAGACTCCATCTCGAAAAAAAAAAAAAAGGGTGAAGGCCAGAGTCACAGAAAGACAAACACTGCGTAATTCCACTATTTATATAAGGTATCTACAATAGTCAGACACATAGAAGCAGAGAGTAGAATGCTGGTTCCCAGGAGCTGCAGGGAGGGAAGGATGGGATAGGGAGTGTCTATTCAACAGGTATAAAGTTTCAGTTACGTGAGATAAGAAAGTTCTGGAGATCTGTGGTACAGTATTATGCCTATTATAAACAATGCTATATTGCACTGTTAAAAACTTGGCAAGAGGGTAGGTTTCACATTAAGTATTCCTACCACAATGAAAAAGATGTTAAATAAAATAAATAAATAAGTGAAGAGCATAAAGCAGGACATGGGAGTGGGCAGGGAGATGAGGAGGAGTCGGGGGGCCCTTTCTTCCCTCCCTTTACTCCTGCCTCAGAAGGTAACATCTGAGCTGAGCTCAAGGAAAAGAATGAACCAGCATGCAGAGAGCCTACAGAACGAGCAATGTGACAGCTGAGGCCTAATAGGAAGCAGAAGACACTCACAAGGGACGATGTGCAAAAGCGCAGGTAGAGCTTAATGAAACTAGCTACCCAGGGCTACCAAAAGTGGGGGGAACCATGAGCACCCCTGGCCTGCAGGGACAAAGGGAGGAGTGGCTACCAAAAGATGGAGAAGACCCCTGATAGGAGCTGTGGCCTTTGGTAAAGGGATGCAACCATCCTCAGGTAACTAGCCAGCAAGGAAGGAGCAGGGGTGGGGTGGTAAATACCCTGAATAAATATCTCCTCCTCATTCTCTCTGATCTCCTGCTAGTGCTTCCCATTGGCCAATTCCAACAGGAAGTCAGGAAGCAAGAGTGTTCATCGATGCAATTCACACCATCAGCCTACTGGCACACAGAACAAGATGAGAAAGACTGAAGATTAGGTCTAGAAGGGCAAATGGAAGGCATCAGCATAAACACCAAGTGCAAAAGCTTGCAATGGGAAATAGCACAGCCTGTTCAAGGAGTAGAGGGGCCACTGTGCTGGAGCTTCTTAGACAAGGTATAGGATGTGACAGACAGAAGACAGGACCCTGATCATGTGGGGCCTTTTATGCCATAGTGAGGTGCTGGTATTTAATTCTGTGCCCAACAGGAAGTTTTTTAGAAGGTTGGGATAGGACATAGAACCAGATCTCACTTTTAAAGACCACTTTGCCTGCTGTGTGTGTACTACAGTAGTGGTAAGGGTGGGGGCAGGAAGCAACCAGTGCAGCACTCACCCCAGAACTCACATGTGCAGAGAAATTACACTTCTGCTTCGCCTAGATCTGATCTATTCTTGCTTGCTAGCTCCTATGCACTATAGAAAAACAAAAAAGCAGGGGATAACATTTAGATCAATACAATAATTTAAATCTTTCTTTTAGGTAAAACTCGGCCACTTTGGTTAAACATACTTAGTCTCTAGATTTCAGCAACATCCCTGGCCCCCAGGACAGTGCTGGGCAAAGAAGTGTACATGACCTTGCAGATTGGGGGTAAAAGTCCTCAAAACCATGCAGGGTCTTTTGGCTCCCCAGCAATGTGCCTTATTCCCCTTGTGATTAGCCCTCAATGGTGTCATTAGGGGCTATGGCTGAGGCTGCAGCTGGCAGGCATCTTGGTCTATGCTCCCTCTCAGCTCAGTTGGACCCAGTGACTCCCTGTATGACAGCCTCATTCATTTCAGCTCTCACGGGCATTACAAACCCCTTTAAGTCTCTGTAAATCCCCTATCTCAACAGGCCTGTGTAGGCCTTGTCAGCTCTCAAGTCTGCATTCATGTCTTGGGAGAACAGAGGAAGTACTGGGGATGCAAATTAGACCATCACTCTCTCTGACCACATCTCTGAATTGATTTCATGTGGTCACCCTCCAGGTTTGCCAAGAAGGTCCCTCAAGGAGCTTCCAGGTGATCTCTTCCCAGTGTTCCAGGCTGGAAGCAAGGAAGGAACCTCTCTGCCCCATTTCCCTTTAGGAATTTAACAGACTTCCCACTCTCCAGGGTTGAGACCAGAAGGAAGATCAGAGTGCTGAACTCACCATCTACCTCTTCTGACCCCCTTCTGTCTTCCTCCTCCAAAAATCTATTCAGGCTGGAGTGCAGCCTTCATTATCATAGTCATCATCTTCTGAACTGCAGCCTCAATGAGTGCAGAGCATTAATGGTGAATAGAATAAACATTCTATTAATATATGTTATCATAGAAATTTACAGTCTAATTTTCCAGGCCTACTCCTTGCTACGAAAATAAAAAATAAAAACATTTAAAAATCTTTTCTCTCCCTACACGGACTAGTTTTTAAGCCTACTGTCTTTCTGCAGAACCCCGTTTTTGAATGTCACAAGCCAAATCTTAACTCTTCCTTTTAGTTTGCATTCATTTATCTCATCTCAGAGGCAGATATATTCAGGAAAAAGAGAAAAGCACATGAAATTGTTCCAAACCATGGCCATCATTACATCTGCTAAGAACCTATCCTAATGTTCTGGGTGAGAAATAACCATAGCTTGATACCTGTTGGAAGTGGAGTAGAGAGTAGGAGAGATAAGTAAAAGGAGGCAGGATGAGGAAATATTTTGGAGGTAGAATCAGCAGAATTGGCTGATGGATTAGATGGTAGGGGTGAAGAAAGCTGAGGAACCAAAAATGACTCATAAGTCAGTAATAGACAGTTGGTTGTCCATTTTTACAGAAATGGGGAATCCTGGGCAAGAAACTGGTGTGCAGTGGGAAAAGTCAGGGATTCTGTTTTGAACTTATTAAATTTGAAATTCCAATGAGATATTCAAGTAATATGAAACAGGCCACTCTGATGAGAGGTCAGAGATGAGGATAAAAATTTGGGAATCAGCAGCATACAGATGGTACGTCAAGCCCACTGTAGAGTATGAAGAAAGGTTTCTTCTGTGCATGGAAGGCACCGGGGCTGAAATCCTCCATAGGCCAGCCCATGTCAGGCCAAAGAAGAAAAAACCCAACCACTCCCAAACCTCCTCAAGCCAAGCTCTCAGATTCAGCATAACATTTAAGATCCAGAATCAGGCGCCACAAACCCATCTTGAATTTACCAATAACCACAAGAGAGAGAAAATGTATACGTTGAAATTAGGTCATCATTATTGTACAGGATTTTGTTTCAGAGAAAGTTGTTAAGTGTTTATTTGGGACCAGTCGTCACGGAGAAAGCTTCCTGTGAAGCAGGAGACCAATGAGAAACAGCATTTTCTAATAGCTTGGACTTTTCTATCAACGAAGGATCTTGTGATACATCAACTTTTCAGCCCAGAAGCCACCTGGAGGGTTGGTTCTCTAACTAGTCAAATTAAACTATGGTTTAGTCTTTGGCCATGTTCTCTAACATTTTTGTTGCTGGTAGGAATCGGGAGAAAAGAATTTACAGGTCTCTCTACCTTAATGGAGGAAAAGGACCACAGTGGGGAGCTTGAGGAGTGAAATAAATAATACTATTTCCAAGGAAATAGCCCCACCTACTGAAACAAATTTCCATCTGGGTTGGGGAGGTAAGGGAGGTAAGATTGGAGTTTTTTCAGGAACTATGACTACTTAACAACTATAACCTTCTTGCTCCCTCTAGAGGGCAAAGGTATGAATAACGTGACTGTAAAGAAAAAAACCGTAATAGAAGCCATGGCTTCATTTTTACCTGCACCTTTCTTCATCACTTTGAAATAAGTATTTTAAGAGAGAGACAAAATAAAGGAAATGAATTAAAATTCCTCTGGCACTTTCCACATACTCTGACATTTGAAGCCCAAGAAATGGGGGTGCTTTGCAAGCAAAGTCAGCTCTATGGCACTAATCAAATACTTAAGACTGGCCTTATAAGATGGAGAAATGGTACAATATTGCATTGCTTTTATTAATCTATTTCTCTAAAGAGCTAATTATTTATTCTGAAAACAGGAGGATTCTGTAAGATGGTGTTCCTTCACATGTAAATTCATTTTAGAAGAATAATGGCTGGACTTTGTTTGAGGTTTTCTGAATTTTAATGAGGACATCATTCTTGCCAGGCAACTTTGTACTCTGGATATAGGTGCACATGAAAGTTAAATTACCTTATTATTCTAATGAATCTACTCTGACAATAGCCTGGTATAACAATTTGTCTACCTAGATCCAGCAGCTGAATGAAGGAAACAAGTCCAGGAGTCAAAGACAATAAACATGAATAAAGCCAGTTCTCATAAGACTGTTCTCCAAGGTTTCAGTACAATGGTTCCAAAGTAGAACTGAGACTAATTTTAAAAAGCTTCATTTCAGCCTAATGATTTTACAATAGAACAGACACTGATAACATTTAGACAGAAGGAGTAATATCTCAGAGCTGTGGGTTCAATTTGGGTAACAGTGTTTTATAAACACAGAGCCAGACGGTAAATTGCTTTAGCTTTCAAGATTATTGCTGCAATAATTAACTATTCTTTCAGAACAAACATTTGTCACCACAGGCAATGAACAGATAGCAAAAGACAAATCACACCATGACAAAGTAAAAATAGCAAAAAGGGAACTTTACAGGTGATTCCGTCCAATTTAGCATGTGATGAAAGTGGCATCTCAAGCCACTGGGGCAAAGATGTACTTTTTAATAAATGGTGTCAGGACAACTGGGTAGCCAGTTGGAAAAAAATGAAATAAAATTAGATCTGCATTTCATGCCGTACAAAAGAATAAACTCCAAATGTACCAGAGACCCAAGTACAAAAAATAAAATTATACAATTACTGGAAGAAACCATGAGTAAATTACTCTCTGATCTCAGTGTAGAGACTGACTTAAAATAGAGGCAAAAAAAGATAATTTGACCACATAAAAATGAAATATAACACATGGTAAAACAGCAACACCATCATTACCATAAACAAAGTCAAAAGACAACTGACAAACTAGGAGAAAATATTTGCAACAGACATTCCCCTAATATGTAAAGAGCTTTTGAATATCAAGGGAGAAAGGACCAAAAACCCGATATCAACAGACAAGTGAACCAAAAATATATAAAATGAAATACACAAAATGGCCCTTAAATATATGAAAAAAAATGTTATAGTTACAAAAATGCAGCCAGGCATGGTAGCTCACACCTGTAATCACAGTCTTTTGGGAGGCTGAGGGAGGAGGATTGCACGAGCCCAGGAGTTTGAGACCAGCCTGGGCAACGTAGCAAGACCCTACGTTTACAGAAAAAATTTTAAAAATTAGCAGAGTGTGGTGGTGCACATCTGTAGTCCCCGCTATTTGGGAGGCTGAGATAGGGGATCACGTGAGTCCAGGAGTTCAAAGCTGCATCATGCCACTGCACTCCAGCCTGGGCAACAGAATAACACTCTGTCACAAAAATTAAAAAAAAAAAAAGAAAAATGGACATTAAAACAACACTGAGATACCATTTCTTCTTTATCAGATTGGCAAAAATTAAAAAGTATGACAATATATTCTGTTATCAAGGCTGTGGGAGAATATTCTTGAACACTGCTGGTGAGAATGAAGATTGGTAGAGCCCTCCTGGAAGGAAATTTAACAACCCTTAGTAAAAATTATGGATGCATTTAGCTTTCGTCCTGGCAATTCTACTTCTACGAATCTACTCTGAAGTTAAACCTCCAACAATACAAAATTAATATGCACAAGGTTATCCACTACAGCATTGTAATTACGAAATATTGGAAGCGACCTAGATGCTCAATGTTCATATGTAAGAGTGGTTGAATAAACTACAATGTATCCAACACAATGGGATACTATACAGCTATAAAGAAGAATGAAGATCTCTATGAACTTATATTGAGTGATTTCCAGGACACATTAAATTTAAAATGCAAAATGTGAAAGAGTATCTATAGTATGCTACCTTTCATGAAAAACAGAAAGGAATGTAAATATATATATATTTTTCTTTCATATGTATATTCATTTGTACAAAAGAATAAACTGGCCAGGTGTGGAGGCTCACGCCTGTAATCCCAGCACTTTGGGAGGCCGAGGCAGGCGGATCATGAGGTCAGGAGTTCGAGACCAGCCTGGCCAACAAAGTGAAACCCCATCTCTACTAAAAATGTTTTGTGTTTTAAAAATACAAAAAATTAGCCAGGCATGGTGGCAGGTGCCTGTAATCCCAGCTATTTGGGAGGCTGAGGCAGGAGAATCACTTGAACCTGGGAGGCAGACGTTTCAGTGAGCCAAGATCATGCCATTCCACTTCAGCCTGGGCAACAACAGTGAGACTCCATCTCAAAAAAAAGAAAAAAGAAAAAAAAAGAATAAATCATAAATTAATGAGACTGGTTAAGAGTAAGTGGGAACAGGGCAGAAGGGAATGGGAAAAAGAAACAGAGTAATAGTCATAAAGGAGGAGTAAAACCTTTCTAAGTATACCTTTTAAAATAATTCTGACTCTTAAAATCATACAATGTTTTACATACCCCCAAAATAAATAAACCAGGATGTGAGGAGGACAACCCAAAATAGAATAAACAGTAACCAGTGAACGTAATTGTACCGCAGACGAATAACATGACAAATGAAGAGGGTGAGATAGAAAGAGCTATCGTAAGTATTTTGACTATTACAAAAAGAAAAACCAAAAGAACTATATATGTGTGTATACATGGGTTAATACACATACATACATTTCCAATGTCTTCTGAGAAGCAGTAAGCACATCTAGCTCTATGATCTTGGTTTCTAAATACCAGTCTATAATATAAGGAACCAACGCTCCTTGGAGAAACAGTTGATTTCAGGCTTAGAACATAAAATATAGATGAGCCTGGAACAGCTTCTGATGCCAAAAAGGAGTGCTCAAAAAATGACAGGGGTAGCTAAAAAAGGATATAGGAGCTAACTAGAGGGACCTCTTAATGGCTTAGGTGGAAACATTTTGAGCAATAATATATATAATGATAGTAATAGATTATGCCCGTAAGTCCAAATTGATAAAAAATAAATTAGCGTTTCAAATTAATAAATTTGAAAGTGGAATTCAAAGTGGAAGAAATGATGGAAATAAATAATCACTACTAAGCAAATATCATAGCTAATAACTGTTGCAGGGAACCATCAATGGATGCTAAAATTAGTGGACAAAAGTATGAGAAACAGGATATTTCCATAGTGTCAAAGTATCTCCCTAAAAGGTACTTATTAATTACAAAGGGAAAAATAGTCACCTTATAGTGCAGAAACCTGACAAACACTATCTAAGTAAAGTGAGCAAAGTAAACATCACCTAGGCTAGGCACAGTGGCTCACGCCTGTAATCCCAGCACTTTGGGAGGCTGAGGTGGGCAGATCATTTGAGATCAGGAGTTCGAGACCAGCCTGGCCAACATGGTGAAACCCCGTCTCTATGAAAAATAAAAAAAAATTAGCTGGGTATGGTGGCACACATCTGTAATTCTGGTGGCTGAGGCAAGAGAATTGCTTGAACCCAGGAGGTGGAGGTTGCAGTGAGCCGAGATCCTGCCACTGCACTCCAGCCTGGGTAAGAGTGAGACTCTGTCTCAAAAAAAAGTAAACATCACCAGTAATAAGACATTTGAAATCATGTACTCCCTGACATCATGCCCTGAGAAGGGCATACCATCATTTCTGTGGCATTATTGCAAAAAATGCATAATCTCACTCTAATCATGAGGAAACAACAAACAAACCCCAACAGAGGGACGGTCTAGACAATAACTGACCAGCGCTCTCCAAAAGTGTCAAGGTCATGAAGGACAAAGACTGATTACAGAGACTACAGAGACATGACAACTAAATGTATTGTGGAATTCTGGTTAGATCCCAGACCAGAAGAAGTACATTAGTAGGGAAATTGTTAGAGTTTGAATTGTTTGCAGATTAGTTTATGATGTCAATGTTAATTTCCTTATTTTTAGAAGTCTTTTCTGTAAGTCTATACATATTTCCAAGTAAAAGTTTTTTTAAAGCTAAGGGAAAAAAGTGGTTTCAGCCGGGCATGGTAGCTCACACCTGTAATCCCAGCACTTTAGGAGGCCGAGGCAGGTGGATCACGACATAAAGAGTTCGAAACCAGCCTGACCAACATGGTGAAACCCCGTCTCTACTAAAAATACAAAAATTAGCTGGGCGTGGTGGCGCACACCTGTAATTCCAGCTACTCAGGAGGCTGAGGCAGGAGAATCACTTGAACCTGGGAGGCAGAGGTTGCAGTGAGCCGAGATCGTGCCACTGCACTCCAGCCTGGGGGACAGAGCGAGACTCCATCTCAAAAAAAAAAAAAAAAAAGTGGTTCCATAAGGTGAAAACATTGCCATGTGGTACATTTCTGAAGGGAGTGGCCATGTGGAAGAGCTTACTGTTACTGAAGTTCTACAGATATTAACGTATAAATTATGTAGGAAGAATGTTGGACACCAGAAACCAGAACAACATTTTGCTTAAAACACCATAAAATATAACCTATTTGTTTAGCAGATTTGGGAAAAATAGAAATAATAATGTGCTACTTGTGCTTTTTCTATTTTCAGAGCTATAACTTTCAAGTCAGTAAAGTAGTCTGAATGCACATAGATTTGAGCTTGGTCCTAATAAGTACACAAAATTTTATTGGACATCTCTTAAGTACCACAAATGAGAGGCGCAAATCCTTTTGGTCTCACTCCTTGGAGTTAATGCTTGCCTGGACAGACTTAAGCAATAGCAGACAGATGTCAATAGATACATGTTTCTTCCTTTTGTTCCCCAAGCAAACAGTTCTGAGACACATTTAAAAGAAGATTCCATAAACATTGAGTATCAGTCATCCAATTTAACAGCTCAATAATACATCACAGTATACCCCACCCACCACCACCGCCATTTCCTGTTCAATTCCCCTGATCCCTCACTTTAGCACAATGGGATCACTACCAAGTAAACTTCTTGCTCATTAGCCTTTGTTCTAGATCAGGGGATGTCCAATCTTTTGGCTTCCCTGGGCCACGTGGAAGAATTGTCTTGGGCCACACATAAAATACACTAACACTACTGATAGCTGATAAGCTAAAAAATAAAAATAAATTTTAAAAAATCTCATAATGTTTTAAGAAAGTTTAGGAATTGGTGTTGGGCCACATTCAAAGCTGCCCTGGGCCTCATGGGGCCGGCAGGCCACAAGTTGTGCAAGCTTGTTCTGCTTTGGAGGACGGTAGGGGGTTGTAGGAAGTGGGAAGAGGATGATAGAGACTCAAGCCAAGAAAAAGATACAAGCTTGCCCTTAAGGACAAGTTTCAGGACAAACTTGTCAAGGACAAATATGGAACAGATACCAATCAGTGGGAGTACATTATTAAATTCACAAAATACTCATAAAAATGTCTGCAAATGAGAATTCTAAACAGTGAACCATCTATACCAGATATAGGCCAATCATTCCAGATAGAACAAGCAAAGATGGCATTCTTTGCCCATGAAGAGAGCTCAGGAACCAAATCAGGTTGGGT
Source organism: Homo sapiens (assembly GCF_000001405.40). Classification (NCBI taxonomy): domain Eukaryota; kingdom Metazoa; phylum Chordata; class Mammalia; order Primates; family Hominidae; genus Homo; species Homo sapiens. The sequence goes on along the minus strand of NC_000014.9, from coordinate 51,277,614 downwards.
TTACTTTATGCCACATAGAAAAAAAGGCTAACAAAAGACTTCATGAGCACTGCTCAAAAACTTCTTATGCATGTAAGCTCCTACAAGAAGTCTACCATTAGTCAACAACAAAGATGAAAAATGAAATCATTTTGACCTGGAACAGAAAAAGATGTATTTCAGATTTTTTTTATATGAAAGACAAGTCCTACAATTTTTTTTTTAAGTGAGAGATTTCTCTTGTGGAATATCAGAGAGAAAATATTTGGTTCATTTATGCGAGGAAGAAAAAAGCAGAAAAGCCTAAAAGAAACACAATCAAAGCAAAACTCTAATTTGTTAACAAAAATAAATTCAGCCCTATTGTTAGTTTTTGACAAAACAGCTGCCTAACAACTTAAACCAATTGCAATCATATTATTTTGTAATTTGCACACAAAACTTTTTGTTGCTTTTTTTCTCCCCAGGTTTGCTTTATGATGTTTGTTCTTTTTTAAAAAAAAAATCTATTAGCTACTTAAGAAAAAAAATAGGAATTATAAAGTAAGACTACAGATAGCCAGTTTCCAAGTTCCTTGCTACTCTGAAAAATCAGCTGGAAATAGTCAACCACTAAGCATAGTGTGTCTTAAATCTGCTTCAAGGAATCAGGCAAGGTTTTGAGGATAATTGTGAGGCAGGAGAATAGGGCCTGGAGGCAGGGAACCTAAGGACTTCCTAGAACTAAATCAAATGGAAACACTCCACCTAAGACAGGAAATATCCTCTTCATTTACATAGGGCATACACAGAGTAAATAACTTTGTAACTTCACTTTAGCCTGTTCATTTACATAGGGCATACATCAAGTAACCAATGGAAGCATCTACAGGGTATTTAAATCCCAGAAAATTCTGTAACTGGGCCCTTGAGCCGCTTGCTCAGGCCTGCTCCCAACCTGTGGAGTGTGGTATCATTTTCAGTAAATCTCTGCCTGTGCTGCTTCATTCTTTCCTTGCTTTGTGCATTTTGTCCAATTCTTTGTTCAAGACACCAAGAACCGGGACACCCTCAACCAGTAATAATTGGGCAAAAGGGCTTCTTCTCCTGGAGTGAATGTCCCCTCCAAAGTACGGTAAACACATACACAAAGGATTTTAGTGTAAATGAAAAGGATAAAAACACTGTTTGACTCAGATGAGTTCACTTTCCTCACCTCCATATTTAATGCACCTGGTAAGGACGACTTGAGTTTCTAAATCCCAAACCCATAAGGCATGTTTCCTCAATATGTCAAATCATGTTGTTTCCATTTATCTTTTACAGTTTCTCAAACTATGAGATGCAAACTTAACATTTTCTAAAATGTTTTCTCAAATAGTAAACCCCACTTCAGTAAGGCCAGGAGCACCATATAATTCAAACAATGCACAAGTGTATCCGGCCAAAGCGGGAGTGAGGGCCAAGGAGGGTTGGTCCCAGGAAAATGCATGAATATAAATATATTTGCAAAACTTCACATAATTTCAGGGATCTTAGGTCCTATGAAACCCAGATCACAGGTTCAGAACTCCCTACTCTATTGTTCAACCCAAATAAATAAGGTTTGTACTTTACCATACTGATTGAGAATTTGTTGCTGAGTCAGTCCTAAATTAGGTATAAAACTCATTACAAACGTGCCCTTTTCAAGGTAAAAGAAATTTTATTTTTACCAGCTTAATAAACTATATTGTCCTCTGCTGCACAACTTACAGTTTTATCTAAATAAGATCTTCAGATGATAGCTTTCAAGCATTTTCTCTGCAATTTATCTTCTGCCCCATAAAAAGGTCACTCTCTTGCCTTTTAAGACTAACATTATGGAAAGCATATCCAGAAGTCCCGACATTTATAACTTTGCAATACTTATTTTATAGCATTTTAAATTTTTACTAAAGTGAGTAAAATGTATCAATTGAAGCTATTGGTTATAATAGTTTAAATGAGTGAAATGATATAAGAACACACCCTAACACACACAGACTGAGCTGCCAAACCCAAGTAACTTAATAATCGATAGTAAAAGGGAGGAAAAAAGCATCACACTTAATTTCTGGATGCAGCTATAACCTTAAACTCAATTGTGTTTGTGACAACATCATCCCTGTGCTTTAGTATAAAGAGGGCCCCAATATTTGAACGACCTTCAATAATAAAAGCTTTTTGTTAATCTTTAATTTTCCAAAACACCGCTAAAGTCATAGCGAAAAGATTTTTTGAAGTATACACCAAAAATACAAAAAGAACAGAGGAGTAGGCCCAGCACAGTGGCTCATGCCTGTAATCCCAGCACATTGGGAAGCCGAGGCGGGTAGATCACTTGAGCTCGGGGGTTTGAGACTAGCCTGGGAAATGTAGTGAGACACCGTCTCTACTAAAAATACAAAACAATAGCCAGGTGTGATGGTGCGTGCCTGAGATCCCAGCTACTCATATGAGATGGGAGGATCGCTTGAGCCTTGGGGGCAGAGGTTGCAGTGAGGCAAGATTGCACCACTGCAGTCTGGGTGACAGAGTGAGAGGCTGTCTCAAAAAAAAATTAAAAAAACAAAAAAAAATTAAAAAAAACAGAGGAGTACTTCTGTTTCAGGTAATTTAGTGGAGTGAATAATTTGAGAAAAACTCCTAGGACAGATGCCTAAAAGTTCTGGGTAAAAAATTTTTAAATCTCCTTAAATTCACAGCTGGGCATTTGAGAATCTCCTCAAAGCTAAAAATGAAGAAAAACGTGAATCCAGTGAAGCAGCCAAGTCTAAGAGCTAACAGCTACCACGGAGTTTCTGCTGGTCACTGATGGACTGGGTCTTTTAGTTCATTGGTCTTTATACAAACAGAGGCACTGGAGGAAAAGCCTAGCAAGAGAGAGGTCAGATGAGACCCACCAGCAACTCCCTCAGTGGAACCAGGAAATATCCCCCAGAGACGGAGATAGCAAAACAAACAAAAAAAAATGTGCCTATTTTGCCTTGGCTCTGGAAAAGAAAGAGAAAAAAATTTCCTCCATGAGTTTCTATCCACAAACTGGCCCTGCACACCAAGGCAAAATTTGTATAACCCTTAGGTATGAAAAACCCCAAGGTGAGAATTTAAAACACCTCCAAGTGACTGGTAGAAATAAGTACAAATCCTAGAGGAACACACCTTGAAGTCTGGTCTCCAAAAATTTATACAGATGACAAACCAAGTTAAGCTCAAAAACCTGTACACACAAGAGGAGACAAATTAACATGACTGACACTCAGCAGAACACCAACAACCCTATCAGACTCACCGTGACTACATATACAGAAATAAAGAATATAATTTCATTGAACATATTTAAATATAAAAAGATAGTACTTTAAGTATGGAGAGGCAGATTTCATCATATGTAGAGCATCTATAAATTTAAAATATATCATTGAATTTAGAAACTCAATAAAGAGATGAAAGATTAGGCATGGTTGAAGAAATAATAAACTTGAAGCTAGTTCTAAAGAAATTGTTTAGGATAAAGAGTAATAAAGAGATGAAAAATATAAAAGAAAAATTAATCAATATTGGGGACAGGGGGAGAATGTTTAACATACCTCTAATAAGAAATTAGTAGAGAATACAGGAATGAGGCAATATTCAAAGACATAATAGTGGAAACATTTCTAAAACTGTTGAAAGCCAAAAATCTTCAGATTCAAGAATCCTGATGAATCCTAAAAAGACTGAATAAAAAAATTACACCTAGACACTACAGAACAACAAAAGACAGACTGCATATAAAAAAGTTAGTTTAATGACTGGCTTCAAAACTTCAGAGGGTCTGCTCCAGAAAGAAGTAAAATGAGCCCAAAAAGAAGGTCCATGATGCAAGAACCAATGATGAGCATAATAAATGCAAAATAAGTAGGGGAATCTAGACTAATATTGACTGCATAAGGCACCAACAATAGTAATACCTAAATTGTGGGGTTAAAATAGAGAATTAGGCTCAGGTGTGGTGGCTCACACCTGTAATCCCAGCACTTTGGGAGGCTGAGGCAGGAGGATCACTTGACGTCAGGAGTTTGAGAACCAGCTGAGCAACATGGTGATACCCCATCTCTACTGAAAATATATGCCTGTAATCCCAGCACTTCGGGAGGCCAAGACAGCAGGATCACCTGAGGTCAGCAGTTTGAGACGAGCCTGGCCAACATGGTGAAACCCCATCTCTACTAAAAATACAAAATTTAGCGGGGTGAGATGGCGGGTGCCTGCAATCCCAGCTACTCAGGAGGCTGAGGTGGGAGAATCGCTTGAACACAGGAGGTGGAGGTTGCAGTGAGCCGAGATAGCACCACAGTACTCCAGCCTGGGCAACAAGAGTGAAACTCTGTCTCAAAAAAAAAAATACATATATATATACAAAAATCATCCAGGTGTGGTATTGGGCACCTGTAATCCCAGCTACTCGGGAGGCTGAGGCAGGAAGATCACTTGAACCCAGGAGGCGGAGGTTGCAGTGAGCTGAGATCACGCCACTGCACCCCAGCCTGGGTGACAGAGCAAGACTCCATCTCAAAACAAAACCAAAACAAATATATATATATATTTAAATATATATATAAATTATAATATATAATTTAAAATATATATAAATATATATATAAATTATAATATATAATTTAAAATATATATTTTAAACAAATATATATTTTATATATAGAGAGAATTAAAACAATAGCATGTAAATTAGGAGGTAGGCAAAAATAGTGATTAATATGCTTGTTAGAACTTTAAGAGATCCACGAAAAAATTAAAATGGCATCATTTTCAATAAGGGGGAAAATGGAATTCTAAAAAAAGTTTTAATTAAAAAATTGGAAAAAAAATTCTCCAACAATTCAAGAGAAAAAGTATGTATATAAACAATAGGACAATTACAAAGCACAACGTAAGACGGTAGAAATGACTGCAAATGTATCAGTAACCACAATAAATGTTAAAGGAGTAAATTCTTCAGAAAGAGAAAATACATTTCATTGTAAGGCCCATGTCTAGCCACCTGTTTTGTAAATAAAGTATTACTGTAATATAGCAACACTCATTCATTTACATACTGTCATGGCTATTTCTGTGATAAAACAGCCAAGTTGTGCTCTTCACCAACATCATATTCTGGGTTTTCTCATCATAAATCATTGTGCCTATTCATTGTGCCTATTTGTACAAGAAAGATCTGAACAAGCTTTTAATGTTCTGACTCAAGCCCATATGAATTTCTAGATGCCAATGGCTTACTACAATCTTTCTCTTTACTACTGGTAAAACCTTCTGCCCTTATAAAGCCTGCAAGTTGTATAGTATGAGGCATCATCAAGTTTAACGGTGTCCCTAAAACCAAGTCTACAGTTCTGATGGTAGTCTTGAAGGTGTCCCATGTTATACAACCTTTGTTGCTTTCTGGAAACACACATTTCTCGCAAGTGGGCTTACCTCCTATGAAATCCTATTGCTTAGCTTGTTGGTTATTTAGCAATAAAGGAGCTTAATATATACACTTATAGCGGATATGCTTTTGCAGGTAGTCCATGATTTTAGAATGCTTTGGCTACAATACAGGATTTTGACATCAGCAGGAAATCCAATTAAGATTGGCAGATTAAAACAACTTTTAAGTGCTCTAATACTTCCTAAGGTGGTAGTTATTATCAAGGTTGAAATTCATCCCAAAAAGGGATAACACAAATGCTAAACAAGGTGTTCTGGCTGGTCACTATGGAAGACAGGCATCTTTTGCTAAGCTCCTAGCACCCATGAAACCCCAAAACCACAAAGGTCCTCTTTGTGCACCTCCAAATGGATTCATACAAGTACATCCTGCAGTGAGTTTTTAATATGTCCTGTCCACTGTTTGCTTATTCTCAGGATAGACTAAGCCTTTCCTTGCTAGGGAGCTATGGCTCTATGGTAGAAAAAATATTATCTGATGTCATATTGCCAACCTGTGGAATTCAAACATCTCTCTAGTGGCAGGGGTCCCAATTTTTCTAGGATTGTTATTAAAGAGCTTTGCAAGGCCCCTCCACTTAATCAGAAAGTTCCCTATCTATATTGCCCCAATATCCAAGAAAGGTAAAGAATAAATATAACTCTGAATCTCAATTTTGCAAAGTTCCCAGAGACTCTCAAAGTTCTACGGTCTAAGATATTCCCATAAGCTTTAATGAGTCCACTGGAGTCTATCAACTCTTGCTTTATGAGTAAATACAGGCCTGCCCAGGCATCTAGGAATATTACATCTGATTCTAGACTCCAGACACAACTGGCAAGCAGACAGGACCAAGTATTACAAGGAACTCATGCTAAACATCCAGTCTTATCAATAGGTATGAGCAGCCTTTCCCCCAAATCCTCCCAAACAAACTTCATACAACCTGAAACCCAAAGACTTGGTCTTCTGAAAGAAACAATTTACTCATGAATTAGCTAAATAAAGCATACACTCAAACTGAGAGTTGGGATTATATACATTTTCCTTTTGGAGGAGCCACCCAGCTTCCGTTGGTTCCATTTCCTTGTAATGAGATCAAATGATTTTCTGGGTAAAATACAAGGATAAATAGCCTATCAAAAACCAAAACAAAACAACAAAATGTTCCTGTCTCCACCAAAACTATGCTTGAGACCTTTGGGACCTTTTGTGGGAGCTAGCTTTTGTACACAAACTTTCACAGATAGAAAGCTTGAAAGAGAACTAGGGAACAGATTATGCATATTTGGAGACTATCTCACTTTACCCGATCTGACAAGTAAAACACACTACTTCTCTTTCACTTTAGAACAACCAAATTAATAGTCTTGACACCATAAATTTCACTGCCTGGAGCCAGACCACTCTTCATAAGTGGCCCTAGAGCATAGCAAAAGGATTTGACAATAACCACAGGAGTATTTTGACCAAAAACAGACGACTGAGTGGCCACCAGTGAGTGGATTTGTAACACAAAAACCTACTGGCTACTACCTGCAAATCGGACAGAGGCTTGTTACTTTGGTAAACTCCTAACTAACCTCAGGATAGTCCCTGTTATCATCCAAGATCTGTTTTGATTCATCAATTTACCCTCTTAGAAAAAGAGATAGCTTCATGAAAGGAGAAAAAGTGGGTCTTGGTTTGAGAATCGAAACCCTAATCACTCAAATTCTGGATTGCTTTCTGCTGTCTTCAATCCTCTTCACTTTATAAGAGGCCTAGAGGTAGAGAGTCTCCGGCATGCTATGGTTCAGAGAAAAGCAGGAAAGCTATAATAAACAATGCTACCACAACTACAGAACTCTTTGCCCAAGAGGTTCAGAAAATGGAACTCAAAAAGAGCCCATTAATTATAATATTGGTGTCTTGAGAGAAAACGTGCTGTTTTAGGGGGAAATGGTATGCTTATAGCCCTGCAGATGTCTCTGGCATCTTTAACAATACTAAAAAGATCTGGTAAGCTAACCAAAAAATCATAAAATTAATTAACTTTATGATTTGACTAATAATCCCATACCTGGTACTGCATCTCCTCATTATATAGGAGATAAAATCTGTTCTTCTAGCTTAATTTGGACACTCTTGAGTCACGGCTTAGAGGAAGACAACAAACTGATCATAATCCTTCTCTTGGTATATTTTATTTACAGGGGCTCAGATGGTGTGTCCTCAAGTTTTAAATGCTGCTGTCCAACTGTTGTCTTACCACATGATTAAACAAATGATCATCCAACAAAAAGAACAGAAAAACCTAACACTTGAATGTTGAAACAACCATCTGGGAAATGATACATGACTAAGAGACTATATATAGCAGAGAAGATCTAGACTGATCACATCCCCAGTAGTGAATCCATCAGCTCAGGCCAAAGAATGGCAATAAGGGGGTGAAAAGGAAAAACTGTTTCCTCTATATTCACACTTCTGACATCAAATGTATAGAAGCTTTCCACACCAAGCAATTCTCCAGTTCTCTGTGGATACCAACAGGGTGTCCTACAATTTAATTCTGACACTGACTGTACAGAGACAGTGCAGACCCCACAGGTTAAGGGCTCATTCCCACAAGACTGCCTCCCTTTCCCCACTTCAAATGCCAATCAAAAATCCAAGCCTCCCATATTTCTGACATCTATAAATCAGCAGTTCCTAAGAACCCCTCCTAAGGTTCAATAACTTACTAGAATGGTTCACTGAACTCAGGAAATGCTTATTATTTCTGGCTTATTATAAAGGATACAACTCAGGAATGGCCAGAGAAGAGAGGTATTGGGCAGCAAGGTATGTGGGAAGGGATATAAGTTTCCATGTGCTCTCTAAGCATACCACCCTCCCTGCACCTTCATGTGTTCACCAACCCAGAAACTCCTCGAGCCCCTTTATTAAGGGTTTTTAAGGAGGTTCCATTACATAGGTATGATTAATTCAATCACTGGTCGGGAGAAAGCTTCGAAGTTTCAGTCTTCTAATCACAAGGTTGATTCCCCTGGTAACCAGTCCCTATTCTGAAGCTATAATATTTAGGGGCTTTTAGCACCACTCTTTTCATGAAAATATTAAAAGACACTCACCATTCACTCCGGAGATCGCAAGTTTCTGAGAAGCTCTTGTGTCAAGAACAAGGAATAAGATTTAAAAAGATACTCCTATCACCCCACCACTAAGGAAATTGCAAGAGTTTTAGGAACTCTGTGTCAGGAACTGGGGGGCAAAGACCAAATATATATTTCATATTATGTTACAAGGGGATACACTAAAAGCTGAAACCATCTGCACCCACACAGTTTACCGTCAATATCAACAACTGTCTTCATTCACATAGCATTAATATTCTAGGAAATTTACCCAGGAAGGTAAATCTGCAAATAATTTTATTTGTTCATTTCAAGACATAGTCATAATCATTTATCTGAACACTCAACTACTGAACATATCATAATCATTTATCTGAACACTAAACTACTGAACTTACCCTCATCAAAGTATATACTCCTTTCTCAGAATACAGCAATGAATGTCTACTTCTCAAGATTCACTTTATTTTTATTTTATTTTACCTTTCAGATGGAGTTTCACTCTTGTTGCCCAGGCTGGAGTGCAGTGGTGCAATCTCGGCTCACTCCAACTTCTGCCTCTTGGGTTCAAGCGATTCTCCAGCCTTAGCCTCCCAAGTAGTTAGGACTACAGGCATGTGCCACCACATCTAGCTAATTTTTGTAATTTTAGTAGAGACGGATTTCACCATGTTGGCCAGGCTGGTCTCGAAAAGCGCCGGGATTACTTGGCCTTCCAAAGCACTGGGATTACAGGCGTGAGCTACCGTGCCTGGCCAAGATTCACTTTCAGATCCTATCCACAAATTTGTCTAAGCATAAGCCCCCAAATGAAAAGACCCACCATAAGCCAGAGCCCCAAGGAACCCAAAATATCCTGCCTTTGCTCTCCCTCTAAGACATTACCAATATGCTGTCAATGTAGTGATCAATAGGATTATTTTGGTGTACTTCAGGAAGACAGGATTTTACAATAGAGTAGGAAGTTTAAAGTACAAGGTGCCATACAGAAAAGTCCCATGCAAGATTAGGGTAGCATAGCATAGGAGAAGTTACTACACTAACATTCTCCCAAAGTGTACTTTAAGAAATACTGATCTCTTAGGATATTTAAAGTTGTTGCTTTCAAAAGGGATTCTATATTCAAACAAACTTGATTAATACCAGGTTGAACAAAGGTAAACTGGTCTTATTGGTAATAGGTACTGTAAACATCCAGCTGGAACATACTGTATTGACATACATATCAAACTCATTTGACCACGAGCATTGTCCTCATAAATATCTTGTGGGATTAGTTTTCTACAGAAAATATTTTGAGAAACATTGAACTCTACTAAAGTCAATGATCCTAGGTTCAAGTCTTCATTCCAACACTTACTTATGGTGTAACCTCACCCAAGTCTTTTAGCCTCTCAGTTTCCTTATCTGTAAAATAATAATAATATTCATAATAATAAAAAATATGCGCTCTGTCTACTAATAAAGGTTGTTGTTAGAGTCACATGAGATAAAGAACATGAAAGCCCTTTGTAAACTCTAAAGCAACGTACACATGAATAAAATGTTTTTTTTTGTTTTGTTTTAGAGACGGAGTCTCACTCTGCTGCCCAGGCCAGAGTACAGTTGTCTGGTCTTGGCTCACTGTAACCTCCACCTCCTGGCTTCAAGCGATTCTCCTGCCTCAACCTCCTGAGTAGCTGGGACCACAGGTGCACACCACCATGCCCGGCTCATTTTTGTATTTTTGGTACAGAAGAGGTTTCACCACGTGGGCCACGCTAGTCTCAAACTCCTGACCTCAAGCGATCCGCCTGCCTCACCCTCCCAAAGTGCTGGGATTACAGGTGTGTGTGGTGAACAAAAGGTTTTTACAATATCTCACATTAGAGATAAGGGAAATCCATGGGGATCATGAGACAGTATTATTGGTGAAATAAAATGGAAAATATTTTATTAAAAGTTGTTTTTTGTGGCCGGGCGCAGTGGCTCATACCTGTAATCCCAGCGCTTTAGGAGGCCGAGGCGGGTGGATCACGAGGTCAGGAGATCGAGACCATCCTGGCTAACACGGTGAAACCCCGTCTCTACTAAAAATACTAAAAATTAGCTGGGCGTCGTGGCCGGCGCCTGTAGTCCCAGCTACTCGGGAGCCTAAGGCAGGAGAATGGCGTGAACCCGGGAGGCGGAGCTTGCAGTGAGCCAAGATTGCACCACTGCACTCCAGCCTGAGTGACAGAGTGAGACTCCGTCTCAAAAAAAAGCTGTTTTTTTTTGCAAAGTTGGATAACTAGCACAATTGGGGCCTTCTTTGGTGGCTTAACTCAAGATCAGTGGTAAACAGCCGAATGAAAAAATATATTCAGCAAGAACTTATTAAGATGACAGTGCCAAGACACTAATATGATTCCATTTGAATTTGGATACTTCTCCTTGCTATGATAAATTTTATAATGATGCTTCTAAAACAAAACAAAACAAAAACCCTCAGTAACCCAACTGACCTTTTTCTTCCTTAGTGAGTGCCAAGCATCAGATTAAATCTGATCTCCCCATATGTACAGGAGGAAGTGTCACTGATGTAACTAAAATGCCAAGATAATCATTCACCTTGTGAGTCTATCTTTTCTTAACACAGACACAAAGAGTAATGAAATTACTACAGGCATGGGTGTCACAATAATACAAACTGTCACCTGATAGATCTCTTAAGTCAATAGCCCTTTTTGATCAAAAATGAGTTCTATTTAACAATGTGACTAGAGCATTTAACTTTACAGTTGTATCACATAGCATGGCTTCCAGTAACTCCACTCAAACAAAACTTTGTGAAGGATGAAGAAATCTACTGATTGGGAGGAGATTCTAATACTTGCTTTCTATCTATCTGCCTTTAAATGAGCTAATGAGGAAACTTCAGTTTATTCATCTCCCCCTAGACGTATTGTTCCCAGACTTCAAAATGTTATAAACCAGTAACATTCTCCTCCAAATGTTAGACACAAGAAACTGTCAACTTCTAACTTTACTAAGGTCATTTTTAAAAATTACCATCATTTTTCATTTTAGAAACACTAAGAAGTAGAAAGATATCATCTTAGAATAAAGGACTGCCCGAAGGATTAATAAAAATATACCACAATGCCCTATTTTTGTGGACTATGATTTCTTTGGAAGCTCATATCCAAGATGAGAATAAGTAACAGATCATTTTATGCAGTTTGCACGTACTCAGCTAAAAATCAGCCTGAAAACTGGGACCATTTAAGAATCTGAATTTATGTGTTAACATTGAATGTAACTAAAAATGTTTATATGCAATATATTACTAAAAGTTATCAAGCAGTTTGGCTTCTCCAGCAGTAAGGTGTCAAAGCATGCACTGACAAGGAGCTTGCAAATACATAAAAAAAAAAAAAGGAATCACATTCTTGACAGGTTTACAAAATAATAGTTTAAAAAATGGTTCCAGTTACAGTGCAAGTTACAGACTATTAAGCAGTAGTCTTATTCAACTGCAATCCACCTTTATAAACATTAGACTAAGAAACATTCGTGATAACATAAACATTTCTCATCCTTTCCTTCCTCCTCCTCAAAGGAAACAAAATAGCAAAATAATTCCTACCACCTTCAAACTTATATTGTTCCCATTCTCAGAAGACAACTAAAGTAACTGTCCAAAACGATTTGTAAGAATTTGCTCACTAAACATAAAATCCAAATATAAAAGTTCTATTAAACAAGTCAAGCAAGGCTCTTTTAGGTTCAAAGCCTGCTTTCACACTAAACAGCTATATTTGAACCCAATATATACTATTTTTAGCTTCCAGGATTTCATCTCTAATGCTTACAGAGCATAACATTAGTGTAATGAATTATGAGCTATAATAAAAAATAGATCCCTGAAAGGAAAACTATACTCATTTCACCTTTCATTACCCAGTGTTTGTTGTGTCTGATTTGGCCCAAGAATTACTTTTTACCACATACATGTACTCTTTGTTCCCCCTAACCTTGGAATGTCACAGTGAGAGAAGTAAACCATAGGCTTGAAATGAGCATTCTCAGATAATGAAATACATATGGAATGAACTGGGTTAAGTTAAATCAAGACACCATTGTTCACAAAGTCGAGAGGTAACAGCCATGCTCATAATTTCAACTGAAAAGTCTTACTCAAAATGGTTAGGTAGTAAGAAAAATTATCTCAAGTAAGATGTCCAGAGGTAAGGGGTATTACACCAGGACTTTCCCTTTGCTTTTCTGAGATCCTCTTGGCTCTGCCATCCTGTTTATTGGCTTCATCCTCAGGCTGTGAGATGACCTCAAAATTCTGTGCATCACATTCAGATAATGCCAAACTCCAGAAGAGAGAGAACTATCTCTTTGCTGAGTCTCATTTTTAAGAGGCCTTGCCAGAATACCGCAATATCTCAATGGCTCTATTTGGAGCACACATCCATTGACCATGTCAATTGCTGGATTGGATTAGCATGTGTGTTCATAATCTAAACTCAATCTAGCAGGCAAAGATGGAGTCAACTGCCCCTGAAGCATATGAACGCAGGGGAGACACAGATGGAGGACTTAAAATCTGGCTTTTGCAGTGAAGGATGGGATGATGCTAGTACAGTGACACAACACAACAGTATTGTCTATGAGAGTAAAGGGCAGGGCAGCCTTTTTCATTTCTGGCTCCCCATTCTCAGCAGACTCAGGGTGTGATTATTTCCTAGTGACCTGTTTCGTTTTACAAATGTGAACATTAATGCTCGGAAGTCTCCCACTACATCACTACAGTTTGTTTCAAACTAACAAGTTTCAGGCCTCAAGGAGCTGACAGTCAGGTTTTGGAGACAAGTATGAATCTAATAATTGTCTTCTTAAAGGTAGAGAAGAAACTTCAGTAATCATTTTACACATAAATTGAGGACAAGAGATGTATGGTCTTTGCTCAATGTCACTTAGCTAATTGGTATAATAAATGCAAGAGAAGAAACATTACAAGACAAATGTGACTTAACTGCCAGAGGATGATAAAACCTACACTTGTGGGCCGGAAAGGACTTTAAACGGATTTCAGCTGACTTATGAACCAACAGACAATGTGAGGAACATTCACTGAAGAGCTGATTTGTTAAAGTGGTCTCAAGAATATTAATTGAGGTGGATGGTAGGCAGATAGTTAAGAACATTTAAAATTTCCAACCAAGAAATATATATTTGATTCTGTGGAACATGGGAGATATCTAAAGTTTAGAGAACATTTCTTAAGAATGCCCTGCTACCTCAAAAAAAAAAAAAAAAAAAAATTAGCCAGGTGTGGTGGTCCACGCCTGTGGTCCCAGCTACACAGGAGGCTGAGGCAGGAGAATCGCTTGAACCCAAGAGGCAGAGGTTGCAGTGAGGTGAGATTGCGTCACTGCACTCCAGCCTGGACTACAGAGTAAGACTGTCTCAAAAAAATAAATAAATAAATAAAAGCCCAGGTAGCAATATGCCAATCATCCTAAGGACTTGAACTGATATACTCAAATCCACTAGGTAACCTTATTTCTGACCTGCTTTATTAAAAACACTGAAAATAGGAAGGCTTGAAAAAAATACATTGCTTAAGTTACTCTTAAAAATTAAGTATGTTTCCACTGAACTTAAAACGATGACTCTTAATTATATTTACATTTAAAAGAAGTTTCAGATAAGTCAAACCTCTATTTGGTCAATTTACTTCTGGTGTTTTCATTTCTCATGTTTTGGACACAACCAGTCTGAGTTATAACACCACTAGGAAAACAAGCTTAAAAGTAATGTCACACCCAAGTGGGTAGAAGATACAAGCGGATTTCATTACCAGGCAAAATACTGATATTATCACCATTTGTAATTAATGAATCAAAATAAACAATTACTTTAAAAGAGAGAGAGGGGAATGATGTCAGCAACAGGGCAGAATAGAAGGCTCCTGACTGTCCTTCATCCCACAGACACACTGGGTAAACACCTACACATGGATCAGCTCTCAAGAGAAAGCCAGAATCCAGCTGAAAGACACCTACACACCATATGACTGAGAAAATATCCACATCAAAACAGGTAGGAAAAGTGGAGATACACCAGCACACTAACCCTACCGTGAGCATGGCACCTTAAAAACAGAAAGGAAACTCCAAATCCTAGCTTCTTCCTGATGGGTGAGGGACTTATACCACATGTGCTCAACATTTACAGTCCCTGCCTTAAAGTCTGACACTTAAAATTACTTTGCTTGGGAAACAGGAGGGCATGGCATCAGATTTCCTTCAAGCACAAACAACAAAGGGGGCTTTTGAACCAAACAAACACTCCCAGTTGCTGCAGTCCCCAGGATCAGCTCAGCTCCCAACTTGTTCCTGAAAGGGTTTGAACACACACTTTTCCAGCAGCTCCCTGAGATTCTGGCTTCTAACAAACCTGTACCTGGTAACCTACATAGCAAAATAAAGAATAAACCTCACTTTGGGAGGCTGAGGCAGGAGGATGAAACCAGGAGTTCAAGACCAGCCTGGGCAACATAGCAAGATGCTGTTTCTACTTAAAATTTTAAAATTAGCTGGGTGTGGTGGTGTGTGCCTGTAATCCTAGCTACTTGGAAGGCTGAGGCAGAAGGATCACTTGAGCCCAGGAGTTTGAGGCTGCAGTAAGTTATGAAGCTGCGACTGCATTAAAGCCTGGGTGACAGAGCAGGACCCTGTCTCCAAAACATATATATATATATAAGGCTAGGTGTGGTGGCTCACACTTATAATCTCAGCACTTTGGGAGGCCAAGGCAGGATGACTGCTTGAGCCCAGGAGTTCAAGACCAGCCTAGGCAACATAGTTCAGACCTCATCTCTAAAAAAAAACCCCCAAAATTTAGCTGGGCATGGTGGCATGCACCTGTAGCCCCAGCTACTCGGGAGGCTGAGGTGGAGGATCACCTGAGCCCAAGGACGTTGAAGCTGAAGTGAACCATGATCATGCCACTACACTCCAGCCTGGGCAACAGTGAGGCCCTGTCTCAAAAAATATATAAATAAATAAATAAATCTCTTCAAGTCTAAACGGGAAGCATGGCACTCCCTATGTCACCTTCCTTAACTTGCTATAGCTCTCCAGGGAAAGAGGTTGGAGACTTCTGCCAGCAAGAATGGGAGCGATAGCATCCCCTGCACCTTCTTGACCAGCAAGGGGTACCTCTCTATGTATAAAAGGGAAAGCAGACACTCCCTGCCTTCCTCCCTGGCTTACTTCAGTGACAACTCCAGGAAAGTCTCCCCCTGCTAGGAGGTTGTGAAACTTCTGTTTGCTCTAACAGGAGAGTGAGCACTCCCAACATCATCTTCTCTGGCTTGTTCCAACAACAGATCCAACCTGCAAACTCTGTGGAAAGTTTCCACATGCATCTAGCACCCCAACTTGTAAAGCCTTCACTAAGCCTTTACTGGCACCTACATCACCTAGTTCTGGAAACTGACAGAGCTCTGTATTCCTGAGTCTTCTGGACCATAGAGAACAAACAGATGACTTTTAAACTTGTACGTTCAGCAGCTATCTCCCCAGGTTCAAAGTGCACAACCTGAACAAGACTTTAAGGATCTGCTTCTGACCCGTCCTTGATGTAAGATAGAAAGAGTCAGAGATAAACTCTGGCTCTCAGCTTCTCTGCAAGGGAAGAACTGAATCATATCTCACACTCCAACCTCTGCAGTTGCATTCCAAAGGACTGCCTTCTATCCTGCCTCTTACAAGGCAATAGTATGACTTGATGCTCTCTAATTTCTTGGGGTCCACTAAGAACAAAGATTCTTTGGACAAGCACAAAGAGTTTAGAGGCACTTAGAATCTCTGGTGGGGCTGACTGAGGGAGAACATCTACATGAGGCCAGTCTACCAAGACTTGGAGGGGGATTCTTTTATCTAATGAGCAAAAACTAACACAAAAATTACGGACAATGAAGAAAAAGGGAAATGTATTCCAAGTAAAAAAAAAAAAAAGATAAATCTCCAGAAGCCAACCCTAAGGAAATGGAGATATGTCATTTGCCTGACAAAAATTCAAAAGGACAGTCATAAAGATGCTCACCAAGGTAAGGAGAGCCATTCTTAAAGAGAGAAATTCAATAAAAAGATAGAAAATATTAACAAGTACCAAACAGAAATCATCAAGCTGAAAAATACAATAACTAAACTAAAAAACTCAGAATGGTTCAACAACAGATTAGATCAAGCAGCAGGATTAGCAAATTTGAAGACAGGTCATTGGAAATCATTCAGCCTGAAGAGAGGAAAAAAAAAGGATAAGAAGGAGTGAAGACAGCCTAAGGGACATACAGGACATCATCAAGCAGAATTTATGCATTATCATTGTGCCAGGAAAAGAGAGAAAGGGACAAAACATTCAAACAAATAATGGTAAAAAATTTCCGAAGTCTGAAGAAGGAAATAGAAAGCCAGGTCCAGGAAGTTCAATGATGTAAAAGGATGAATCCAGAGACCAACACCAAAACATATTATAATCAAACTGTTCAGAAGTTAAAGACAAAGAGAAGATATTGAAAGCTGCAAGGAAAAAGTGACTCGCTACATTCAAAGGGGCTGCCCCATAAGACTATCACTGGGTTTTTCAAAAGAAACCCTGCCAACCAGAAGGAAATAGGATGATATATTCAAAAAGCTGAAAGGAAAAAACCTTACCAACCAAGATACTATCTATACCCAGCAATCCTGTCTTCCAAAAACTTTACCTGAAAAACAAAAGCTAATGATTTATCACCGCTAGACCTGCCTTACAAGAAATCCCAAAAGGACTCTTCAAAAAATACCGCTAAGTAGCAACATGAAAATATATCAAGATAGAAAACTCACTGGTAAAAGTATACAGTCAAATTCAGAACACTCATACTCTGATGGTGGTATAAAAAACAATTATATATCTAGTACAAAGGCTAAAAGACAAAACTATTAAAAAAACCATAGCTAGAATAATTTCTTAAGGAACACAAACTATAAAATATATAAAACATGTCAAGAAAAACACTAGTAGGGAGTAAAAGTGTAATTTGTGCAAGTGATCAAAATTAAGGTGTTATCAGCTTAAAATAGCCCGTTATTAGTATGTTTTACGCAAGCCTTGTGGTAACCACAAAGCAAAGATCCTTAGTAGATATACAAAAAATAAAAAGTAAATATTAAAGCATACCACTATAAAAAGTCAAGGAACCACAAAGGAAGACAGCAATAGAGGAAGAGAGGAACAACTGATCCACAATATTGACCAGAAAACAATTAACAAAATGACAGTATTAAGTTCTTACCTATCAATAGTTACTTTAAATATAAATGGATTAAACACTCCAATCAAAAAGCAGAGCAGATGAATGGTTTTAAAAAAAAAAGAAAAAAGAAAAAAAGACCCAACTACATACTGCCTAAAAGAGACTGACTTCACTTCTAAGGACATATATAGACTGAAAGTGAAGGTATGAAAAAAGATATTCCATGAAAATGTAAAGCAAAAAGGCAAAACAGTATGGTAATGGCATAAAAACAGTCACATCAACCAACGGAATAGGATAGATAGCACAGAAATAAACCCAAGTATTTATAGTCAATTGATTTCCAAAGAGGATGCCAAGAACACACAATGGGAAAAAGAGTTTCTTCAACAAATGGTGTTTGGAATAAGTGCTTTTACCAACATGCAGAGGAATGAAATGGAATTCTTATCTCACACCATAATCAACTCAAAATGGATGAAAGACTTAAACCTAAGACCTGTAACTATAAAGTTACTGGAAGCTCTACAACATTCATCTGGGCAATGATTTTTTGAACAGAACTCCAGAAGCACAGGCAACAAAAGCAAAACCAGACAAATGGGGTTGCATCAAACTGAAAAGCTCCTGCACAGGAAAAGGCATAATCCATATATTGGGAGAAAATATTTGCAAACCATATAACTGATAAAGAGCCAATATCTAAAACATATAAGGAACTAAATTCTATTTATTTAGAAATAATTTCTTATTAATGTCTAATAATTTCTAATGATTTATTAATAAATCAATTCCAGTTATTAAGAAAAATAACTTTTTTAAATGGGCAAAAGATAAACAGATATTTCTCAAAACACACAAATAGCTAACAGATATAAGAAATGCTCAACATCTCTAATTATCAAGGAAACACATATTAAAACCCAATCAGAGATCACCTGTTAACAATGGTTATGATCAAAAAGACAAATAAGTATTAGTGAGAATTTTGAGAAAAGGGAACCCTTGTACACTCTTGGTGGGAATGTAAATTAGTACAGCCATTTTGGAAAATAGTATGAAGTTTCCTCAAAAAACTAAAAAAAACAGAATTACCCTGTATCCCGGCAATCCCAATTCTGGATATGTATCCAAGGAACTGAAATCAGTATGTTGAAGAGATATTTGCACTCCCATGTTCATTTCAGCATTATTCACAGTAGCCAAGATAGGGAAGTAACCTAAGTTTCTGTCAATGAATGAATGGGTAAAGAAAATGTAGTATACATGCTGGAATACTATACAGCCTTAAAAAAGGAAGGAAATTCTGTCACTTGCAGTAACATAGACAGAATTGAAGGACATTATGCTAAGTGAAATAAGCCAGGAAGAGAAAGAAATACTGTATGATCTCACTTATATGTAGAACCTAAAAAAGTTAATCTCATAGAAACAATACAAAGGTGGTTACAAGAGGCTGGGAAGTAAGGGAGGAATGGAGAAAGAGAAGATGTTGATCAAACAGTACTGAGTTCCAGTTAGACAACAGGAATACATTTTAGTGATCTATTGCATGGCATGGTGACCACAGTTAATGCATATTTCAAAATAGCTAACTTATATTTTTAACATTTTCTCCACAAAAAAAATGATAAACTGGTGAAGTGATGGATATATTAGCTTGGTCAAATCTTTCTACATGTACACAGATAAAAACATCACATTGTATCCTATAAATATACACAATTATTTCCTGTCAGTTAAAAATAAATGACAAAGGCCAGGCACAGTGCCTCACGCCTGTAATCCCAGCACTTTGGGAGGCCGAGGTGGGCGGATCATGAGGTCAGGAGATCGAGACCATCCTGGCTAACATGGTGAAACCCCAACTCCAGTAAAAATACAAAAAATTAGCCGAGCATGGTGGTGGGCACCTGCGCCTGTAGTCCCAGCTACTCGGGAGGCTGAGGCAGGAGAATGGCGTGAACCCTGGAGGCGGAGGTTGCAGTGAGCCGAGATCATGCCACTGCACTCCAGCCGGGGCAACAGAGTGAGACTCCATCTCAAAAATATAAATAAATAAATAAGAAAAAAGGGGATATGTTACACCTGTTCAAATATATAATCTGACTTTGCTATTTACATATTACCAAAATTCCAACTTAAATTTATTGTTACTCTAGTTTTAATGGTTTCACAAATACAAAAGTTGCTAGATAAGCAGTACCAACATATCTAAATCTCCAATGATGTTCAATTAAAATTTTATTTATAGACTCATACACTCAGCAAAACCACTCATTTAATAAGTCCAACTGAAATAAATTCTTATTAATAAAATACCTATATTGAAAGTAATATATTGTAAGAACTCTACCTTAAATTGACCATGGGGATGAACTACAATGTCATAAAATATGAGCCAAAATGTTCACTCAATAATTTTAATTACATCACAATTAAGCCCAGAACTATGCCTTTTTTTGTGTAAGGCTGAATAAGGACGAAACTGATGAGAGAAAATTGCTTTCTAAAGCATCATTTACTGCAATAACTTACTTTATGCAATAACCAACATCACGAGACTGCAAATACTGAATAATTATGGTTATTTATGAATAGCATTTATTCACTCCTACATTCTGACAGGAGTGAAATTTTAAGACCAAAATAATAGCCGGGCATGGTGGCACATGCCTGTAATCCCAGCTACTTGGGAGGCTGAGGCAGAAGAACTGCTTGAACCCAGGAGGTGGAGGTTGCAGTGAGCCAAGATCATGCCATTGCACTCCAGCCTGGGCAACAAGAGTGAAACTCTGTCTCAAAAAAAAAAAAAAGACCAAAATAAGAGATTGCTGAATTTCATGTACCCACACTGAAGAAAAAAAACAAAAACAAAAACAAACAAAAAAAGATTTGGAACAAGAATTAGATTCAAATTTTACCTATTTGTACCACACCTCTGGGCTGACTCACCTGAAAGATGTGCAATGCTTACCTGTCTTGCAGTTGTCATTAGGACTAAATTAATAAATACAAGAAAACAACAAAGCTCCAGTAGGTACTTGGTAAATGGCAGCTGTTAGATGTAGCCAGAATTCTTCATTAAAACTTTTTTCAGTCTTTCTGATAATCATTAAGTATTTACACAACGTAAGGTAGAATACTGTATTTTCCTCTAGAGATCAGATTTTACAATACTTCAGTAGTACAGCTGAATTGATTATGGTGGGTAGGTGGCCCAGAATTCTCCAGGATATTACTTTTACTATACCTTATTCTTTCCTAAACCATTTGTAAATAATCCCAAAGTTTCTATAAGCCTGTTACTAACTGAAAATTAATTACTCAGATGTCTACAGTGACAATCTTTAAGAACCGTGAGATTATATGTTTCCTGAAATTTCAAGACCCTATCTGTTCAGCCAACTTTACATTTTCTATAGTACAGGGGTCTTTTTGTGGTTTTTGTTTTGCTTTGATTTTTTACTCTATAGAATCTTTCTGGTCACATATTTTCTAATAAAAAAATTGGCCATGTCACATATACTAGAACACTAAAAAAAAAAAATGCTTGATTAATGAGCATTACTGTCCTTAAACATCTCAATAGAAAAAGAAGGCAGTCTTTTGATTACACATATCAAGTACATATATAGGAACACACAACTACTCATCTGAACATCGTTAAATACAAAGTAATAAAGCATACCTTCAAAAAGCAACCAGAAATCATACTGGTCTTCAGCTTTAATGAAGTGGTTAGAAAGGTTTATTTTGTGCTTAGGATATTTTTCTAAGGCATCACAAGTTACACATCCAAACTCTTCAATGGTACAATATTTTAAATTCTAAAGGAGAGGGCTTTAAAGAAAACTTGTATATTACGATACTGTAAATCTAATGGATTCACACAGCAACAGAGCCTAGAAAGAAGGGGACATTACAGAAATTGTCTACTACGTAATGGTCAGTTGATTCATTGTATTTATGATTTTCCCCCTTCTTTTAAGGTGAAAACTATGTATTCTAGCTCTTTAAGGAGTAAAAATACACTAAAATGTTCCATCCTACTGACTTTTACCTGTGAAATCCCACACAATATTACCAGTCAGGAAAGAACACAGGATAATATGAAGTTTGTCTTTTAAAAAATATAAAAATGTTATTATTTTAAAACATCAAGCATTACAGACTGTAAAATCAATTAAGAACTTTCTGTATATGAGGACAAAAATACATTTAAGACATATACAAGAAGATGCTTTTTCCTGAGTAGAATGCAAACTTTTATATTAAGCTTCTTTGAATTTTCAAAATGTAAAATACCAAGGCTTTTTCACATCAGACAAAAATCAGGAATGTTCACCTTCACATCCAAAAAGAAAAAAAAAAAAAAACAATTTCAAGTTGAAGTTCAGCAAGAATGATGTAAAATCTGAAAAAAGTGGCCAAAATTTTAAATTACAACAGATTGTTCAATTTGATGGATCTCTCAGTAAACTTCAGTTTGAAACAACAAAAAAATACTGTTTACTAAAACATAAAAAATGTTTCCAAGAAATTATCATCCAATTTGAAAAATAAAAAATGTAACCCATAGTAAGTAAGAAAAATACAAGAGAAAATCAAACTTTGTTGGAATCAAGAGAATACCATGAACTTAAAAACTTCCTAAATCAGTAGCATATCCTGTATTACCATGTGTAGAAAACTGTAATTAATTAATGTAAGGTAGTTTTTATTAGTTGCATAACCTAAAAATACAAGGAAATTTTGGAATATACCTCTAAAAAGACCACGAAATTGTCACTGAAATACACATTTCTTGAGACAATGGGCAAACTTCCCATTTATGGGAAATATCTTCTTTTTTTCACACAGTGAAACAGAGAAAAATTATATCAAATGAGAAATATTTTTCTCTAAAATAATCTTCTTAAATACCTCAATAATGCAATACTTGGGAAATGTAAATTTTCAAAACTCAGACTTGAAATAGGTTATTATTAAACAAATATACATAAATCTTATTGCTTGGCACGATTTTTCAAAAATTAGAGAACTATTTAAACCATCATACTGTGCTTAAATCATATTTCAAACTTGTATACCTAGTGCTTTTATGTTCTGAATGTAGACTCTTCAATTTAATGACAATCTAGACTGAACCCTGCAATATTCAAAAAAGTCACAGTTCACTTCAAACCAAACAAAATGATCAATCTTCTGTTTTTATCAAAATCATAATATTAAGATAACTATAAAATTTAACTAGGATTTATCTGTGGCCAATGATGGACCCAGAGAGCGTTGTCTTATGGCATTCTGTGGAAAGTCTTTGTTTGTTCCTTCTTTACTTTCAGCTTCTTCTTCTGAAACATCTTCTTCATCCGCCTCTTGTTCCTCCTCCACTTTTTTCAAAGGTTGTGCAGATTCTGATAATAATTTTTCTTAAAGACAAAGACCAAAAATGTATTTTTGTTGATGTATTAGATTTGCTTTAGAGTAAAATCAAGATACAATGTCTCATATGCCCCAAAACTGCTTTGGCATAAATTTATCATGTTTGGATGTCCAAAAGGAAAGTTATTCAAGATAAGATAAAAAAAACCATGAATATTATAAAAATAAAAATTGTTTGAGCCATTTTAGTTATCAAAGTCATTCTAATTACCCACCTATTTATAAACTGAACTGAAATTAATGAATCAGCATTAATGTTGTGAATATGGAAGTTGTGAGAAAATATACAGCATTAAAAAAAACTGGTTGGTCCAATGGTAGTAGGTTATCAGAACTTACTATTACTGTCACTAATGGTGATACACAACCCCCACTGCTAAATTTGACTGCCTTTTAAAAAAACTATCTCATATTAATTTGCTATTAAACTTCTGGTCAACAAGTATACTAAAACTTAAACAGTATCCTTGTTTCAGTTCCCAGGGGAACAGAAATCACACATTTACAGTTGAAGGTTGTATTTCTGTCCATATCTTCTTCTGGTCTTATAAATGTGCTTCCCCTTACTCATCCCCCATATGTATGATTTTATTACAACATAGTTACAAGAATAAAATGTACAAATCTTAAGTGTACATCTCAATGAATAAATACACACCCTTTCGATGTTTTATATGGCCAGCTGCTAGTTAACTTAAGCTTAGAGCACACCATGGTGAGATACAGGAGACAGAACTGGGTCAAAGAGCTTTACTCTGTTCAATGATCTCAGACTGCCCCCAATCCTAGGCAATCAAGAATGGTGGGGCCAGGGAGGGGACACCCGCAAGGAAGGATTGGGTTAATAAGGCAGAATAAACCATGGGGAAAAATTACCAGTAATGAACCATCTGTTGTTTAGTCTGCCTGGCATCCATCTTTATTTTGGGCTAACAGCCCCTTTTCTATGCCACACCCCAGGCGGTCCTGGTGAATACTAGTTTACAGCAGTGGTTCCCTACCAAGGGTAAGTTCTCGCCCTCCTCAAGGAACACTTAACAATGTCTAGAGATATTTGTTTTTTCACACCTCAGAAGGGCAGTGCTATTGGCAAGTAGAATGCTATTAAATATTCAACAGTGTATAAAAGGCAGTCCATCACAACTAAGAATCATCTGGCCAAAAACGTCAATAGTGTCAAGGCTGAGAAACCCTGGTTTCCAAAAAATGAGACCTTTACACAAGCAGAGTGCACCAGAATTTCTCCAAAAAATAGGTGGGTGTAGAAAAAAAATGAATTTCCTTCTTATTCTTAGATTGTGACTATGGTTTTCTCTAACCACCTTATGCTAGTGACTGGAAAGGGCCAAACTGATCCAGATGTCCTTGTGAGCAGAAAAAAACTAGAAAAATAAAAAATAAAAAATTCTAAACACTCAACTGAGAATTGAACAAGTCAAGGTGTGGAGAACTGAGTAACTCAGAAACAGCATCTTAACAACATCATTTGAGCCTTAAGGATCCAGTCAACCCTGACCTCAGACTTCATCCCTACATAAACCAATAAATTCCAATTTTGCTTAACAGTAGATTGAGTTGGGTTTCCTTAGCAACCCTAGCAACTCAAAATCAAGACAAGCACACATACTGAAAAACAATTCAAATCATGTGTTCCATTACGGAAGGGGCATGGCAATATCACTTTAAAGTCTGGATTAATATCAGTTGTATTACTAAAGAAAAATAAATTACACAATCATATACATAGTGCTTACTGCTTATATGTTACTAGGATAATGTGAGCATTACATACCTATCTCCTAAGTGTCATAATGATCCAAAGGGGCAAATTTAATTACTTTCATTTCACAAAGGAGGTTACACGCTCAGAGGGTAAAAAATGTCTGTCATACTGCTTTGCTACTAAGTGGTAGAGTTGGGATGCCCAATCAGATCTCTCTGGCTCATAGACCATGCTTGCCTTCTTTTTGAATGATTTGGAAAGGCATTCAAAAAACCCTTTACTTTATACCTTTCAATCCCTCCAAATTAACAGATATTTAAAGGGAAAGATTTCTTTAGTGACTTTTACTGTGGATCATAATAGAGGACAGAAAAACTTAAGTAGCTTGACATTAATTAGCCAAGTCATTTTAAAAATTTCATTTCCAAGAAATGAATTCCCTTGTAACTTCCTAAAAGAGGTAGAGTATTATCTCTGTCATTTCCTTAGGTTCAACTCTTTTAAAGTTTCTAAAATTGTGCCTATTCACTGACTTACCCATCTTGTTTGAGAACACTTACCTCTTTGTGTACACCAGTTACGTATTCCACGATATTGCACAGAAAGGATTCTATCAGAGTCAGTATTCTTTTAAAAAGTTTGTATGGTCAACACCAAAAGACAAGTTATTTCAGGCCCCGGGGCCTATAGATTTTCCCATTGGTAACCACTTTCTCTAAGACAGGGGTTCTCAAATAGTGGTCCTCAGACCAGCAACATCAACTTCACCTGGGAATTTTAAGAAATGGAAATTCTTGGCCCCAATACAGAACTTCTGAGTCCAAAACCCAGGGTGGGGAATCAGCAATCTGTTTGAACAAGTTCTTCGGGCAAGTCTCAGACACTCTCAAGTTTGCTCTAAGTGGTAAGATGACTCAGACTCCAACACCTACATCCTCAGAGAAATCAATCTATGCAGACTCCCAAAGTAAACTCTTGGGAGACAGGAGGACGACCTGGCAACAGTGGCAGTAACAGCCTGCACATCACATGACTTAGTAGGTACTTTGGTACATTTATGGGATCCAATGCTAGTTGCACACTTATCACACAACGGATTTTCTGACGGCCATATGATTTATGTGAGGGTGAAGACAGAATATAAAAAAACAAAACATAATACAGATGCTCCTTGACTTATGATGGGGTTATACCCTGATAAATCATCATAAGCTGAAAATATCATAAGTCAAAAAGGCATTTAATACAACTAACCTATCCTTACATAAGTTGAAATACATTAATACACCTAACCTAACCTAATCTGCCCAGCATCACAAAAGTACTCCATACCAGTAGCCCAGAATAGGTCAAAATTCAAAATTTAAAGTACGGTTTCTACTGAACGCATATTCATTTTGCACCATCGTAAAGTCAATTTTAAGTTGAATGATTGTAGGTCAGGGACCATCGGTATAGCTACTTTTATATATCTATCTTTTGTATCTACTAAATTATATCTTACATTTTATTCACAATTTAAAAGTTGGTGAGTAAACATTTTATATTCATTTCACTTCAAAAACCTTAAACCTAACAATACATTTGTCTTTTAAGTAATCTGTGCTTACGTTTTTTTCCTAGACATCAGTGGCCCTTTTTGGATAAAATGATTCCATCCCCTATGCATGTCCTTTTTAGTATCAATGCAACTATCTAAGAAATGAAAAGATGACCTACCAGTATGAAAGGACAAGGTACACTATAAATTCAATCTCCATAGACTTCATTTCGGAAATTTTGATCTCAATAAGCTAAGTTAAGAAAGACATCATGGCTGGGCGCAGTGGCTCACGCCTGTAATCCCAGCACTTTGGGAGGCCGAGGCTGGCGGATCACGAGGTCAGGAGATCGAGACCATCCTGGCTAACACAGTGAAACCCCGTCTCTACTAAAAACACAAAAAATTAGCCGGGCGTGGTGGTGGGCACCTGTAGTCCCAGCTACTCGGCAGGGCAAGGCAGGAGAATAGCATGAACCCGGAAGGCAGAGGTTGCAGTGAGCCAAGATCGCGCCACTGCACTCCAGCCTGGGCAACAGAGCGAGACTCCGTCTCAAAAACAAACAAACAAACAAACAAACAAAAGACATAATAAATGAAGGAATATCAGGCCACAAGTCTGATTTAGTTAAAATCAGCTTTGTCACTTCTGTGTGACTGTGAACCTTAGTCTCCTCAAGTACAAAATGGGAGCAGTAACACCTATGCACTCTACTACAGAGGTGCTGAAGAGCAAACGAGGTAACAGATAAGTAAAAGTTCTTTAAGAACTGCAAATATAAATGCTTCCATTAACAGTACAATTACAAGATTGGTAAATGCTTGTAATTATTTAAATTGTTCTGTAGTACAGTTCAGTGTCAGTGGCATCCTAAATCAACTATAGGGATTGCTTTTCCCAATATCCTACCAGAAAAAACTTACAGTTGGCTGGCATTCAAAGAATAATCTTCAAATGTGGCGGCCGGTATACTAATGAAAGACTTCAAGAGTAGAATATACTCCACTTATAAAACGACACCAAATAAATATTATTAAATAGCTACATGCTATATGCAATGTTAAAATTCCCCATAATATAAGAGTCAAGAAAATAACAATGTTCCAAAATCCACTGGGCTACATTCTTATATGAAATATACATCTCCTCTACCTTCCTTTATGCCATAGCTGATAAAGACCAACAATCCACAGTTAGAATTCTAAGCTGGAAGAGCAACCTGTGAAATGTGTGATTGTGATTACAGAAATGAATAGGACTATCGTGAATAAAAAATAAACATTTTAAAATATACTTACTTGAAGGGTATGGGTACGGCTGTGGTCTGCGCCTTTTTGAAGGACAAAGGCAATCTGCCACAAATATCATACACTGTAAAAATAAACATTGTAAGAAATCTGAATGTAGAATATATGCCACAGCTAATGTAACTATTTTAAATAATCACATTTTTAAATATCTTTCTTCCTAGCACTCCAAAAATGAAATACTTACGAGTCCTAATAACAGTCCGGAAAACAGAGTTGCTAAAGCAAAAACAGTATATGATCCCCACACTGGCAATCCAAGGTCTTCAATAAAGTAGTTATGGCAAGTCTAAAATCAAAAGAAAAAAAAAAACTAAAAATCTGTTCATTTTTGTTAAAGTGATAGTGGTAAAAATGTTTAAGATAAAAATATTTTAGTCCATACCCTGATCCACATAGATAGCTGAAAGAGTGCTGACATACTACTCATCCTAAAAATAAAAGAGATGATTAAAAAACTGAGTAACATACACAGATTTGTCTATACATACTATTTTCTACTCTATAATTTCCCCAATATGACAGATTTTATTGCTGTTAATCAAGACTAGTGACACATCACTGATTTCATGCCTGTAATAAGCCTTCTTCATGAAAACTGTTTCTAAATTGACACTACCATGTGACAGCCTCATAAATAAAAATACTTGACAGTATTTTTTTCCTTTTCTCCCACTGTTTTGATGTTAATATTTTGTATTTCATCTGATGATTTCTCCAATACACTGAGTAAAGGGTTACAAGTTCCATGAAACCAGTTGGAAAAGGCAACTCTTACTCACCCTTAAAAGCCTTCAAAGCAAGACCAAAGGGAGGCTAAAGTAAGGACTGGAAACAATTGTCAAGCCAATTCTTTCCATTTAAGAACTATCCCTCTTTTTTATTGAAATTAATTAAAATTTACAAGAGCATTAGTTTGACATCTTTTAATGATATACAAAATTATTACATAGGAAATAAATGCTAAGTCATCATATAAGCAAAAATTAGTATTTTACATAATTAAATGGCCAGTTTTAAAAAGGCATGTTTCAGAAATAAGAAAGGTCTGTGAGTTCCCAATTGTAGCTGCTTGAAAATAGACTTACAAGCAACTACTTTCTTCTACTGGAAGGACAAGATTCATTTATGAGATGAGATTTCAGAGAACAAAAATCAGTTATACTTTTAGTTCGACACAGAAAGGTATTTTAATCATGTTGCTTCTGTTGTTTAAAAGCCAAGTGAGAAGAGAAACAAGGAACTGAAACATAAAGCACTGTATAGCCTCACTGTAGTCTGCAGTAATTTATTTCAGAAACAGTAGGATCCAAAATTGAGTTGGGCATGGTAGTTCAATGGGTGAGTGTTAACAGGGCTAATCTTTCTCCCATCCCCAGAATCTAGAGCATTTTTCTCTTATGTGATTACTGTCCCAACTCCCTATCCTCCAAAGGTAAGTGTGGTGAGAGGACAGGAAGAGACAGATGGCCACACAGGATCAGTCCATGGTGACCTCAGCAAAACTCACTGTTCCCAGAGGTCTCTCACATGACCAGTGAGGCCTTGTACTCCAACAGCAAAGCAGAAAGCATGCTTGCTACTTCCAATCCTTATCACTCCATAGCCAGTTGCTACGAGGAAATTCATCTACCCTCTAGATATCTATAAAGCTCAGTGCTTAGGCACACTATTACGGTCACCGTTTATACACACTATTCATATAAGAAGTTATCAGACAGGTGGAATAACCAACCAAACATAATTCAGTCGCTTGACATCAAGAGTTGAAGTTTATGTAATTAATTTAGTTGGTATCGGCAATTATTGACGGTCTCTATGGAGACAGAACATTAAAAGACAAATTGAAGTCTGGAGGTAGCATGAGTACAAGTTTGAGCCTACTCATTCAAATTATTACACTCGAGTGATAGCTTTACCCATTACACTGTGAAGACTCTTAGGGGCATTTAGTTTTTGATGATACATATGACCAAATCTAGCAAGCTAAAATATTCCTGAAAAGGTGTACAACTTACTTCTATAAAATGCCTTCTCTAACTCAAGAAGCATGAAAATATGTTTGACTTAGAAGGTCAAACTAAAAAGATCAAACATGTAGGCCGTGCATAGTGGCTCACACCTGTAATCCCAGCACTCTGGGAGGCCGAGGTGGGCAAATCACGAGGTCAGGAGATCAAGACCATCCTGGCTAACACAGTGAAACCCCGTCTCTACTAAAAATACAAAAAAATTAGCCACGTGTGGCGGTGGGCACCTGTAGTCCCAGCTACTCGGGAGGCTGAGGCAGGAGAATGGCGTGAACCCAGGAGGCAGAGCTTGCAGTGAGCCGAGATTGCGCCACTGCACTCCAGCCTGGGCGACAGAGCAAGACTCCATCTCAAAAAAAAAAAAAAAAAAAAAATCAAACATGTAATAAATGTGGATATACCTTAACAGCTCAAGAAACAAACTGAGTATGAATGCTTTACATAAAATATAATTATCTGTTCCAATTAATTATGAAATGGGTAAGAGAAAAAGCCCTCATACTTACAGAACAGAACCTGGACCAAACCATGATGAAACGGGCTCAATACTCTTCCACTCTTTATCACTTATAAAGTTTATGAAGTCCTTCTTAGTCCTTGGACCCTGATAGCGCCTAAATTCACCATCTTTACAACTAAAGAGAATCAGAATTAAATATTATCCAGCACTGAGAAATAATTTAATATTTATTTTGCTATTTTTTCACTTCACTTTACAGTCAATTCTAACATTCAAAAGCATTAGCAATGTACAAGTATTAATAGCAAATTATACTATTTACCTACTCATGACATTTTAGCCCCCAATTTAACAATGAGGTTACATTTTTTTAAATCATAAGCCTTAAAATGTAATTACTGTTATTCTTCCAAGTAATGAAACTATGAAATACAGTAAGTAGATAAATCTCAGGAAAGTACTTTTAAGCCTTATGTGTAATACACATATTAAAAGAATTATATAAAAATTATTAGAATAGTGCTTGGCACATAGTAATTATTAGCTGTTAAGCTATAACTTAAAATTTTAAGGCATTTTTCTAGTACTTTTGGCTATAATAGCATCACCTCAGACACCCTGCTTTAAATCACTGGAGGCATCTGGTATGGTGCTTCCCTTCCTCTCATTTCAGTGACTATTTAGTGAGCTTTGCAGCCTTCCTTAGATCCACCTCCTCCTTCCCATTCCCAATGTAGAAAGTTCTGTCAGAGTCACAAATGTTCTCTTGGCTCCAACATCTTTAAGTGCAAAAACTCATCAGCTCCCTACTAGGGACCTGTTAAGTAGGGTTAAGGGACCCTTTATCCACTCAGAGGTAAAAACCACGAGGAAGCCCCCCACCCCAAAACACAAAGTTTTTGTGAAGTGTCATTTGAGCTATTATTTGAAGCATAGGTAAGATTTCGACAGGCAGGAAACAGGAGAAAGGATATGGTAAACAATTTTGACTAAAAGAAAAAGGGCAGGAAATTCCAAATAAGGTCACAGGGCACTAAGAAGTGAAAAGCAAAGGGAGAGACTGAAGGGGCACGTGGGGAAAAGGACTGAATGAGAAGGGCAGGACAGAAGCACTTATGGAGACAGCGAACAGAAATTTATATAGATGTAAAGGGAGTAGGGGTGAATTTTAAAACCATAAAAAAAAGAAAAAAGGGCAAAGAAAAGCAAGCTATAAATACAAAGAATTGTCAACTTATTTTCAGTACCTCCTGGTATTTAACCTACCAGCTACATGATGTTGGGGTACACAGACTTGAGATTTCATACCCTCAATTTAGAAGATAAAGTCAAACTAATAGACCTGACACTGAAGACTACATAATCTTGCTCATTCTGTTTTATTACCCAACTGTCACCTATTACTCTACCCAAGGCTGTACAACAGCACTTTCTTAGCTACTTTTTGGACATAACATGTTCCTGTTAATGACTGTTTATGAGATTGTCCTCACAATAAAATGCTTACGCTCCACTCTTAAAATTCTACTTCCAAGGTTTCATTTAAACCCCATATTCTCTGGGAACCAATCCAGGTAACTGTGATTTCTCCTTTATCCAATTACCTACAGGACTCACCACTACTTTGGATGCATAATGACTTAACACGCTGAACAGGATCACACCATTTCACAAGAACATCACTTTCCAAAACAACTGTAAATCTTTGAGAACAGAGACTGTTTCACACATCACTCAACTACCTAAAGGCACCTAGGATAACACTAAGCAAAACAAGCCCTCTAAAATACCTGCTGAATATAATGAGATTACCTCAGCTCTTCCAGCATGATCCAAGCCAGAGGCCTACTACTTCTGATTACACTATAATGCATCCTTCTCCATAATTTAGAATCTTCAAATACTTACTGATAAATAGTAGGAAGAGCAGTTATGATAAACCGTCCACTCAGTCCTACAAATAAAGAACACACAGCAGGTTTTACATAGGCCAATCACTGACTACTTAAAACGTGACTTTGAATTATTTAAATACATACTAATAGGAAAGAATATGAAATTATACCTAATAGTTGAGCTTCGTAATACATAATTTAAAAATGAATTATGTACTTAAAGCAACTTTAAAAAACACAATACTGCACATTATCTCAGTTAAAAAGTATGTAGAACTAGAGTACTGAATACATTTTTAAATAAAAACACTTCAACATTTATATCACTGTCAAAATTAAGACTACTAGTAATAAGAGCACCTTGTGCTCATGGGAGAGCACAAGGTAATAGGGTCTTAGATCTAAAATCCAATGGAATTGTACTTGACATTCAACAAACAAAGGCAGTTTATGGTGCTGCTAAAAATGGAAAATACTATGAATCTTTCATGAGACAGGCAAAAATAATAGCAGCTAACATTTATTGTTAGCCATGTGTCAAGCACTGATATTACAGAGAATTGACCTGTGCCTCAGTTTTCTTATCTGTGAAATGGGGACATTACATATTTCACGGGGTTGTATAAGGATTAAATAATAAACACAAGATATTTGGAAGAGTGCTATAATAGGCAAGCGCTCGATAAATATTACCTATTATTACCATTTGGGATGGGACAGCCAAGAATCCAAGGGTAGTGTGACTACCGAGAACGGTAAGATGAGATTGGTCTGTGGAAGGAACCTCCTTAAGGGCAGGACCTGCCACTTGTCCAGGGACCAAGTCAGGAGTGCACTTGACCTCACAACCACGAGGGCTTTATATTTAGAAGCCCACATCCTCAAATCATAGGTACTAAATTTAAAACTCAATTTCAGAGATTCAGGTCTTCTTTTGTCAGGGAACGTGACCTTGACTCCAGAAAAACACTCAACCACATGCTCCTTATTCTGAAGCCTGGTATGGATGCAAATGTGGCTTGGCCAATGTTCACCTGAACCACAGTGTCCTAGGACTTCTCAAAGGCATCTTACATACTAGTCTGGGGCCTGGGATGCAAAGAACAACAAATCAGAGGCAGTTATGTGGGCAAGAATAAAAAGAGGGTAATGTCTTCAAGAACCCTTAAAGCAACACATTCAAGAAATGAGGTGTATACACAACCAGGGAATCTCCATTTTGCAACCATTGCACACTGAGCCCCCAGCAGGGAGGTGGACAAGTCAGGTTAACTAGCTGCAGACTGTTAGGTTTTCAAAACCTAAAGAAAGGTAGAATTAAGACTATGCAATGTAGAAAAAAGGATAAATATATCAACCCAAACAGCAAAGAAACAAAACTAACCAAAGACTTACAGTACCTGGCTGCTCTGTGACATCTACTTTCGCAATATTAACCTCAAGATCTTCTCCCCATTCAGCAAAACTTTCCCATTCCGGTTGAAGATTTTGACAAGCAGGGCACCACGGGGCATAACTAAGAAATACAGATTTTTTTTTAAAAAAAGTTAAGCACTTTAGTATGACCATTTATCTTGGGATAAAAAATTTAAATGTATAATTTATGAAGAATATTTCATATGAAAACACTGAAGATGATAAGGTGGTTAATTTTATGCAGATGAAAAACTTTTAAGGGTAGATCTAACAATCCGGAAATCAAGAATGATGAACTGATGATGCTAATCAAATAAAATTCTGAGAATAAGACACAGGATTTTTTCACATGCAAAACAGCTCTTTAGAAAACTTTTGCATTTCTCTATTAACGGTGTGGCCACCAGAAAGCTCAAGACCAAAGTTAGAGCTTACCAATTTTAATAATTTATAATGCAGAGTCACAAATGCAAGGTGTTGGAAAAACAGAAGTGTCCTGGGCTGTGGTGAATAAGAAAGCACATATTCCATCTTAAAGTGGCAACCATTATTAAGTAGGATTGCCACTAAGGATGCTGGCACACTAAGGCTGGCTATTCATATTTAAAAGAAGATGGAGAGCTGCATTTTTATATGAGAATGTTACCTCAAAAAATAACCCACACACAAATACTAAGCAGGCCAAACAAAACTCTTGGCCAGTTAGGTCATCCTGTTTCCAAGACCTTGGATTTACAAATGCAAGCATATTAGCATTTAAATTACTCCTCTGGTATTATCTCCTGAGGATCTTATTTTTCCACTTTATTGTATTTTATCTTATAATACACCACAGGGTTGTTCTTTTTTTTTTTTTTTTTTTAACAGAACCAGGAAGAATAAAGCCTAAAGCAGTTAAACACAAAACTATACTTTCTGTACTTCACATTTTCTTCACTTGTTTTATGAAAACCAAACTCCTAAAATAGACATTGTAGAACAAGACAAACTGGTAGTATAAAAGCCAAGCTCCTAACAATAAATCGTATTACAATGAAAATATCTCCATGACAAAACTTCTGAGCAGAAATGGATTTACTGTAGATAATTCACTTGTAATTAGGAGCAGACTATTACTAAAACTACTAGAGTCCTTCTTTTTCAGGTTCGTTTTGTTGCTCAGTTGCTTTTTTATTTTTTGAAACAGGGTCTCGCTTTGTTACCCAGGCTGGAGGGCAGTGGCGCCATCTGGGCTCACTGCAACCTCAACCTCCCGGGCTCAAGACATCCTCCCACCTCAGCCCAAGTAGCTGGGACTACAGATGCCTGCCCACACGCCCAGCTAATTTTTCGTATTTTTTTGTAGAGACTGGTTTTTGCCATGTTGCCCAGGCTGTCAGTTGCTTTCTAAAAACTTACTTTAGAATCTCTACTTAAGGAAAAAGAAAAACTACTACTCTATAGCATAATTTCAGATAGATGCTCCAATGTGGATTTACCTCATACTCAATGTTTTGTTAGTCTTGTTCTCCTTAATACTACTTCTGATTGCTGTATTTATATAGTTGGACCATAATGAGTTAAAAAATATCCTTGAGTAATACTTGACTGTATTTTGCATATACACACACGATCACTATTGCTTAATATATTGCTTATAACACTATTTTACAGGCACGATCTAAAACAAGTTACTCATGATGATGACTGAAAAAGTGTCACAGTTCCTCTCCCCTGAAGCTTTCAATGGTGCCTGAATGAAAATTCATTTCAGAATTGCAGACTACATGCATACTATGAAAATTTCCCTTTATCTTACCCTCCATATAAATGTTCTACTTTTTTTTTGAGATTGAGTCTCACTCTGTCGCCCAGGCTGGAGTGCAGTGGTGCGACCTCGGCTCACTGCAACCTCTGACTCCCAGATTCAAGCGATTCTTCTGCCTCAGCCTCCCGAGTAGCTGGGACTACAGGCGCGTGCCACCACGCCCAGGTAATTTTTTGTATTTTTAGTACAAACGGCGTTTCACCGTGTTAGCCAGGATGGTCTCGATCTCCTCACCTCGTGATCCACCGGCCTCGGCCTCCCAAAGTGCTGGGATTACAGGCGTGAGCCACCGCGCCGGCCAGTTTTGTTTTTTTAAAAAATAACACAGGACTTACTGATTTAGCCTTCTGGGTTCTCCCTTGGGGATGTCACTTTCACTGGCCTCCTTAACTTGACAACCCTTGCTGTATTCGTGACACAAGAAAACACTCACCTGAACCCTGTTGTCTTTTCATTTTTATTTATTTACTTATTTATTTTGCTAGTTGCCCAGGATCTCTTGAACCCCTGGGCTCAAGTCATCCTCATACCTCAATCTCCTGGGTAGCGTACGCCACTTCCAGCTGAACCTTTTTAAAGAAGAAGGTGTTCTAACAACAATTATTGTATGCCTACTCTGAAGACCCAAAGAAAGCCAGCACAGCAATATCTGCATAGGTTAACTAAAGTATTTAGGTATCTTGTTACTCATTTGTAAAACGTGAAAAACACCTGTCATAGAGAATTTGTAGGGAATTAAATATGGTATTCGTGTAAAGGTGCTTAGTGGTGTCCAGTACACTGTTAATAATTATGCTTTTACTATTATCAGTAAATACTGCTAATATGTATAATACCACCATCAACAACGACTTAGCATCTAAAGCAAAGACAGATACTTTATTTCCCACCGCGGCAGAACAGATATTATTAAATTGAAATCACCACACAAAATACATGATTTCGTTCGAGCAATAAATGATGACCTGGCGCTCTTGAGAGTGTATACATTAATACATTATCTTTTAATGTAATACCATTTACAAAGACCTAGGAGTCACAACCCAAGGTATTCTCTACACTACAAAGACACCCAAAGGAAAAATGAGATGAGGAGTGAAAAAAAGAGAAAGCAAAAGAGGAGGCAAAAAGAGAAAACGAAAACTTAAAAATAACCCAACTTGAATTGACTCAGTATTTACAATAAAAAAGAAACGTACCCAATCCATTAAAAAAAGCTTAAAAGCGCCAAATTCCAACACCATAAAGAGACTATCTTTTAAGGACAGACAAAACGAGAGGAGAAATTTTGCTCAATATTCTCTTATGTAAAATGTGGTGAAAATAAGTGTAGAAGTCTGTGAAGAATCACTTTAACTACTTAGACACGAGTCGGACACCTCCCTCCCCGCGCCCCAGTCGCATCCTCAAAGTCATGAAAAATGTCAGAATTCGCATTGGCACTAACCCTTTGGGCGCACCACAACCCAAGAAACGAAACGAGGGTGCACCCCAGAAGAAACTTAACATTCACGGGTAAGAGACGAGGGGGTGGGACCAAGCTGGCGGCAGATCCCAAGAGTTTGGGGAGCTGCAGAAGTCGGGGACGCTCGCTCCGCAACTCGGAGGCGCAGTCCTGGGGAGCCTGCGACCCGCACGAGGAACGTGCGGGGTGAAGTCGTGTGTCCAGGCACGGACGTAGGACCCTGGCCGCCCCGCACTCACAATTCTATCATCCAGTCTCCTTCCAGCAGTTCTCTCCAGTTCTCGTCCGTGATGACGCGAACGTTGCTCCGCCGCCCGTGCGTCCAGGGAGCACCCCAAAGCAACAGCACCAGGACTGCCAGGGGAACTGCAAGACTCCCGGAGGGCGCCATTTCGCCGCTTGCCCACCTCACAGGGAGCGCGGTCGCAGCTCCCACTTCCGCCCTCGCGGGCTGCTCAGCGCAAGCGCACTACGGTGCTGCGAGGAGCGCCTGTCTAGAGGACTCTCAATGCGCATGACAGGGGTCTGATCCCAGTGAGTGGTGAAGTCGGGAAAGAGGGAAGAACGACTCTCCGCAATGCGCATGACAGAAAAGCGGCTGCTTCTACCGCCTAGGGTGTCCCAATATTGTGGGGGAAGGAACAGAGCAAAAGGAGGCGTGGTGTAAAAAGTGGGGCGGTGCTTTGAGGAAGAACGGTTTAAAAGACCCTCCCAGGATTTTGGCGCCAAATGGTTAGCGTTTACAAGCAAATTGGTAAGTTTATAATGTGCTAAAGCAGTTTTCCAATTAAATGTCCTTCAGAGTTCTCATTTGTTTTCTTTGAAACATGTAGTAAAGCTAATGGATTTTATAGGAGTCGGAATATTGGTTTACTTCTGAGAGATTATAGACAGGGAAGGTGCAGAGGAACATTATGGTTATGTTGGATGTGTTGGAGGTGTTCAACATCTAGATATGAACAGTAGTTACATGGGCGTACGTATATGATTTTTTTTAAAGAAGGATCAAGCTGTACATTTTAAGACAGTGCACTTTATGCACTTTCAGGTGTATGTTATCTCTCAAAAAAAATTCAGTAGGTACAGAGATCCTAGGTCAGTACTTCAAAATGGAACCAGACACATAGGCTTGTAAGATATTTGAGTTTTTTCTCTCAAACATTCGTAAATACAAATGCAAACCAAAATGTGCACTGCCCCATCAGTCAAATGAAAATAGTTGCAGGTGCGGTGGCTCACGCCTGTAATCCTAGCAAAACAGGGAGGCCAAGGCAGGCGGATCACTTGAGGTCAGGAGTTTGTGACCAGCCTGACCAACATAGTGAAACCCCGTCTCTACTAAAAATACAAAAATTAGCCAGGCGTGGTGGCAGGCGCCTGTAGTCCCAGCTACTCAGGAGGCTGAGGCAGGAGAATCGCTTGAACCCGGGAGGCGGAGGTTGCAGTGAACCGAGATCATTCCACTGCACTCCAATCTGGGCTATAGAGAGAGACTAAGTCTCAAGGAAATAGTTGCCACTATCTTACCTCACCTTTTCAACTTAATTAACCCCAATTAGTCCCCTTCCCCACCCCTCCACTGAATAGCCCTCTCAAGGACACCAGCGACCAGCAAGATAAATCCCAATTGTTTCTTCTCAATGCATCTAGCATGACTCCTAGCCCCATTCTACCACACCCTTGAAACACTTTACTATCTTGCTGTCTGGGCAGCTCGCTTTTTTTTCTGTCCTACAGTAGCTGATTCTTCTCAAACTTCTTGGCTGGTCCTCCTTTACTTCCGGACATCGGCATCTCCAGGATGCTTTACTGCCCCCCGCCCCCCATCTCCCGCCACCTTTCTCTTCATATCATCAGGCTCTCATCTTTCTGGGAACTACAGGCATATGTATTCAACTGTATATCATTCAGACTCTGATCTTTCTGGGAACTACAGGCATATGTATTCAACTGTATATCATTCAGACTCTGATCCTTCTGGGAACTACAGGCATATGTATTCAACTCCTTGCTAAACATCTCTTGGGTATGTAATAGCTGGTGAAAGGAAAAGAAATCTTGGGGCCCCAAAATCATTAAGCTAAAGGGAAAAGTCAAGCTGGGAACTGCTTAGGGCAAACCTGCCTCTCATCCTTCTTCTCACTGAGATAAATGCATATCTGATTGCCTCCTTTGGAAGGCTAATCAGAAACTTAGAAGAATGCCACCATTTGTCTCTTACCCACCTATGACCTGGAAGCCCCTTCCTGGCTTCGAGTTTGTCCCGCCTTTGCTTTGAGTTGTCCCACCTTTCCAGGCCAATACAATGTTCATCTTACATATGTTGATTGATGTCTCATGTCTCCCTAAAATATATAATATAAAATCAAGCTGTGCTCCACCCACCTTAGGCACATGTCCTCAGCACCTCCTCAGGCTATGTCATGGGCGCGCATTCTTAATTTTGGCAAAATAAACTTCCTAAATT
Source organism: Homo sapiens (assembly GCF_000001405.40). Classification (NCBI taxonomy): domain Eukaryota; kingdom Metazoa; phylum Chordata; class Mammalia; order Primates; family Hominidae; genus Homo; species Homo sapiens. The sequence continues at coordinate 51,238,216 of NC_000014.9, read as the reverse complement.
GACTGAGACCTGTCTCAGATTTTGGGGGTTCAGAAGCTCAAACATCAAACGGCCAAAAAAGATAATTCTTGATTCTTCCTCTCCTGGTCTTCCATCCACTAAAGAGCCCCGAGGTTCACCAGGTTTCTCTAGCCAAACATGTACATGTTAATTCTTTATTGTTCTCTCTCTTCACCTTCTCCTCTTGTAACCTATGAGCAAATCTTGTAAACGTTACCTTCAAAACGTATCCTGAATCTGACCACCAATTTCCATCTCAACAGCCAACACCCTAGTCCAGAGTTTTCTTGCCTTGAGTACAATGAGAACTTCCTAAATTTGTGAGAAAATAAATTTCTATTGTTTAAGCCACCCAGTCTATGATATTTTATTATGGCAGCCCAAGCTAAGACACTAGACCTCCATTACAATGTTGAATAGAAATGGCAAGAGTGGCCAAACATACTTATCTTGTTCCTGTTCTTAGGAGAAAAGCGTTGTCTTTTACCACTAAGTATGATGTTAATGTGAATTCTAAATAGTTGCCTTTTATACAGGTGAGGAAGTTTCCTTCTATTCCTAGAAGGTCGTCTGTTTTTATCTTGAAGAAGTGTTGAATTTTGACAAATCCTTTTTCTGCATTTATTGAAATGACCATGTGGTTTTTGTCCTTTACTCTATTGATATGGTGTTTTTTTTGTTTTTTTTTTTTTTTTTTTTTTGAGACGGAGTCTTGCTCTGTCATTAGGCTAGAGTGCAGTGGTGTGATCTCAGCGCACTGCAACCTCCGCCTCCTGGATTCAAGCAATTCTCTTGCCTCAACTCCCGAGTAGCTGGGATTACAGGCACGTGCCACCACGCCCAGGTAATTTTTATATTTTTAGTAGAGACGGGGTTTCACCATGTTGGCCAGGATGGTCTCTTTCTCTTGACCTCATGATCTGCCTGCCTCAGCCTCCCAAAGATACAGTGTATTACATTGATTGATTTTGGGACATGAAATCAACCTTGCATTCTTGGTATAAATCCCACTTAGCCATGGTGTATAATTCTTTTTATATATTGCCACATTCAGTTTGCTAGTATTTTGTTGCATATTTTTATGTCTATATTCCTTAGAGATATTGGTCTGTAGTTTTCTTGTAATGTCTTTGGTTTTGCTATCAGGATATAACTGGCCTCGTAAAATAAGCTGGGAAGTGTTCCCTCCTTTTCTATTTTTTGGAAGTGTTTGTGAAGAATTTGTATTAACTCTTCTTTAACTGTCTGATAGAGTCTAGCAGTGAAGTCACCTAGGCCTGGGCTTTCCTTTGTAGGTAGCTTTTAAATTACTAATTCAATCTCTTGTTATAAGTCTACTATGATTTTCTATTTCTTCTTGAGTTGGTTGTGGTAGTTTGCATCTTTCTAGGAATACGTCCATTTCATGTAAGTTGTCTAATTTGTTGGCCTAACGTTGTTCATAGTATTATAATCCTTTTTATATCTGTAACATTGATATTAATGTCCTCTCTTTATTGCTGGTTTTAGTAATTTGAGTCTTCTTTCTTTTATTTATTGGTCAGTGTTATGGTTTGGATATGGTTTGAGTTTGTCTCCATCAAAACTCATGTTGAAATTTGATTCCCCATGTGATGGTATTGGGAGGTGGGGCCTATTGGGAGGGATTTGAATAAAGGGGGTGGATCTTGTGAATGGCTTGGTGCTGTTCTTTTTTAAAAAAAATATATAGGGTATCTCTCTGTCACTCAGGCTGGGGAGAGATGGTGCAATCATGACTCACTACAACCTCAAACTCCTGGTCTCAAGTGCTCCTCCAGTTCAGCCTCCCAAGTAAAGGTGATAGCCTCAATGCTGGCCCTGGTGTTGTTCTCATAGTGAGTGAGTTCTCACTCTGATGAGACTGGATTAGTTCTCTTGGGAATGAATTAGTTCCCTTGAGAATGGGTTGTTATAAAGCCAGGATACCCCTTAGGTTTTCTCTCTTTGCACTTGTCCGCTTCCCTTTTGACCTTCTGTGCCATGTTATGACCCAGCACAGAAGACCTCACCAGAAGCCAGGGCCATGCCCTTGAGCTTCCCAGCCATTTGCACCACGAGCTAATAATCATGACCTATTTTGTTTATAAATTACCCAGCCTTCTGTTATAGCAACACAAAACAAAGTCAGTATAGCTAAAGGTTTCTCAATTTTGTTGACCTTTCCAAAGCACCAACTTTTAGTTTTGTTGGTTTTCTCTACCATTTTTCTATTCTCTTCTTGATTATTTCCTTCTTCTTTATGCTTTGGGTTTATGCCCCCTTTTACCCTGATTGTTTTAAGATGAAAGTTATGATTATTGATTTGAGATCTTTATTTTTTTAACGTATGTGTTTAAGCTCTAAATTTCCCAACCCTGCTTTAGCTGTATCCCATAACTTTTGTTTTGTTGTGTCATCATTTCATTCATCTCAAAGCATATACTAATTTTCTCTTTTGATACCCTTTTTTGTCAATTGGCTATTTAGGAGTGTGTTTTTCATTTTCACGTTTGTGAATTCCCAAATTTATTTTTGTTATTAATTTCTAATTTCATTCTATTGTGGTCAGAGAACATACCTTGTATGATTTCAATCTTTTTAAAATTTATTGAGATTTGTTTTATGGCCTGGTATATGGCCTATCCCAGAGAATATTCCATCACTTGAGAAGAATTTGCATTCTTCCATCACTGGGTGTTCTATAGTTAGATGTCTGTTAGGTCTGATTGGTGTATAGTGTTGTTCAAGTCTTCTAGTTTCTTGTTGATATTCTGCCTACTTGTTCTGTCCATTGTTGAAAGTGGAGTATTGAAGTTCTCCAAATATTGTTGAATTGTCTATTTTGCTCTTCGTTCTGAAAGTTTGTGTTTCATGTATTTTGGGGCTCTGACATATATCTTTATAATTGTTATATATTCCTGAGGATTGACCCTTCTCATCATAAAATTTCCTTCTTTACACCTAGAATTTTTTATTGGTTTTATATTCATTTTGCCTGATATTAGCATAACCACTTCAGCTTTCTTATTGCTGCTATTTGTATGATATATCTTTTCCATCCTTTTACTTTCAACCATTTGTATTTTTTAATCTGAAAAGTGTGTCTCCTGTAGACAGCATATAACTAGACCTTGAGGGTTTTTGTTTTTGTTTTTATTTCTTTCTACCTAGTCTAACAATGATTGCCCTTTGATTGATTACATATTTAATCCATTTGCTTTTTTTTTTTTCTTTTTTGGTGGGGGACAGGGTCTCATTCTGTTGTCCGGGATGGAGTGCCTGGACACTCCACTTACTGGTAATGTTATTGTTTTGTTTGTTTGTTTGTTTGTTTGGCTTTTTTGAGAAAGAGTCTTGCTCTGTCACCCAGGCTAGAGTGCAGTGGTGCAATCTCAGCTCACTGCAACCTCTGCCTCACGGGTTCAAGCAATTCTCCTGTCTCAGCCTCCCAAGTAGCAGGGACTACAGGCATGCGCCACTATGCAGAGCTAATTTTTGTATTTTTAGAGAGATGGGGTTTCACCATGTTGGCCAGGCTGGTCTTGAACTCCTGACCTCAAGTGATCTGCCTGCCTCAGCCTCCTAAAGTGCTGGGATTACAGGCATTAGCTACCACAACTGGCATGTTATTGTTAATATGGTTGGATTTCTGTCATTTTACTTTATGTTTTCTATATGTTTTATGACTACTTCATTCCTCTATTCCTCCTTTACTACGTCTTTTACAATAAACACTTTCTAGTATAACATATAATCCTATAAGAATTTCTTATAGTGTATATTTTGAAAGTTTTTTTTAGCATTTTCTTTAAAGTTTACTATATATATTAATTTATCAGAATCTACTTCAGATTTATACTAACTTAATTCTAGTGGGATACAGAAACATTACTCCTATGTAACTGTTTACTCTTTCTACTTTTTGTGTTATTGTTATATATTGTATCTATGTTATAAATTCAGTAATATATTGTTATAATTATTAATTTATGTACTTTTATGTTTAATAAAGAAGCTGAGGAAAGAAACAAGAACAAGTATATATTTAGTGTTTATTATATTAATATTCATATTATCATTTTTGGTTATCTTCATTTGTTCCTGTGGATTTAAATTATCATCTGGTATAATTTCCTTCCTCCAATACAACTTTGCTCCCACCCACCATCTTTATGCTGTTGTTGTTAATTATATTACATTTCTGTATGTTATAGGCCTAACAATGCAATTGTAAAAAATTGTTTTATACAATTGTTTTTTAAATCAGCTAAGAGACAAAAGGAAAATAAATATACATTTATACTGCCTTTTATAATTACATAATCACCTTTGCCCATTCTCTTTGTTTTTCTTGTGGCTTTAAATTACCATCTAGGCACACTTGCTTTTAACTTGAGAAGCTTCCTTTAGTATTTCTTATAAGGAAGATCTGTTTGCAACCACTTTTCTCAGTTTATGTTTATCTGGGAATGTCTTCATTTAACCTTCATTTTTGAAAGATGGTTTTGTTCTATATAAGATATTTGGTGTATAGTTTTTTCTTCCAGTGCTTTGAATATGTCATCCACTGTCTTCTGATCTCCATTATTTCTGATGAGAGGTATCTAATAATCTTATCAAGGTTCACTTGTACGTGACAAGTTGTTTTTCTGTGGCTGCATTCAAGTTTTTTTTTTGTCTTTGTTAGCATTTTTACTATGATGTATCTGGGTGTGGAGCTCTTTGCATTTGTCCTATTGGCATTTGTTGAACTTCTTGTACATTTAGATTAATGTTTTCTGGAAAATATGAAGGTTTCAGTCATTATTTCTTCAAATCCATGTATTTTTTGCTCCTTTCTCCCTCCTTTCCTTCTGGTAATCTCGTTAAGCATATGTTGGTAAACTAAATGGTGTCCCACATTTATTGCTCATTTTTCTTTATTCTTTTTTCTTCCGTTCTTCTGATTGCATAATCTCTGTGAATCTATCTCAAGTTTACAGATTCTTTCTTCTGCCTCCAAATTACTGGTGAGCGCCTGTAGTGATTTTTTTTATTACAGTTATTGTACTTTTTAACTCTAGACATTCCATTTGGTGCTTCTTAAAAATAATTTCTATTTATTGATATTCTCTTTTCGATGCAACATTGTCATCATACCTTCCTTTAAGTTCTTTAAGCACGATTTATTTAAGTTTGTTGAATATGTTTATAATGAATGCTTTGATATCTTTGTTAAATCTGACATTTTGGCTCTGTCACAGGTAGTTTCTGTTGCCTACTTTTTTCTCTGATCTATGGGTCATACTTTGCTATTTCGCTGCATGACAATTTTTTCATTGAAAACTGGACATTTTAGGTAATACATTATAGCAATTCTGAGTACTGATTCCCTCTATATGGTTTGGACTTGTCTTTTGTTTTTATTTGATTGTGGTTTGTTTAGTGACTTGGCTAGGCTATTTTGGTGAAGTCTATTTCTCCAGTAGCGGAAGGCCTCTGCTCCCATTTCTCAGAGAGTGCAGCCTTGGACATGTGCACCGTCACCAGGGGATATCAGTGGTTCTAGCAAGGCTCTCTTTGACTGTCTCTTTCCTTGATCTCTCTGTTAAACTTTCTGTCTCGTTTGGTGTTACCTCTAGCTGTTGTGCTACACTAAGTGTAGGATGATTTCTCTGTTTAAGAAGATACCCCCTGGGGCATAAATTGCTCCACAGTCTAATCCAATAAAATTCAGGCATTGGTAGTTTTTGAGGCCAGTCTTGGAGGTTTCCTCTAACCTCAAGAGGGCTCTTCTTAGTTGTCTCCTTCCCTGGTTCTCTCTGGTAAACTAGCTAGCTTATGGTTTAGCTTGTTGCTTTTTATTACAGGAAACTATTGTTTTTTTTAGAGCAACCCGAGGCTTGACCATCACCCACACTCTGTTTCAAATAAAGGTAAGTCCTCTGGGGAGAGCTTCAGGGCTCTCTGTTTTTATGGGCTGCGTCTACTCATGGGCAAAATTGCTTAGTTATTATTCTGGGCACTGGGTAGAACAGGAGGCTCTGATCTTCTTGACTTGCTTCTGAAGTGGAACCTCTGCCATATGAGCAAGCTGGGTTAAGGGTGATTGGAGTTCCCAGTGTTCTCACTCTGCTGCACCTGGCATAGAACTTTTGTCCCCTGTATGGGGCCACACTTACCAGGAATTTAGCCTTTGCAACTCAGAGTTGGAATGGATGAAAAATGCTGGTGGCCTTTTCCTCCTGGTGAGATATTGCCTCTCTTGATTGAGAGTTGAGGAGACAGGGAGCCCTATGTTCTTGGTCACACTCACCCAGAGTAGAGTTTTGACCAAGATGAGCTCAGGGGGTGAGGAAGATGGGTAGGAATCGAGTGTATGGCTCAGACGCCATAGACTGTTACTGTTCTTACTCAGTTTTAGTGGATTTTCTTGAAAAAAAAGAATGCTTCTTCATTTGCTGTATGCCCTTAGGACAATTTCCACAGACTTTAGATGGTTGTTTTTGTTTTTATAGTTTTCAACAGTATTATGGGATGAAGTTGTGTGCCCCCTCCAAATTCATGTGTTGAAGTCCTAACCTCTAGTAACTCATAGTGTAACTGTATTTTGAGATAGGGTCTGTAAAGAGTCAAGTAAGTTAAAATGAGGTCATTAGGGTGAGCCCTAATCCAGAATGACTGGTATCCTTGTAAGAAGAGGAAATTAGAAAACAGACTTGTACAGTACAGAGGGAAGACCATGTGAAGACACAAGGAGAAGATTGCCATCTACAAGCCAAAAAGAAACACCACAGAAGAAACCAACCCTGTCAAAATCTTGATTTCAAACTTCTAGCCTTCAGAACTATGAGAAAGCAAATTTCTGTTGTTTAAGCCACCCAGTTTTTGGTACTTTGTTATGGCAGCCCCAGCAAACTCATACAACCAATTATGCTTGTTTTGCTGGGATGGGTCTACACTGCCATCTGGAAGCCCAACCCAAGCCATCATCTTGTCTCATGTGGATTATTACAACATGCAAGGTTCTTAACTAGTCTCAATGCTTTTATACTTGCATCCTCCCAGCTCACCAAGTATATTTTCCTGTCTAAAACCAAAGTGGTATTCCTGAAACACAAGGCTGACCATGTCATCCCCTACTTAAAACTGTTTAATGGCTAGGTAACATGCTTTCTATTATCCTTAGCATAAAGTTCAACTTTCTTAATATAGTCTCCAAAATCATACTGTATCTGGCCTTTTCTAATGACCAAGCCTCAGTTTTTGACCTCTTTTGTACTGTCTGATAAAGTCATACTAGGTTTCTTACAGTACCTTGACCAAGCTATATTTTCTCTTCTAGGTTTTTGTGGAAGGTATACTGCTCCCCTCATTCCCCAACTGCCCTGCTTCATTGCCACATAACTATTCAATCTTCAGATTTTACCTATGTATCCCTTTCTTCAGAAAGTCTTTCCTAAGCCAATTAGTTTGGGTATGATGTCTTCCCTGGTACACTCTCTGAACCCTGAACTTCTAACTTCACATTTAGTATACTGTATTGTATTTGCCTACTTACTTGTGTCTCCCCCACAGGATTGTGACTCCAGATTATGAACTGTGTCTATCATGTTTATCATTGTTTCTTCAGTACCTATAGGTCATTGGTATTACCAGATTCTGCAGGCTAATTAAATCTATAGCCCAAAGAGTTAGAGACACCAAGATTACATAAAAACATAGAAGTTCTATGTGCTTAACTCAACAGACATCAATGTCTCTGTATGTATACACACACAGACACACAGACACATATATTAAGTCATATATACATACATATATAAAGTCAATGTAATGAAATTTTTCTGTATATTTATAACATAAACGTAAATGGAAAGTATAGATTTCTTTTACCTTTTAAGTTTTTAAAATTTAGAAGGTAACCGATACTTGGAACACTAGTCATCAAACAAAACATGACTATTAGCCTGATAAATCAGAACAGCACTTTTGGAAATAATTTGGCAATATATTTTAAGAATTAGAAATATGGTTCATACAGGCCAGGCACGGTGGCTCATGCCTGTAATCCCAGCACTTTGGGAGGCTGAGGCAGGCGAATCATTTGAGGTCAGGAGTTCAAGACCAGCCTGGCCAACATAGTGAAACCCCATCTCTACTAAAAATACAAAAATTAGCTGGGCGGTAGTGGTGTGTGCCTGTTATCCCAGCTACTCGGGAGGCTGAGGCAGGAGAATCACTTGAGCCTGGGAGGCAGAGGTTGCAGTGAGCCGAGATCGTGCCACTGCATTCCAATCTGGATGACAGAGTGAGACCCTGTCTCAAATTTAAAAAAAAAGTTCCTACATTCTGGAACCCTACTCTAGGTACTTCATCACATGGAATGAACTGAAAAGTGGGACCTTTTTCCAACATGTATGCGAAAAAATCTTCATGTATGTTTATAATTACAGATGAATAAGAGAAAAGATATTATCTCACAGATATTGTAGTAAACAGTATCACTGATATCCTGAAAGGGGAAAGCCTTTTGTATATCAGCTTGGAAAAGAAATCCTTTCATATATATAGTTAGTGGCAGCAAAAGACTATCGCTAAAACTAGAAACAAAACACAATTGGAGAAGTATGACGCCATGTGTCATCACAAAAGGACATGGCTCTTCAGACAATCTCACAGCTCCGTAGGCCAAGATTAGGATTATTGACTAGTCCTCTCCCATCTAGATGCAGAAAGACAAAAGTAAGGGTCATTTTGAATTTATGAGATTGGCTTTAAAATTTAACTTCAAAGAAGCTTTAAATATTTTATAATGTTCTTGTTCATGCATAAAATTTTTAAACATAACTAGAGAAAAATCTAGCTGTTGAAATGGATCTTATCATTTAAAACCCTGAATTAAAGTATATAAACAACATTTGGCCATCTGAAAGGTTACTAAATCACTGCTGTAATTATGTGGCAAGTTACAGGGATTTGGAGCTCAAGATTAGTTTAATATGTGTGATTGTAATTGTCAAAAAAGCAGGAAGAAAACTAAAGTTATAGACATCAGAATTAAATTATGAAGTCTGGTCAGTTTCAGGAGAACGAGCATTGTGTGCACATAGCATTAAAATCTCTGGCACAAGTAGCAGCTCTTCCCATGCAGATGGCCTGAGGCATAGAAGTGGATGATAAATGATGCAGAGCCAAGACAAGAAATGCTTGAACTGGACCAGGACAGGGATCATTATCTGAGCACATCTGGCCATGGATAGTACTGTTTCCCTGTCCATGATTATTAGCAGTTAATAAAGAACAACATTGCATATTAATTTATAGTTACATATATTAATTATAGATGTCTTAGAAATTCAATAAGTATAGAAAATGACCACTTAATCATTTAAAAAAAGGCAACAAGTCAATATGCTTTAGATTTTTAGTATTCCCATTGTATATAATATTTGGACCCAATAGTATAAGGGCCATCTGTTTTTACAAAAGCTTAATATATTAGTTATCTATTGCTGCCTCAAATTCTCTCAAGATTTAGTAAGTTAAAGCAATAGTAAACATTATCTCTCACACTTTCTGTGTGTCAGTGAGTCAGGAGTGGCTTAATTTCTGGTGGTTCTGGCTTGAAGTGTTTTATGAGGTTGTTGCCAAGATGTCAGTCAGGATGCAGTTATGTGAAGGCTTTACTGAGGCTAGAGGATCCACTTCCAAAGTGGATCTCATACTACTGGCAAATCAGTGGGAGCTGTTGGTGGGAAGCTTCAGCACCTTTCCTCCTAGGCCTCTCTCTCAGGATTGCTTGAGGACTTCATGATTGGCTTCCTCCAGAGCAAGCCATCTGAGAGAGCAAGGCAGAAGTTGCAATGTCTTTTATGGCCTAGCCTTAGAAGCCACTTGCCATCAGTCCTATTGGTCTGAACAATTACACGTTTTTAATGTGGGAGAAGACCACACAAGTATATGATGCAAGCAGACATAAATCACTGAAGGCCATCATGGAAACTGGCTACTAAACCTAACAGCTCCATTTTGATGGTCATGCTAGTTTAAGTCTGGTGGTCAAGCATCTGGTTCCAGAGTCAGATGGAACAGCTTTCCAATCTTGATTTCACTACCTACTTACTCTTTCCAATCCTCAGTTTCCTCATCTGTTATACAGAAATGATGGATCCACCTCGTAAGTTTGCTTAAAGAAGTAAATGAGTTAGCACACAAAGAATGATCCTTTCTGCCAGATCATGTTATTTCACAGCTCAAAATTCTCCAGTGGCTTCCCATCAGACTTAGAAATTTAAGATATAGCAGAACCTGATCTAGCAAGTAACTACCATGCTGATCGTGTTTGTTTTCAATGTCTCCCTTCCTCACTCTGCTCCATCCAGTGGCCTCCTTGTTCTTCAGACTTTCTAAGCCACTCCCAGCTCAGCCTTTCCACCTGCTCTTCTCTGTGCCTGGAATGTTTTTCCCTATGTTTTCATGGGTCATTTGCTCACTTCATTCAAGTCTCTACCTAAATTTTACCTCCTCAGAGTTCTCCGACTACTCCTTTCATTACTTTATCCATTCTTTAAAATTCATAACACTTATTACTACCCGGTATTTTATTATATACAGTTGACTCTTGAATAACACAGGTCTGAACTGCGGGGGTCCACACATATATGGATTTTTTTCAACCAAATACACTATTCGCAAGGTGTAAAACCTGCATACATGGAGGGCCAACTTCCACAGGGTTGACTGTGGGACTTGAGTATGCAAGGATTTTGGTATTGAGGGAGTCCTGGAACAAATCCCTTGCATATCCTGAGGGATAACTGTAATTGTTTACTAATTTTGATTATTGTTGCCCTCCTCCCCTAGTATGTCAGTTCCATGAAGACTTTGTCTCGTTCATCACTTCTAATGCCTAGAAGTGTGCCAGTCTTACAGTCGGTGCTCCATACATATTTGTTTAAAAATTAAATAATGCATGTAAATTAGCCCATTGCTTGATCCACACCATCACAAGAGTTCAATAAATGCTCTCTGACTTTATCAACATCATCCTCATCATCCCCTTACTAACCTAATATCTCACATGTCTATGATACTTTTGTCATTTACAAAGAGTAAGTAATAATGCTTTTAAAAGAAGAGCTGTAAGGATGTAGCTATAGTTGGGCATGCTCTGATAAGAAATGAAACTGAGAAGTGCAGGGGAAGGATTTATCTCCTATAAGTGACTTCTTTTTTTCAGATGGCCCTCCCCAAAAATTGGTCTTTTCCAACCAAATAACCAGGCTTTCCTCAGGACAAAAGAGTGATGCTTTCGAAAGAGTTGTCCATTGAGTTACAACACAATAACCTCTGAGAGAGTATAATGTTAAGTCAGATACAAACAATACATAGGGAGAAGGGAGATTTAAAAAGTATCAACTACCATGCAGGTGTATGTTTGTGTTAGTCAAATTAAAACTTTAATAGACTTTAAGTTCTCATTGCATAGTGGGAGTTTGATCATTTTTAATTAGTCATTTCACTTTACTCATGAAATACACAGTGAAAGAACCTTTTAAAGATAGATTCTGCAATGGTGCCTGCCTCAAATGTTTATTGCTGCACTATTCATAATAGCAAAGACTTGGAACCAACCCAAATGTCCAACAATGATAGACTGGATTAAGAAAATGTGGCACATATACACCATGGAATACTATGCAGCCATAAAAAATGATGAGTTCATGTCCCTTGTAGGGACATGAATGAAATTGGAAATCATCATTCTCAGTAAACTGTCGCAGGGACAAAAGACCAAACACCACATATTCTCACTCATAGATGGGAATTGAACAATGAGAACACATGGACACAGGAAGGGGAACATCACACTCTGGGGACTGTTATGGGGTGGGGGGAGGGGGGAGGGATAGCATTAGGAGATATACCTAATGCTAAATGACGAGTTAATGGGTGAGCACACCAGCATGGCACATGTTTACATATGTAACTAACTGGCACATTGTGCACGTGTACCCTAAAACTTAAAGTATAATAATAATTAAAAAAAAGAGAGAAAAAAAAAAGAAAATAGTAGTCAGGAATCAGGCATCTGATGGATAGGACAGGGGTTGGAGTAGAAGAACACCTTGAAGAACCTTGTCCTAGCTAGAAACAGTTCTAGATAAGTTACATGTTCCCAACTGTTTCTTTGCTTCATTATTCTGTTATTTGAATTTCAGCGTTGTTTTGAAGTGAACTTCATGACCACAAGCTGTTTACATATTTGACTCTTATTACGTTAACATTTGATATCTAACAGATGTACACATCTAATGGCTGATGTTCAAGGAATGTACCAAGGCAGAAAATTTGCAACAGTTAAATAATAATGGTAGTCTTAATAAATAATCATGTTTTGCTAAAGTTTTATGTTTGTTTGTTTGTTTTCAAATTCAGGCTTGCCCATATAATCCAATGCAGGATTATGAGAATCTCCTAAATTAACTCCTACCTGTATTCTAGTTATGATTATTTCTGTTTTCAGACAAATTGGAATATTAATGTAACCTTTCCAACTTTTTTCTATTTGGATAACACTTATTAGACAAGCAGTTTTCAGGGAAAACCATATATTATAAACTGGTCATTTTAAATTATTTAAGACTTGACTCTTGAGTCTTTAGTGGTTGAACAGTGTGCTGGATCATTCTAGGTCAATCTCTGAAGCCGAGGATCATGTTTTATGAACTCTCCAACTTTTGAGGTTCTCCTATAAGGTTATTAATTTCTCACTGTCCCCTCCATTTGCCCCTTACTGCCCCTGCCAAATAAGATCCCCATGCAGGGCTGCTTTGCCTGTATGGTACCTTCATATAAATTAGGAAAGGGCATTCTTTCCTCATGGCAAAGGCAGCCCTGCAGGGCACCTGATTTGGTAAGAACAGTGGCCAGAGCACAGCACTTTGCTAGCAGAGCACAGACTGAATTTGAGCCCCCACTCACCCAATGGCTGGAGGCCCCAGAGCACAGTAGCATGCATCAAAACTCTCTCTTCTCTCTGTGTTGCCCATAGGCTGCTGGTGTCTCCAGTATTGTCCTAGGAGATGACAGCCCCGCTAAATCATATGGGATATAACAAATATTCACTGAGAGGCAGTCTAGTGCAGTGGAACTGCATAGTAAAGTGCTTAGGAGTGGGAATTCTAAAGTCAAATGTCTTGGCTTTGAATCTTGCCTCTATCAACGAATAGACTGAGATCTTAAACTAGTTATCCAATCTTTCTGTGCTTCAGTCTTGGCTTATTGTAAGGCTAACATGAGTTAATATCTATAACACATACTCAATACACATTATTTATTAATGTCTGGTAGCACACAAATCCTGAGAGAGTTGTTCAAATATTGCTTCCTCATGCAATTATGAGCAACTAGATGAAAGTGTAATTCCATCTGAGAAGGCTTAATACCTTCCACCCACCCTTCCTGGAAGCTGGCACACAGCACTGAATCATTCAGCAAGCATTTGAACACTTACTGTGCACAGTGGTAGACAAAAATATTTTAAGAAACAATGTTCACCCCTCAAAATATGTTCCCTAATTCTCAAAACAATCAAAATAAGAGAACAGTATTTATTGTCGTAAAATGTGACCATATCAACAAGCATGGCATAGGCCTTCTGGTTTACTAGAATGAACATGTGCTTTACAGATAGGTCATCTTTGAATCCAGCCTCCCTCTCTTATTGGCTATGTGACCTCAAATAAGTTACTTAACTCCTCTGAGCCTCAGTTTCCTAAATGGTAAAATAAAGTAAAACAAAAGTTTCAAGCGTTATTGTAAGGATTGAGATAGTATTTGGAAACAAAAATATTTCTGGCACATAGGAGATACTTAATCAATGGCAGCTTTTGTCCTTATCAATATTTTCTATTATCACCATCTAATTTCCTTTGTAGAGAACTATGGTGGCTCCCAATAGTCCACAGTTTAAAGTCCAGATGCATAACATTCAATACCTTTGAGAATCTGGCCCTCACCTACCCTTCTGATATGGCTGTGTCCCCACCCAAATCTCATCTTGAATTCCCACGTGTCATGGGAGGGACCCGGTAGGAGGTAATTTAATCATGGGGGCGGGTCTTTCCCATGCTGTTCTCATGATAGTGAATAAGTCTCACGAGATCTGATGGTTTTAAAAATCTGATGCTTCTCCTTGCCCTCCACCATGATTGTGAGGCCTCTGCAGAGGCCTGTAAGTCCCCTAATCCTCTCTTTCTTCCATAAATTGCCCAGTCTCGGGTATGTCTTTAAGAGCAGTGTGAAAACGGACTAGTACAGTAAATTGGTACCAGTAGAGTGAGGCACTGCTAAAAAGGTACCCAAAAATGTGGAAGCGACTTTGGAACTGGGTAACAGGCAGAAGTTGGAATAGTTAGGAGGGTTCAGAAGAAGACAGAAAAATGTGAGAAAGTTTGGAACTTCCTAGAGACTTGTTGAATGGCTTTGCCAAGAATGCTAATAATGATATGGACAATAAAGTCCAGGCTGAAGTGGACTCAAATAGGAATGAGGAACTTGTGGGAAACTGGAGCAAAGGTGACTCTTGTTATGTTTTAGCAAAGAGACTGGCAGCACTTTGCCCCTGCCCTAGAGATTTGTGGAACTTTGAACTTGAGAGAAATGATTTAGGGTATCTAGCAAAAGGAATTTCTAAGCAGCAAAGCATTCAAGAGGTGACTTGGGTGCTGTTAAAGGAATTCAGTTTTATAAGGGAAGCAGAGCATAAAAGTTCATAAAATTTGCAGCTTGACAATGCAATAGAAAAGAAAATCCTATTTTCTGAGGAGAAATCCAAGCCTGCTGCAGAAATTTGCATAAGAAACGAGGAGCTGAATGTTAATCCCCAAGATAGTGGGGAAAATGTCTCCAGGGCATGTCAGAGGTCTTCACAGCAGCCCCTCACATCACAGGCCCAGAGGCCTAGGAGGAAAAAGTGGTTTTGTGGGCCAGGCCCAGGGTCGCTGTGCTGTGTGCAGCCTAAGGACTTGGTGCCCTACATCCCAGCCCCTCCAGCCATGGCTGAAATGAGCCAACATGGAGCTTGGGCCGTGACTTCAGAGTGTGCAAGCCTCAAGCATCCATGTGGTGTTGAGCTTGCGAGTGCACAGAAGTCAAGAACTGGGGTTTGGGAACCTCTGCCTAGATTTCAGAGGACGTATGGAAATGCCTGGATGTCCAGGCAGAAGTTTGCTGCAGGGGCAGGGCCCTCAGGGAGAAACTCTGCTAGGGCAGTGCAGAAGGGAAATGTAGAGTCAGAGTCCCCACACATACTCCCTACTGGGGCACCGCCTAGTGGAGCTGTGACAAAAGGCCACCATCCTCCAGATCCCAGAATGGTAGATCCATTGACAGCTTGCATCATGCACCTGGAAAAGCCACAGACACTCAATGCCAGCCCATGAAAGCAGCCAGGAGGGAGGTTGTACCTGGCAAAGCCACAGGGTAGAGCTGCCCAAGACCATGGGAATTCACCTCTTGCATCAACGTGACCTGGATATGAGACATGGAGTCAAAGGAGATCATTTTGGAACTTTAAGATTTGACCGCCTTGGCTGGGTGCAGTGGCTCAAGCCTGTAATCCCAGCACTTTTGCGGATCACCTGAGGTTGGGAGTTTGAGACCAGGCTGACCAACATGGAGAAACCCTGTCTCTACTAAAAGTACAAAAAATTAGCCAGGCATGGTGGCACATCCCTCTAATCCCAGCTAGGATTTCAGACTTGCATGGGGCCTGTAGCCCCCTTTTTTTGGCCAATTTCTCTCATTTGGAATGGCTGTATTTACCCAATGCCTGTATCCCCATTGTTTCTAGGAAGTAACTAACTTTCTTTTGATTTTACAGGCTCATAGGCAGAAGGGACTTGCCTTGTCTCAGATGAGACTTTGGACTATGGACTTTTGAGTTAATGCTGAAATGAGTTAAGACTTTGGGGGACTGTTGGGAAGGCATGATTAGTTTTGAAATGTGAGGACATCAGATTTGGGAGGGGCCGGGGCAGAATGATATGGTTTGGCTGTGTCCCCACCCAAATCTCATCTTGAATTCCCACATGTTGTAGGAGATACCTGGTAGGAGATAATTGAATCATGGGGGCAGGTCTTTCCCATGCTGTTCTGGTGATAGTGAATAAGTCTCATGGATCTGATGGTTTTAAAAATGGGAGTTTCCCTGTATGAGCTCTCTTCTCTTGTCTGCCATCCATGTAAGACGTGACTTGCTTCTCCTTGCCTTCCACCATGATTATGAGGTCTCCCCAGCCATATGGAACTGTGAGTGCATTAAACCTCTCTCTCCTCTGTAAATTGCCCAGTCTCGGGTATGTCTTTATCAGCAGTGTGGAAGCAGACTAATACACCTTCTATCCACTCCCCTAACCTGTGAACCTTAGAGCCCAAACATGGCGCTTCCTGAAAGTTCCAGAACCTGCCATTACAGGTCCTTTGCTGTGATGATTAATTTTGTGTATCAATTTGGGCCATGGGTTGCCCAGATATATTTGTTCAAACATGATTCTGGGTGCTTCTGTGGGTATTTTAGGGTGAAATTAACATTTAAATCAGTAGATCAAGTAAAGCAGATTATTCTTTCTACTGTGAATAAGCTTCAGCCAATAAGTTGAAGGCCTGAGTAGAACAAAAAGGCTGACCCTCCCCTGAGGAGGAAGCAATTCTCTCTGCCTGATGGACTTCCAACTAGAAAATAGGATTTTTTTCTGCCTTCAGACTTCAACTGTAACATCAACTCTTCTACAATTTCAAGCCTTGCGGGCCTTTTGACTAGAGCTACAGCACCAATTCTCCTGGTTATCAGGCCTTAGAACTCAAACTTAAACTCTCAGTTATCCTGGGTTCCAGCTTGCTGACTTACTCTGCAGATCTTCGGATCTGCCAGACTCTGTAATTACCTGAGCCAATTTCTGGTAAGATTTATCTGTATATGTATATGTATATGTATGTACATATATATGCGTGCATCCTATTGGTTCTGTTTTTCTAGAGAAACCTGACTGATACATCTGTCTTTACATCCAATGTTCCCTCTCTCTAGACAACCCTTCTTACTGCTTTTGTCCAGCAAATTTCATTCATTCTTATGTAAACACATGTATTTAGTTTAAATAATAACAATAAAATAAACATGTACTGACCCTCCAAGAAACAAATAGAAGGCCCTTGACCACTCTCTATATTTTTTACATCAGTATTTTTTTATTTGTATTTTAAAAGCATAAAGGATAAAATCATTATATCACCTCTGACTTGAAGAAACCAAGGAACTTAACTGTGCCCTAAAAGCTATAAAGTTTCGTAGTCACTAGAAATACCATTTGACCCAGCCATCCCGTTACTGGGTATATACCCAAAGGATTGTGAATCATGCTGCTATAAAGACACATGCACACGTATGTTTATTGCGGCACTATTCACAATAGCAAACACTTGGAACCAACCCAAATGTCCAACAATGATAGACTGGATTAAGAAAATGTGGCACATATACACCATGGAATACTATGCAGCCATAAAAAATGATGAGTTCATGTCCTTTGTAGGGACATGGATGAAGCTGGAAACCATCATTCTCAGCAAACTATCGCAAGGACAAAAAACCAAACACCACATGTTCTTACTGATAGGTGGGAACTGAACAATGAGAACACATGGACATGGGAAGGGGAACATCACACACCAGGGCCTGTTGTGGGGTGGGGGGAGGGGGGAGGTATAGCATTAGGAGATATACCTAATGTAAATGACGAGTTAATGGGTGCAGCATACCAACATGGCACATGTATACATATGTAACAAACCTGCACGTTGTGCACATGTACCCTAAAACTTAAAGTATAATTTTTTAAAAAAAGAAAAAGAAAACAAACAAAAATAGAGGAAATTAAAAAAAAAAAGTTCGTAGTCACTCTGCAGGTGTGCTATTAAGAATTAATCAAATGCAATTTGAACAGTATAATACTATGGAGAAAATAATAGGATTTCATTATTTTAAATTTATATTTTTTCTTTCATGTATTGCGTCTTTTTATCTACAGCATGGGTTCTTTTTTTAAAGTAAGTATGGATTTTGTTTTTTGTGTTTTGTTCTGGTGTCTTTTTATGTTTTTCTTGACTGGTGTTAAGGAGCCACTAGGTGGCAGAGGTTGCTTCTTTTGGTTACAATGAGAAACTATTTTAAAATAATTCAGTGGGAAACAGGTTTTAGAAAAATTTAAAAATCACATTATAGACTTCATAAATACATTTGCACTAGTATCTCATGGTTCTGACATCAGCAAATTTGAACTATTGGCTGTATTATAGTAATAATGATGACAAAAGCAACAACAATAGTTAAACCACGAACACTTACCGAGTGCTTCTTATGTACCAGCAACAGACTAAGAGGTGTTCATAGATTATGCTGTTTAATCCTCACTGCAGCCCGATGAGGCAAACACTGTTAATCTTCATTATGCAGAGGAAGGAGCAGAGTCTTGAAGAGGTCAAGTAGTGCCTAGGTCATTGATAAGTAGCAGAGGCTGGATTCAAAACAGGTCTGATGGACATCAGAGCCTGAGTGATTAACAACCTCACTTCACAGACTCAGAACTGGGAACATTTTTTTTTTTTAATTTTTTCTTTTTGGAAGGCTGAACCATGTTGTGAAGGAATTAATGTTAGACATGTATTGGTTTCAGGCATATTGTCATGTTGTCAATGTCATGTAATATAAATGAGCTTAATCCTTAAAGTCCTTATGAAACAAAGAGTTTATTAAGGTCTTTACAGTTATATAGGCCAACTTCTCATCTTTTATCTAATCATCATGTTTATTCCCTCAGAACGTCTTTCCGTTATGTTTGTATGCCTGTAAGAGATAATTTATCGGTGAAAGCCAGTTTATCCCATTGATCTTTCTCTAGCCAAAAAATTAAAGATCCCTGCAACAGTGTAATTGGCAAGAACAATATTATGATGGTGTCAATGTACATATATAAAAATAAAATAAACTACAGTGACAGAGCTGTTAAAAAATTAGTTTTAACAAGTCCAGTGTGCTCATCTTCAGAAAAGTACATCATATTCTAAAGCTTCAAGTAGACAGAGGCATCCACGATAACAAAAAGACGTTTTTCTTTATTTCCTAAATAATACTTAATAGCTATCTTAACAATATAATGGAAAAATTGAGAGATTATGGAGATAATATTGGTTAATGTTAGCTGGGCGTGGTGACACTTGCCTGTAGTCCCAGCTAATTGGGAGGCTGGGATGGGAGAATTGCTTGGGCCCAGGAGGTGGAGGCTGCAGTGAGCTGAGATCACGCCACTGTACTCCAGCCTGGGTGACAGAGCGAGACTCGTCACACACACACACACACACACACACACACACACACACACACACACACAAAATTGGTTAATGTTAAGAAGCTTTGTGCCAATATATGACTGTTTTATACATGTGAAACAGGGCAGTGAACGTGTAGAAATTTCGCAGGATTATGTGACTCTTAGGAAATCTCACAGGGCTAGTTCTCATTTTGTTAATTGGTAAAGATTTACTTGGTATCTTTATCTTGTGGTTCCTTTCTATTTCTCTCTTTTGGGAAAAAAAATAAAGTGAGAAGGAGTGAGTAGGTGATTTGCCACACCTACACAGATGTTATTTGAATAAATGAAACAGCATCTCAAAATCTTCATGTTCCCAGATGTGAAGGTAGGACTCTGGGGTAAAAGGAGGAAGTTTACATTTCATTTATCTTTATTACATGTTAAGTTATGAAATTGTCCCTAAATCATCTAGATTGAATGATACCTTTTTTTTTTTTTTTGAGACAGTCTCCCTCTGTCTCCCATGCTGGAGTGCAGTGGTGCGATTATGGCTCACTGCAACCTCTTGGGTTCAAGTGATTCTCGTGCCTCAGTCTCCTGAGTAGCTGGGATTACAGGCACATGCCACCATGCCTGGCTAATTTTTATATATTTTGTAGAGAAGGGATTTTGCCATGTTGCCCAGGCTGGCCTCGAACTCCTGAGCTCAAGCAATCTTCCTGCCTCGGCCTCCTGAAGTGCTGAATGATATCTTACACTATATTCATATAATGCTTTCTAGTTTAGAAGACGCTTTCAAAAAACATCAGCTTTGTATTTTTTTTTTAAGACGGTGTCTCGCTCTGTCGCCCAGGCTGGAGTGCAATGGTGCGATCTTGGCTCACTGCAACCTCCACCTCCCAAGTTCAAGCTATTCTCCTGCTTCAGCCTCCTGAGTAGCTGGGATTACAGACGCACCCCACCATGACTGGCTAAATTTTGTATTTTTAGTAGAGACGGGGTTTCACCATGTTGGTCAGGCTGGTCTCAAACTCCTGACCTCGTGATCTGCACGCCTCGGCCCCCTAAAGTGCTGGGATTACAGGTGTGAAACATCAGCTTTTTAAATCTTTAAAACCATGCTTTAAAATAGAGAAGTAAACAGATTCAAATTGAAATTAGTAGCTCATTGGATATTGGAGTTTGTTGGCTATTAAGTATGAAACTTATTTGTATTATAATTTAGTGGTTTTTCAATTTTTCATTAACATCTTCAAATTGTAGTAGAATTAAATGACAATTCAGAAATAATTTTCTTCCACTTGGTTTCCTTTTACATACGCACACTTTATGTTAGTCAAACTTAAACGTTTGGTATGGCTGTATATTTTAGATGTGCCAATAAGTTGTGAATTTATATAACTAAGTACTTTTCTGAATAACAGAACAAAAATAAATGAAAAAAACATTCAAGAATCCAGTATCTTAGGAATTTTAGATTAAAAAATTGCTATCACACTGATTGGAAATTTTACTGACAAGTAACTTTTTAATATTATTTTTCCTTAGGCTATAGAAGTACATGTTTGGGATTAGCAGTTTAATGCTATTTACTGTCAGTTTATTGATTAATTCGTATGTTGTTTACTGACTCCTTTTTTAAAAAAGAAATTATATTTACCCATAGCAAGTTTGAGAGGCTTCTTATCAGAATAATTGTTAAAAGAAATCTCTTCTAATTTTATAATTTAAAATGGTGTGCCTGTAGAATGTAATCCTGTACAGTATTATTTTATCCTATTTATTTCCTCTGTTGGGTCATATTCTCTTCTATCCCTTTATTGTTTACAAAATGATAACTGCCTGTGTACTTAGGTTTTCCATGATTTGTATGTGTATCATCATACAATAAAATCATCAAGAGTCAGACATTTTATGTTTGTCTGCACCTTTCTCTCCTCTGAACCTCCTTAATGTCTTTTGTTTTCCTGCTAAAAATAGCTGTTCTTCAGCTATCTAATAAGTACCAAGAGCCCTCATTCTGTTGAAAATAGTTTAAACAAAAAGGGGGCAGCCTTAGCAAAGGTATAAAGGTTAAAAATTTTTCATATTGTGTAAAACTGCTTCCCTTTCCTCATTGTACTAGGATAAGTAACGCTAGTTGCTGTGACAGTCAAATCTCAAAATGTCAGTGGCTTACTACAACAGAAGTTTACTTTTTGCTGTCATGCAAAGTCTAATGATGATATTCTGGGTTGGATAACAGCCTTCAATGTGGGCAGTCAGAGAACCTTCTCCTTCCTTTAAGATGAATCCAGGAGCTGGTTTTTTGAAAAGATCAACAAAATTGATAGACCACTAGCAAGACTAATAAAGAAGAAAAGAGAGAAGAATCAACTGGACGCAATAAAAAATGATAAAGGGGATATCACCACCGATCCCACAGAAATACAAACTACCATCAGAGAATACTATAAACAACTCTATGCAAATAAACTAGAAAATCTAGAAGAAATTGATAAATTCCTGGACACATACACTCCCGCAAAACTAAACCAGGAAGAAGTTGAATCCCTGAATAGACCAATAACAGGCTCTGAAATTAAGGCAATAATTAACAGCCTACCAACCAAAAAAAGTCCTGGACCAGACGGATTTACAGCCGAATTCTACCAGAGGTACAAGGAGGAGCTGGTACCATTCCTTCTGAAACTATTCCAATCAGTAGAAAAAGAGGGAATCCTCCCTAACTCATTTTATGAGGCCAGCATCATCCTGATACCAAAGCCTGGCAGAGACACAACAAAAAAAGAGAATTTTAGACCAATATCCCTGATGAACATCAATGCAAAAATCCTGAATAAAATACTGGCAAACTGAATCCAGCAGCACATCAAAAAGTTTATCCACCATGATCAAATGGGCTTCATCCCTGGGATGCAAGGCTGGTTCAACATACACAAATCAATAAATGTAATCCAGCATGTAAACAGAACCAAAGACAAAAACCACATGATTTTCTCAACAGATGCAGAAAAGGCCTTTGACAAAATTCAACAGCCTTCATGCTAAAAACTCTCAATAAATTAGGTATTGATGGGACGTATCTCAAAATAATAAGAGCTATCTATGACAAACCCACAGCCAATATCATACTGAATGGACAAAAACTGGAAGCATTCCCTTTGAAAACTGGCACAAGACAGGGATGCCCCTCTCACCACTCCTATTCAACGTAGTGTTGGAAGTTCTGGCCAGGGCAATCAGGCAGGAGAAGGAAATAAAGGACATTCAGTTAGGAAAAGAGGAAGTCAAATTGTCCCTGTTTGCAGATTACATGATTGTATATCTAGAAAACCCCATTGTCTCAGCCCAAAATCTTCTTAAGCTGATAAGCAACTTCAGCAAAGTCTCAGGATACAAAATCAATGTGCAAAAATCACAAGCATTCTTATACACCAATAACAGACAAACAGAGAGCCAAATCATGAGTGAACTCCCATTCACAATTGCTTCAAAGAGAATAAAATACCTAGGAATCCAACTTACAAGGGATGTGAAGGACCTCTTCAAGGAGAACTACAAACCACTGCTCAATGAAATAAAAGAGGACACAAACAAATGGAAGAACATTCCATGCTCATGGGTAGGAAGAATCAATATTGTGAAAATGGCCATACTGCCCAAGGTAATTTATAGAGTCAATGCCATCCCCATCAAGCTACCATGACTTTCTTCACAGAATTGGAAAATTCCATATGAACTTTAAATTTCATATGGAACCAAAAAAGAGCCCACATTGCCAAGTCAATCCTAAGCCAAAAGAACAAAGCTGGAGGCATCACGCTACCTTCAAACTATACTCCAAGGCTACAGTAACCAAAACAGCATGGTACTGGTACCAAAACAGAGATATAGACCAATGGAACAGAACAGAGCCCTCAGAAATAATACCACACGTCTACAACCATCTGATCTTTGACAAACCTGACAAAAACAATAAATGGGGAAGGGATTCCCTATTTAATAAATGGTGCTAGGAAAACTGGCTTGTCATATGTAGAAAGCTGAAACTGGATCCCTTCCTTACACCTTATACAAAAATTAATTCAAGATGGATTAAAGACTTAAATGTTAGACCTAAAACCATACAAACCCTAGAAGAAAACCTAGGCAATACCATTCAGGACATAGGCATGAGCAAGGACTTCATGTCTAAAACACCAAAAGCAATGGCAACAAAAGGCAAAATTGACAAATGGGATCTAATTAAACTAAAGAGCTTCTGCACAGCAAAAGAAACTACCATCAGAGTGAACAGGCAACCTACAGAATGGGAGAAAATTTTTGCTATCTATTCATCTGACAAAGGGCTAATATCCAGAATCTACAAAGAACTCAAACAAACTTATAAGAAAAAAACAACCCCATCAAAAAGTGGGCAAAAGATATGAACAGACACTTCTCAAAAGAAGACATTTATGCAGCCAACAGACATATGAAAAAATGCTCATCATCACTGGCCATCAGAGAAATGCAAATCAAAACCACAATGAGATACCATCTCACACCAGTTAGAATGGCGATCGTTAAAAAGTCAGGAAACAACAGGTGCTGGAGAGGATGTGGAGAAATAGGAACACTTTTACACTGTTGGTGGGACTGTAAACTAGTTCAACCATTGTGGAAGACAGTGTGGCGATTCCTCAAGGATCTAGAACTAGAAATCTCATTTGACCCAGCAATCCCATTACTGGGTATATACCCAAAGGATTATGAAACTTGCTGCTATAAAGACACATGCACATGTAGGTTTATTGTTGCACTATTCACAATAGCAAAGACTTGGAACCAACCCAAATGTCCAACAATGATAGACTGGATTAAGAAAATGTGGCACATATACACCATGGAATACTATGCTGCCATAAAAAATGATGAGTTCATGTCCTTTTTAGGGACATGGATGAAGCTGGAAACCATCATTCTCAGCAAACTATCGCAAGGACAAAAAACCAAACACCGCATGTTCTCACTCATAGGTGGGAATTAAACAATGAGAACACTTGGAGAACACTTGAACACAGGGGTCTGTTGTAGGGTGGAGGGGAGGGGGGAGGGATAGCATTAGGAGATATACCTAATGTAAATGACGAGTTAATGGGTGCAGCACACCAACATGGCACATGTATACATATGTAACAAACCTGCACGTTGTGCACATGTACTCTAGAACTTAAAGTATAAAAAAAAAAGATGGGGTAATAGAGCCCATCTGCTAAGAATATCAGAGTTTGCTGCTGGATCCTCTGCATCCAGCTGGCGAATGGGGTCTAAGAAGAAGAAGAATCACATAGGAAGTTTTTATGAAACTTCCAGGCCTGGAAATGGCTGACATGGTTCTGTCCTCATTCTATTGGTCATAACTCAGTCATGTGCAAGGGAGGCAGTTAAATGTTGTTTAGCTATGTGGCCAGGAGGTAAAGGAAAACGTTCTGTTGGACATCTAGCAGTTCTTGCCAAGCCTGTGGTAGTTGTCCTATGGAAGAGGTTCCTTAGGCAACTCTCATATCTTCCTTATGTGGAAGTCATTTGGGTTTGGGGCTGCAGGATTTTCAAGCCACATCCATGCCCTGCTACCACTCTTAATCTTTGAACCTTTAGAGTATATTATCCTGAAGTCTTTTACTGACAGGTCTCAAATGTTACATTGCTCTGAGGGACTTAGGGGCTGACAAGAGTTGTGTATAGGCATGAAAGATGGAAAATGGACATGTAGTAGCTGAAACAGGGGTTCAGATTTTCCTGACTCTGCTGAAATTACTTCCCAAATCCTATAGTAAGAGTTCCACCACTATCTTTTCAAGCTCTCCTCTGATTCCTATTTCCCACTGTCTTTAGCATGACCTGGACTCCACTTCTGGCAGGCAGTGAACTCGTGATCAGTGTGGCCAGCATTCATTCATAGAATTGGCTCCAGGAAAAACTGAACAAGAAAATTAATGAGGTTGTATAGGTTTATTAAGCAGATGTATTAATGAATTCTTCAGTGATATTTGAAATAGATTAAAACATTATTTTTATTTTTTTGCTGTGAAGTACACATGTGTCTAGCACTGAATTTGGTAATTGGTTTACTTGGTTATTAAAAATTACATTCCAGTATATCCATCAACTTTTTAATCTTTGAAACTGATTGAATGTAAATTTAATTCTATTAACTTGTTTTATTATTGTTACCATGGAGGCCACAGGAAGCACAACCTTTGTAAATTCATAACCCAAATGAATTAGCTTCCAAGCAATTAATGTTTTTATACATTTAGTTGCTTTAAATGACTTTTGAAATGATTTTCATTTTTTGTCAAAAATGAATATGGATTGTTTTACTTGCTTGAATTTCTAAATATGCAGCCCAAAACTATAGGTTATAAACATAAAATTAATTCATATAGGATGAATTAATTTATAGGATGTATAGGATATATATTATTCTGTTCTAAATTTTCAAATAATAGTTATTTCAAAATACATACATAAAATGAAAATTGCTAAAAGTCATGACAGAAAGTAATTTGCTATTTGTCAGTGTAGTGTTAGTGATAGTTATGACCAGTTAACTCTCATAGATAACACTTTGTTTGAATGATAACATTTTTTCCCCTGAATATTGTGTCTTTCTCATTTAGAATTATGACCCACTCAGAAATCTCTATGGGGATTCTGGAGAAAATATGGATTCAGCCCAATGACTAAAAAGTTTCATTCAATTCACTCATCTTAGCCAGAAATGACATCTTATGATAACTTTAATTTAAGAAGAAAAGTAAATTGACATTGGTGTTCTCCACAAAGTATTTTCAATAAGATTCTGCGTATTGAGCTTGAGTTCAGATGCAGCTTCCTCCTGGGACACATGGAGAGAGGCACCAGTCCTTTTTAGCTTGGTAGGGTCTCTAACCAGCATTCTACCCATCCAGGCTAGAGAATCATCCACCTCTCCGTAAAGCTACCCGCTTCACCAGAATAGCCACAACTAGTAATTAGAATGTAAACAGAGTTGAATTCAGTCACTAGGACCTGTTTTAAGTCTGTACTTCTCCATCAGAGTAGCAGAACAGCTTTGGAGCCTGAGTTTGTTATCCCAGCTCCACCATTCACAAATTATGGTATCTTAGGCAAATTCCTAAACTTCTCTTGTCCACAGTTTCCTTTTAATGTAAAATGGGGATAATAATAGTACTTATTTTATAGGCAGTGGTATGAGGGGTTATTACTATTTGCAAAAACCAATTGTTAAATTTTCAGGAATTTTAAAAAATTTAAATTATTATACAATTTACTAAATTATATCAAATTAAAGGCAATAAATAGTCAAAACTTATTTCCTAATTATTTGACTATATTTTACTGTTATCTATGTTTTGGGGGTTATTTATATCTGTTGTATGTGTGTAGTGCAAATAGCATATAATGGTGAGCTACTTACTGGGCTGTTGTGAATCTTGGCCCAGCTCCCATGTTCAGTGACATCAGGTTGGTAACTTGAAACTAGCAATGGTGGAAATTGGCAAACACTACAAATCAGGCTTTTTTTTTTTTTTTTGAGAGCTGGTTGTTAAACTTTTACCAGTAAACCACTGCTCATAGTGTTTTTAGTATTTATCATCCTTAAAAAAATGTTAAATATATCTATGTTGTATAAATGTGTAATATATAATATATATATTAACATGTACATATGTTTTGCATGTGTGTGTAAACAAAACAGCATGGTTTTGAGTAAATTCTCAAGATGTATTAGCCATTATTACTTCTAAGTTGTGTTTATTTCATTTTTCGTTTCTATATTCTTTCTTCCCTTTCTCTTTCAGTTCTATTTCTTTTCCCCTCCTTTCCCTTCCTGCAGCCCCAAACCTAAAACAGTGAGTATGGGAAAATAGGAGAATAACTGGAAATTATTCTAGTTCCCCTTTCTTTCATCCTAATGTCTACTGACTTGATCTGAGACTATGTATATCTGATGTAGCACTGGATCCCCAGCACTGAGCAGTAAGCCTGCCCAGCCCTCAACTGGTCCCTGCTCTGCAGATCCACCCGAGGGCAGGCAGGCAGCAAGAGTGTTGAAGAGGCTGTGCTGAACACAGGCAGAGTCTTCCTTCTGTGCACTGAGTTTCTCATATGCCCCATCTGGCTCTAGAAAGTCAAAGCTTCAGTTAGGAACTGCTTCCTTCAAGCAATGTTGCCCTTCCAAGACCACCCAAAGATTACTAAAAAGGTTTTAGAAAATGTTCTAGAGAGTATATTAGATTAAGTAACTTCAAGCAGCTGTCAATAGCAGTGGACTATTCAGTGAAGAAGTATGCAAATATAAGGACTTACTAAGGTTTTAATTTGCCCCCAATTCTGGAAACTCTTCATCTTGGCCCTTCTTCCATTTTATATGCCTAGTCAAGAGCTTTCCTATGTAGTAATGTAGTAATTGTTATCAAACTGGCTCTGGTTTTCAGAATCAGATATTCATCCTGTTTGTCAATTTAATGACTTGCTTTGGCTCATTTTACAATAAGAAATCCCTCTTTCATGTGGCCTAATTCAGTTTTTATTAATTTGCCTTTTAATGATGAACTTTGAGATTTAGTTTTATAATGTCTTGGTTGCATTTTTTAAAAAATTATAGGTTACTATTTTGCCCTAACTCAAAGTAACAGTAACACCTGAATTTTGAGTTGCTATTAAGTAGATAAAAATACCGATTTGCTACAGTTCATTTACCGATAATTACACTTTTAGTGAACAGAGTCCTTTATAGATTCTAAAATGTAAAGAGAACTACCCATTGGATTTTTATGCATATGACTTTTGCCACAATCCTCATTGACCTTCCTAATGCTCTTTGTGATCAAGAGTTCAGGAATCTATAACCAGCTCTTTTATTTATGCTACTGGTACTAACTTATCTAAATATGAAATCTTGTACCATCAGATAATTGTAGATAAAGAAATGAAATTCAAAGACAAAAGTTTTCTCTTAATGATCTGGTCCCTTAAAATAAAAAAAATAAACATTTTATCTCAAGATTTTGCTGCCCAAATCATCTTAAATAGATTAGGGATTGGCATTAATCCATCCTCTGGGACAATTGGGTTGCTTTTTGGGTTAAAGGTGGTTCAGCACCTGGCTCATGAGTGGCCCTCTGCAGCAGTAAGTTAATTGTCTGTGCAGCCCCTGGTGTTGTCCCAGCTGCAAAGCAGATGGTGCAGTGAGCAGAGGGCAGCTGTATTGGTCCTGCCCCTGGTTTCATTGCTTACAGGCCACAAATATCTCTGTCTCCTTCCT
Organism: Homo sapiens; assembly: GCF_000001405.40. Classification (NCBI taxonomy): domain Eukaryota; kingdom Metazoa; phylum Chordata; class Mammalia; order Primates; family Hominidae; genus Homo; species Homo sapiens. Next base: position 51,209,542 of record NC_000014.9, on the reverse strand, counting down.
TCCCTTTCTCTCCTTACACGTATATTTACTTCCATTTATTTGCTACTGTGGGCTCAGAAATATTCCTTTTCATCCCTGCCTTCCCAACCACCAACAGAAACCTGAAATACAAATTCTGTTCTTGTGTAATATAAGATAATAGAATTATTTCCACACATAGTTGAAAAAAAAAGCTCTTTGAGTTTAAGGAAAAGGCCTGGGCTAGGAGTCTCCTGAAGAACAGGTGTTGTAGTATGTTTGAACCCTGGGCCATCTGCTAGGTTGTGAGAACCTGCTGGGTACAGCTGGCTCCCTGACACATCAGGGTGTCACTGATTAATACATAACATGAAATGTATTAACACCATAGTTATAGGAAATAGCTCCCCAGTATGATGTGTAGCTGAAATTTTAAAGGTAGATCTGCAACCTGTTATACTTTCTGTGAAACTTAAAGTGCGTCAAAATGAGACTTAGAGTGTGTCATATTTGGGAGCTTATGCTTTCCATTCACTTAGACAACCTGTTATTTCTCTTTTATGCTCTGAAGATCCAATGATATTAATCTTTCAAAATGTCAGATTTCCTCTCCATGAAGTATAATGCAAACAAATAATATTCTACTCAAAAGCGCATCTCCCAAAGATCAGACTATCTCTTTAGTAAAAGATTTTTCCATTCTAACCTGAAAATTTTTATAGTATTACCAGAATTAAATTCCATTTCATGAAGGTAGTATATATCCAAAATGCATTACTTTGTCTTGACTTCCTTTGGATATGTTTCTGTCTTCTGGAAGTTCTTGTTCATATTTTTGAGGGCAGTAGGTGTAGACAGCCATTATCTACTTTTTTGAACTATGTTTTGTGTTATCTGAGTGATCTGTCTACTAGTCTTACATCTTTCAGACAAGCTCCAAATTACTAGTAGTGCTCCCCATCTTAAAATACAGCTGACAGAAACTGAAGGAAACACTTTACAAGTACCAGAGGGAAATGTTGTATGTGGATTATAAGTTTCCTTCCCAGAGGGAACATATTATCTGGACACTGGAAATAGGTTGGGAAATATAAACTGAGCAGCAGATACAACTGGATCTATAATAAATTGATAGCTTTTGGTAATCTTCAGTGAAACTAGAAATCTCTTCTCCATGAAGGAAGTCTTATATGAAAACAGTGTATCATCTTCTGTGTTTTCCTTTGTCAGACTTTTCCAGTTCTCATAGGAATTAAACAGATGAATTGCAATAACGTGCTAATAGTCCTAGAGACCAGACGCATCATTGATAACATTGTTGATTTGTGAACATTTATTGCGACTTCCATCTCAAAACTCAAGTCATAGTCTGGGGCTTTCCTCTCAAAAAGGGCACAAGAGCTGGAATCAGACCCTTGGGGGTTCTGGCAAGTTGGGAAGGATATTTTATTAATCTGCTCAAATGCTTCCTGGTTCTAATTTGGTCAGTCTGAGCATTAAGACAGAATCAGTCCAGACCTTCAGACAGCAGCAGTTGGGATAGAGGAAGAGGAGGGAAAGGAGAAGAAGGGAGGGAGCAGCCACATTCCGTGGGAAGAGCCCCTCCCAGAACTAGAGGGAAGGGGAGTTCTTACAGACGTGCCCCAGGGGAGGCCTCATCTACAAAAAGCCTACATGAGGGATGTTGGCACATTAGTGACTCCCCAGGTAAATAAAACCCCAACCCCTAAGCTAAACACCTGTTCCTCTTCATAAGATGCCACAATCTGTCAGCAAATAAGTTGGGCATCCTCTTGAGCAATAGCCTATGACGATAATCAACATTCAAGATCATTATCATTCATAAGAAGTAAAATAACGTTTTAAGGATTTGTTACCCACTCCTTTGTTACGGCACATGATTCAACAGAAATTCTGGTTCCCCCTGATGAAACACAGGGATTATTAAAATTAGATAAACTAAAAATAGTTCTTAAAAAAAAACTGAAGATGTTGCATACATGTTACCAAAAAGAACAGAAATCTGAGTTGTGTTCAGAGGAGGTATCTTTTACAAAAGCAGGGAGAGATATAAAAATAGAAATTTGAGCAGTGGCTCAGAGACAATTTTATATCATTTGGATTTGAGAACAAATTGTGCCACCATATCTATCCTTTAAAAAGAACATATCCTCCCTGAATGGGAGAATGGGAAAAAGTTATTTGTGAGGTACTTTTGGAGAAAACATGCCTTCTGGGAAACAAATGAGAGATAATCAATGGAACAGCTGTAAACAGTGAATATTAAAATTCAGGAAAGAAAATCTGGACCAATATAAATTGAAACATGAGTGTGAGATGAATAGGTGAGGAAACTTAGGGTCGATACTTATATCAGGCTCTTTGTACTCAAATGACCATAACCAAGTAAGTTGTAGCTTTTTTATTTTTCCAACATAGATAAATTATAGCCATCCCTTGTATGTGTTCAGTGTATTTAACAACAAACAATAAAAATCTCAAAGAAAAAAATTATCCACCAAAAGGAGGTCTCTTAGCCACCTAGAACCTTCAAGTTTAGAAAAATTGAGGCATCTGAATTCATCTTGAAGTACATGGTAGTTTTAATTACTCCAGAAGCTGGGTTTTAGGAGTAAGGAGGTGCTATATACTAGTGGTAACTTCTGAGCTATCACAAGAGATGGGTGTATCTAATATTGCATCAGATATTGAACATAGAAAATGCTGAGCCCATCACCATTTTTATGAGTAGGGCTATGAAATAACAAGAAAAATATATATTTGGTCACTACCCCCAGTTCCTGGCACAGAGCTCCTAAAGCCTTGTAATTTCCCAAGCAATAGTGGTGCTAGGTGCATCTTTTACTCAAATATTTGCTCTTTGTCCCTGGTTCCTGACACAGAGCTCCTAATCCCTTGGAATTTCCTGGGTGATAGTGGTGTCTTTTGTTCTAAGGAAGTGACTTTTTGAGGTCTCCTGGATGGGGGCCATCCACCAGAGAAACCAAGCCTGATTAGAAGCTTGGAACTTTCTGTCCCCTTTCCCATCCTTCAGAGAGGGAAGAGGGCTGGAGACTGAGTGAATCGATCATGCCTACATGATGAAGCCTTCATAAAAATCCCTGAATTACAGAGATCAGAGAGCTTCCTGGTTGCTGAAAAGGTGGAGGTGCCTAGAGGATGGCACATCCAAAGCGAGCATGGAAACTCCTGCCTTTTCCTTCATACCTTGCCTTATGCATCTCTTTCATCTGGCTGTTCATTTGTACCCTTTGTAATGTCCTTGATAATAAGCCAGTAAATGTAAGTAAACGGTTTCCCTGAGTTCTGTGAGCTGCTCTAGCAAATTAATTGAACCCAAGAAGCAGGCCATGGGAACCCTAATTAGAGCCAGCTGGACAGAAGTTTCAGGGACCCAGACTTAGGATTGTCATCTGAAGAGGGGACAGTCCTGTGGGACTGAGCCCTTAACCTGAGGGATCTGACTGTAACTCCAGGTAGCTAGTGTCCGAATGAATTGTACACCTAGGTGGTGTCCACTGGACAATTTCTTGGTAAGTGGGGAAAAAGCCACACATCTGGTTTTAGAAGTGAAGTATTGAGAGTATGTTGTGTGGTGAGTATGAGAGTAGGAAAAACAGTTGGCTTTCTTTTTTTTTTTTTTTTCTGTCTAAAACAAGGCACCTGGTGACATATTTCCTGGGCAGAGTGGAGACACAAGCCTTCGTCACTTCCCCCTCACCTCCTCTTGCCACAGCCTTCTTGCCTGCCACAGCTAGCCGCCCATGTGGTCTCTGGCACAGCATATGTTCACATGATATTAAAAGCAGTCGAGAGTAATGGGGAATTAGTTCTGGTGGGGGTTGGAACTGGACTGCTCTTCACCACAAGATCTGACCCTACTCCTGACCTGCCTGTGGCGTGGCTCCTTCCAGACCAGAGCAGCAGATGGGCTCTGGCCTCCCTGCCCTCTGATGTGCATTCTGGTTGCTGGAACATACTCATTCGAGGCAGAGGGGCACACTGTTCCTACCATGGCTTTAAAAGGTCATGTTTCCCCCCATTTTTGCGAGAGAGGGCTGCTGAGTCAAGCACTATTGAAACCGAAGAACGCGCACAGTAACAGCTGATCACCAGTGTGCTTACTATGCCTCAGAGTCCAGAATTTCTGATTTTTTTAAAAAGTACACTCTATTCAAAGTGGTTTAGCCAAGAAAAATGAGTATTTCTTTCTCGTTATGGAAAAAGAGTTTTAGACTTCAAATGTGATAAATGCGTGGACTGGCTCAATCATTAATTTTCCTTAAATGACAAAGGAAATTTATACAGATTAAACTTTAATTTTCCATTGGCATGTCTTTCTGTTTGAGATTTTTATAAAGAAATGAGATTTCTTTTTTATTTTATATTTATATAAAACATAAAATTTTAGATTTTTAATATCTTTCCAAAATTTTCTAATACAGATGGTTCCATTTTTTACAAATATAATAAAAGCCATATGCAATAGTTTCTTCCCCATTCTGCCCTCTGCCTCGCAAGGCCTGTGGGGATCTACCAGCCATTTGAAATTGAGCTTTGCAAAGCCTTTTGAGCTCTCCCACCCTTCATCTCACCAGGGATAATTAATGTGTGAGTTGGTAAGTTCTACATTCACCCACTTGCCATTTTTATTTGGTCTCTCTTCTGATATGGTATGGTATTTATTGTTAAGGGTAACGTTCCCTCTGGAAATAATAAATAAACAGCCAGAAATTATTAGCCACAGGGGGGAATTGGATTACAAATAGGAAGCCTTGGAGATCTGAAACATTTCCATAGGGAACAAACTCCCAGAAGACTCCTCCGCCTGCTTTATTTCCTTCCATTTCCCCTGTAGATTCTGCTTTGCTTCAGTCAGGAGAGTCCTGCATTGCCTCCTGTGGTATATGGAGGGGTAAGAAAAGTCCAGGCTAATCTCGAGGAGAGGGACAAGATGGCTGACTAGATGCAGCCAGGAAACCCCTCTTCCATCCACAGAAAACAAAATGTTGAATAAACCATCAGACTTCGAACGGATCTTTTGAGAGAAAACACTGAAAGTTCATAGAGCGGCAATGCAGACACCAAGGTTGAAGAATAAGGAAGCTGGGAAGCCTGCACGGAATTGCCAAATGCCAGGACTGGCTCCCAGACCTGAACAGGTCCTAAGGAAGGGGTTAGCAAAGGACCTCTGGGGCACCACACTCCCACTATGGAACTCTGGGATTTTAGCTCCAAGAGATCCCATGAACCCCACAGACATTCGAATTGGCAAGGAGACTGCCTGGAGAGTAGGCAGAGGCAGAGCTGCAACATGCACAACATGCACAACATGCAACATGAAACCAACAAAGGTTTCAAATATGGGGTAGCTGTAGCAAAACAGCCACAGGCGCCCGTCCCCCAGGGCTCTCCATCTTGCTCTGAGAGGCTCTAGCCCCTGCTGACTGCTGGGCTGGGAGAAGGCAGGATTGCCTTTCCCATGGGACCAAGGCATATCTGATCTGCCTGCCCCCTTGCCTGCTGGCCGCCCTCCTGTAAGCAGGCACACAAAGCACAGCCCCTACTGCTCTGCCTGAGTGTTTTGCCAGTGGCCTGGGAGTATTTTGGCACCCCCAGCACAACTGGTGCTCAACCCCAAGGGGCCAGAAGACAAAGCTATGGGCCTGGTCCCAACCCTGCAGGGTTTAGCACACTGCCCAGGGGTATCAAGCTGAACTCTGTGGTCTGAGTTCAAGTGGGGGAGGAGTCCCCACTCTCAGAATACTGAGAAGAGTGAGGCACAGGTTCATGAGCCAGCACAGGAGCTGGGCATCTCTCCCTTTGCAAGACCAGTCTGGGAGGGTTGTAGCCTATTGACCAGCTACAGCTTCTGCCCAAGGGAGCCCCATAGTCTGCCACAGAAGTCTCAGGGTTTGCAAATCTAGCTGAGTGGGCTTGCTCCTGGGGCAGACACTAGAGGGAGATCTGCTCAGGGCAGTGTGAACTGGGAGGGCCCCACAGCTGTTGCTGGGCAAAAAACCCCTGAGGCATGGGCACCACACTAGCTACACACCCAGCACCACCACCCTGCCCAGAGATCTGCCACCCTTGACCCACTGCATCACCACACCACCCACAGACATACCCCACAACCTGCTATGACTCTGCCAGGCACAGAGGAACAGCAGGTCCCCAGGGAGTTGCAGGCTTTCTGGTGACCTAACCTTTGGCTGAGGCCACCCTCAAGGGACGGGGGAGTATAGCCTGCCACGGCCTCCCTTGGGGCTATGGAAATGTGGGTGCAGCACCAATGATTGGAAGGTACTTGCCCAAGGCCCTGAAAGGGACTTGGTGAGGAGGTTATCTCTTGTCACCTCCTGTTGTCCCCCTCTCCCCAGAGCACTGCTGCGAAGGCACTGAAATATAAAAGAAGCTCATGGTTGAGTAAAAGCCACCTGTCTGCCCGCACTCCCTCCTAAGCACCATCTCTAGGATCACAGCCTGAATTACACCACCGAAGAAAAATTTCTTCAGCACACATCTGCAAAACCCAGTATAGGAAACTAGCCACAACTGAGGAACACATACAGAGCTTTGACCCTTTGAAATCCCCTAGAAATGAAGCCAATTGACTATACATAGTACACACCACAGTCAAACCCTCAAGGAAAGAAAAGAATATAACACAAAAAGCCCCATCCAAATGACAGCAACTTCAAAAAGATAAAGAAACATCAACCCTCAGATGAGAAGGAATCAGTGCAAGAACTACAGCAGTTAAAAAATTCAGAGTGTTTCCTTACCTCCAAAGGATTGCATTAGCTTCCCAGCAATGGATCCTAACCCAATTGAAATTTCTGAGTGACAAACATAGAATTCAGAAGCTAGATGGCAAGGAAGCTCGATGAGATTCAAGAGAAAGCTGAAACCCAATCCAAGGAAGCCAGTAAACCTATCCAAGAGTTGAAAAATGACATAGCCATTTTAAGAAAGAACCAAACTGAACTTCTGCAATTGAAAAACTCACCATAGGAATTTCAAAATACAATTGGAAGCCTTAACAACCGACTAGACCAAGCTGAGGAAAAAATTTCAGAGCTCAAAGGTTGGTCCTTTGAATCAACCCAGTCAGACAAAAATAAAGAAAAAATAACTTTAAAAATTGAACAAAACCTCTGAGAAATATGGGATTATGTAAAGAGACTAAACCTACAATTTATTGGCATTCCTGAGGAGAGAGAGTAAGCAATGTGGAAAACATATTTGAGGATATATTGCATGAAGATTCCCCCAATCTCACTAGAGATCAACATGCATATTCAATAAATTGCGAGACCCCTGCAAGATACTATCCAAAATGACTGTCCCCAAGATACATAGTCACCAGATATTCCAAGGTCAAAGCAAAAGAAAAAAATCTTAAAGGCAGACAGAGAAAAGGGTTAGATCACTTACAAAGGGAACCCCAGGGAACAGGGGACTTCCCCAGTCTCACTAGAGATCAACATGCAAATTCAGAGAACCCCTGCAAGATACTATCCAAGATGACTATCCCCAAGACACATAGTCATCAGATGTTCCAAGGTCAAAGCAAAAGAAAAAAATCTTAAAGGCAGACAGAGAAAAGGGTTAGATCACTTACAAAGGGAACGCAGGGAACAGGGGACTTCTCAACAGAAACCTTACAAGGCAGAAGAGATGGGGGGCCTATTTTCAACACCCTTAGAGAAAAGCAATTACAACCAGGAATTTCATACCCCACCAAACTAAGCTTAATAAGTGAAAGAGAAAATCTTTTCCATACAAGCACATACAAAGGGAGTTCATTACCACAAGTCCAATCTTACAAGATATCCTTAAGGGAGTTCTAAACATAGAAATGAAAGAATGATACCTGCTACCACAAAAGCACACTTAAGTACATAGCCCAAAGACCCTATAAAGCAGCTACACAATCAAGACTACAAAGTAACCAGCTAAAAATGTCATGACAGGAGCAAAATCTCACATGTCAACATTAACCTTGAATGTAAATGATCTAAATGCTCCACTTAAAAGGCACAGAGTAACAAGTTGGATAAAAAAAATGGCTGCTGTCTTTAAGAGACCCATCTCACATGTAATGATACCCATAGGCTCAAAGTAAAGAATGGGAGAAAGATCTATTGTACAAATGAAATTCAGAGAAGAGCAGGAGGTACTATTCTTACATGAGATAAAACAGACTTTAAACCAACAATAGTAAAAAAGGACAAAGAAGGACATTACATAATGATAAAGGATTCAATCCAAGAAGAAGACTTAACTCTTCTAAATGTATTTGCAGCCAACATTGGAGCACCTAGATTCTTAAATCAAGTACTCGTAGACCTATGAAAAGACTTAGCCACATAAAAATAGTGGGGGACTTCGACACTCCACTGACAGCATTAGACAGATCAAGGCAGAAAACTAACAAGGAAATTCTGGATTTGGCACTTGACCAATTGGACCTAATAGATATCTACAGAATACTCCACCCAACAACCACAGAATATACATTCTTCTCATTGGCATATGGAACATACTCTAAATCAACCACATGCTCGGCAGTAAAGCAAGTCTCAATAAATTCAAAAACATCGAAATCATACCAAACATACTGTCAGACCACAGTGGAATAAAAATAGAATCAATACCAGGAAGATCTCTCAAAATCACAATTACACAGAAATTAAACAACTTGCTCCTGAGTAACTTTTGGGTACACAATAAAATTAAAGCAGAAATCAAAAACTTCTTTGAAATGAGTAAACATAGAGACACAGCCCAGTGCGGTGGCTCATGCCTGTAATTCCAGCACTTTGGGAGGCCAAGGTAGGCAGATCACTTGAGGTCAGGAGTTCAAGAGCAGTCTGGCCAACATGGTGAAACCCTGTGTCTCCTAAAAACATAAAAATTGGCTGGGTGTGATGGTGCACACCTGTAGTCCCAGCCACTCGGGAGTCTAAGGCAGGAGAATCGCTTGAACCCGGGAGGCAAAGGTTGCAGTGAGCCGAGATCGTGCCATTGCATTCCAGCCTTGGTGACAGAGTGAGACTCTGTCGAAAAAACAAAACAAAACAAAAAAAACCACAGAGACATACCAAAGCTCTGGGATGTAGAAAGCAGTGTTACGAGGAAAGTTTATAGTGCTAAACACCCACATCAAGAAGTTAGAAAGATCTCAAACCGAACATTTATACACTGTTAGTAGGAAGGTAAATTAGTTAATCCACTGTGGAAAGCAGTTTGGAGATTTCTCAAATAACTTAGAACTACCATTCAACCCCAGCAATCTTATTACTGGGTATATATCCAAAAGAAAATAAATTGTTCTGCCAAAAGGACACATTTACCTGTATGTTCATCGCAGCACTATTCACAATAGTAAAGCATGGAACCAACCAACCTAGATACTCATGAATGGTATATTGGATACAGAAAAAATGTGGTGTATATATGAAATACTACACAGCCATAAAAAATAATGAAATCAATGTCCTTTGCAGCAACGTGGGTGCAGCTGGAGGCCATTATCCTAAGTTAACTAACAGGAACAGGAAACCAAATACCACATGTTCTCACTTATAAGTGGGAGCTAAACATTGGGTACTCATGGATATAAAGATAGGAGCAGTAGACACTGGGGACTACTAGAGTGGGGAGGGAGGGAGGCAAGGGTTGAAAACTACCTATTGGGTACTGTGCTCACTACCTGGGAAATGGGTTCAATTGTACCCCAAATCTCAGCATCACACAATATACCCTTGTAACAAACCTGTACATGCACTCCCTAAATCTAAAAAGTTGAGAGGAGAAAAGAAAAATCCAGCAAGTTTCAAGTTCAATCAGAAAACTACCAAGTAGCTGTGATTGTGAGTCTCATACATTGTCCAATGTTACCAAAGTAATTATTGAAAGAACCTATACGCTATAAAGCTATTAGAAAGAGGGGCTAAATGATTACAGGAAAAATTCAAATACGACATATAAAGAATTTCAAAAAGGCAAGACTGATTATTTAGTGGAACTCGATGTTGAACAAGGTCCTGAGATAGATATTTAATATTAGGGCTTTTTTGTACATTTATTAAACATATGATAGTATATTTGTTGGTTGGTAGTAGCCATTTGACTATAGACAGAACTCCAGATTGGATGATGGGTTATTGGATCAAAAATGTTTTCTATAGAGCCTGTGGTAATCTAAGAAATATCTCTGATCTGTCTTTTTAAAAAAATAGTAAAAGAAGAAAACAGTAAAACATGCTTGTGTTTTGCAAGAAACACTGTAAGAATAAAGCATTTGGACACTGATATATCTATGTGTTTTAGCTTCATTGACTGCTGGAATGAATTGAACAATGGATGTTTTTTAGACTGTTTTTCAAACATAATAGATTCAAAAAGAAAAAAATAAACTTTTCCCCCCATAGGCAAGAATATCTTGCATTCCTCTGACTTAAATTTATTCCAGTCTATTTTCTATTCATTTACTCTATTCATATGCCAAAAGATTATTTCCTATTACGCCATAAAGTATGAAGTGAATGGATGAATAATGAAGTTGAAGATAACTAATAATTATACTCTGTAATATCTATAGTAGAATTTTTTAAGTCACAGATTTAAAATCCCCTGTGAGATAAATATTCCTTCTTTCTACTCTGTGTTCTAACACAGAAAAAGCTAGGATTGTGAAGCTAAATTGCTACCTGAATCATGACTGGTGGCATTTTGAAAAGGAAATGCCAAACTACTTTAAGAAAATTTCAAATGACAGAAGAACCGAGGGGGGAGTCTTAACTAAAATTGGAGTAAAAAGAAATTCTTGTCACTAAGAGACTGACGTTTTCATTCTTCCCCTAATTATTTCAGTCAGAAATGTCTTCCATTATATACTGTCTTAGTCAGCCCAGCTATCACTGCTCTGGGATCGAACAGTGAATCCCTCCTACTCTTTTTTGCACACAGTCATCCATATATTATTAATTATATTCACGGCATCCTTCCAATTGCCCGTATTCTACCCTATGAAAGAATTCAAGGTGAGCACTGTTCACATTTCAGTCTGTTACCTTCAGGAAAGGAAATTCACATCTTTATCTCCTCAATATTAACGAGCTTTATTCTAGGAGAACCATAGTAAGTTTGTCCCAGGATAGAATCAGATGTTTAAAATTGTCCTAATGTAATAGCACTATGTTCTAATATCCAGCTTTGGTGACATCTAGTCCATTCTTTTCCCAAGCCTAGCCATTTGGTATGTTTTCAGATTCATAGATTCATGAGAAGTCACAATCTTGTTTGATCAAGATACTCCAGAGTGTATCAACAGGACACTTATAAACTAATATTTCTCAAAATACTCATGGTGAAGGGCAGTCTCTTAAAATTTTCTGTCACAGCCCAGTAGATTTTATAAAATACAGTGGAAATGAATTATTAGAAGGTGATACTGGATATCAGGAAAATAAAATTGCTATAAAAAATGCCTAAGAGGTTACTCTAGATTTCTGTACTTACCTTGTCACAGACCAGTTCCGGTCCATAGACCCTGCCTTGCATAGCAATGTTCTAAAACATTCTTGTTACGTTTCTCCAGTCTTTTGTCAGGTGAGAAAATCATTGTTGTATTATACCAAGAGCAAAGAGCAGGGAGCAGTCTCTGTGGGCACAGGCAATAGGAAGTTGTATTGTCTGTAGAGAATTTTAAAACAATCATATAATTGACTAAAAATCAGTCTACTTTTTATCAGCATTCACCAGCAATTCCTAACAATGTCAATGATAAAATGCTTCTCCTCTCAAAGATCTTCTGCACATAGAGCCTACTGTTTGCACTTTAATCAGTTGTGTTGCTGTACCCTACATGGTCTAGTTTCTTTACTCTCTCTCTCTTTTTTTTTTTTTTTTTTTGAGACGAAGTTTCCCTCTTGTTACCCAGGCTGGAGTGCAATGGTGTGATCTCAGCTCACCGCAGTCTCTGCCTCCCGGGTTCAAGCCATTCTCCTGCCTCAGCCTCCCGAGTAGCTGGGATTACAGGCATGTGCCACCACGCCCGGCTAATTTTGTATTTTTAGTAGAGACGGGGTTTCTCCATATTGGTCAGGCTGGTCTCGAACTCCCAACCTCAGGTGATCCACCCACCTTGGCCTCCCAAAGTGCTGGGATTACAGGCATGAGCCACCACGCCCAGCCTTCTTCACACTCTCTTTTATCAAATAGGATATACTACTATATTAAGAGTTTGACCAATTCAGAAAATAATGGAAGACTTTTTATTGGCTGTTCAGACATTATATTTCTTCAGAGTACTTCTGCTTTTAACAATAGCACTGTCACTGCTAATTAATGTTTGGTTTATGAAATCAACTGAGGCTGGATCTTTTTTCTCCATGTTTAGTCTTAACTAGTACTTCAGTATCATAAATTTCTATTTGGAGAAATCTTTTTATTTCCCCTAAATGTACTATAGGATTTTCATCTCTTCTGAAATCCACCCATTGTTGAATTAGTCTTCCAGTTGGTCTAAGTAAACTTGAAAATTGTTTTTTGCCTCCCAGAGAAATAGCAATGGCATAGCCTTAGACTAGATCGTGTAAGAGAGTTTAGGGCATGTGTGTTATTAGTGAATATTCTTCAGGAAAAAAACTTGTAAGGGATGAGACAGGCAGAATAGGGAAGGGGAAGGAACCGAGCATGGTTATGGTCTCTGGTAAAGTCTAGCCTTGGCCTGATCCACTGGAGTGTGTGTGTGTGTGTGTGTGTGTGTGTGTGTGTGTGTGTGTGTCTATGTTGGAAGGCATGCTCTAGGGCATAAATCACAGTGCAGAGCTGTCCTTCCTGTGACAGACCGTCATTGTCCACCCTTGGGAGGGGAGCATAAAACCTCCCAAACATCCTAGGCCTCGGACTTGGAGGTGGAAGATGCAAGTGGTGCTTGCAGAGACCCTGTAGGTAGGAAAGGCAAACCCATACCTGCATTATGCATCAATCCTGATCAGGATGAATCATTGACTGTTTTTGAGTAGGAGGTGCCTAATGGAATCACCTTGCTAGGTGACCTTGTGCATAGGTCAGGTATAGGTCATCTGGGTGGAACACCAGCAGCATCTACAACAGTCTGTACTGTGCTGTGCACAGATCCACTGGCTTTTCACATTTAACCCACTCCATCTAGATACAACTTCTCCAGGATTCTAGTTAGTCACAATATCTGGGGAAACTTCCAAGAGGAAGGTCAGGAGAAGAAAGTAGATTTCTGCTGTGGCAATTGTTCCCAAGCTATAATCAATACTCATTATCACCATCCTTCACAACTTTTTCTAGATTCCCCTCATCCTTGGCTAGTACTTCTGCTAGTCTAGTTGGCTTGTTAGCGAGGAGGGGGTGACCCTGATCCACATCACTGAGGCGCTGGGCCCCAGCTTACTGTGCCTTATCAGTATATGGTTGCACTTGCCCATTTGCAGTTGAAACTGGGCATAGGAGAACCACGGGATGCCTCACTAGATCACCTGAGCACCAAGTATATTCCTTGCACTCCCATTTTGCATCAGGCTTACCTGCCCATAATAACCAGAGTCAACTACATCTGGCAGTATGGGCACTCCTTTGTGTACCTGCTAGTCTACTGGCACATGGAGCCTTGAATGACCAGGTGGCAGCCACAGCTATAAGTGTAGTGGGTATCTTGATGTACCCCTGTTGGAAATGTTTTCTTGATGAAGACTAGGACTTCTAGGCCCAAAAGCTGGGAGAATAGGAAGCACAAAGTCCCCAAGTAGATCACTGGTAATGATGGAGAGAAGTGCTACTCCTACTTCTACCCCTTGGTCCTTCGGCCCAGGTAGTCTACTTGCTTGGGACACAGTACCTTAAACTGGCTATTGAAGCTGTCTACACATCCTGAAGGATAGTACCCCTCTCACAAGGTTTCTACCTACTACCTAGCACATGATTTGTACCTTTAAGTGTCCTTTCCAGAGCTCTATCAAGCTGGCATCTTCTGTATGATGAGGAATGCAGTAGGACCAGTGGATCTCATGTTCAGGCGCCCATTACCACACCTTCTTTTCCGTAAAGGGTTTGCGTATTCCAAGGTGGTGTTTTTTAGATCCTATGTCAAGATACCAGACAAGTGGTGAGTTTTCAGTTAGTGGTGCTTGCAGAGACACTGTAGGTAGGAAAGGCAAACCCATACCTGCATTATGCACCAATCCTGATCAGGATGAATCATTGACTTTTTTCGAGTAGGAAGTGTCTGATGGAATCACCTTGCTATCAGGTGCTTGGTGCGTCTCCTCAAGGGATAGTACGATGTCAGGGGATCAGTTTTTATTTCTCTGCTGGAAGGTCAGACATTCAGTGACAGGAAAGGCTTTATCTGCTATTGGGCCTAGATGTAGTATCCATCTCTGCTTATGACTACCCTGTTCTTGAGTAAATGGGATGGCTGGTGACAGAAGCTGGCTGACATCTACTGGCCAAGTCATCCTGTCCACGTGGTTATTAATGCTTCTTCTACAGTGGGTGTTGTCTGGTGGACAAAGATCTCATACTTCGTTCCCACTCTAATAGATCCATTCACATACCTCCTTCCCAGAACATTTTTGTTCCCATGCCCTCTCAATGGACCAAGCTAGGGTTATATATATATATATATATATATATATATACTCTCATTTTCATGTATATTTCTATATTCATCTATATTTATTGAAATTCATGAGTTCACACCAATATCTTTGATTCCAGTCCAACACCATGAGCACCACTGTGCTCATTCAAGTTTTTTCCCTTTTCATATTTATATCTCCCATCTCCAACAGTGAGAAACCTGTCTCCCTGTCTCCCATTATCCTTTTTTTTTTTTTTTTTTAACAAGGTCTCTCTTTGTCACCCATGCTGGAGTGCAATGGCACAATCTCAGCTCACTGCAACCTCTGCCTCCTGAGTTCAAGCAATTCTCCTGCCCCAGCCTCCCGAGTACCTGGGATTACAGGTGTGTGCCACCACACCTGGTGAATTTTTGTATTTTTAGTAGGGACGGGATTTCACCATGTTGGCGAGGCTGGTGTCAGACTCCTGACCTCAAGTGATCCGCCCACCTCGGCCTCCCCAAGTGCTGGGATTACAGGTGTGAGCCACCGCACCTGGCCCCATTCTCCTTAATGCATTTATTTACTTGGTCAGTTTCCCTGTATGTAACATTTCACATTGCTGCTATTGTCCCCTATCTTTTGTGGATATCCGCCTCACTCCACTTGGGCTATAATATCCCACCCCATTTCTTCTTTCCAAATGGATGCTCTCCTCATGCTGCTAAGGTTCTGACACCTCATGCCAGGTCTGCTCTCCTGCATGGATGTCTTCCTCACTCTATTCACATTTTGGCACCACTCAGAGGGAAGTAGGGGCCTCACACAGTCCCTGAACCTAAACCACATGGTCCATGCCATCTTTACTACGGCTCAACATGGGGACATTGTCACAGGTAATGAGATTGTATTACCTTGTTTTCCATTTGTTATTTTTTTTTCTTTCATGTATAGCTCTCTCTAGAATCATCCATGGCAGGGACAGGCCAAGAGGGAAGGAATGATTGGGAGGGCAGAATTTGAGAATTACCACACCATTAATTATTATGTCCCTAAAATTAAGCCCAAGTGATAAAGATGTAATGAAAAATAGAGAAACACAGAACTGTCATTGTTGTGTGCCAGTATATGAGACATATTAAATTCTCATTATAACAAACACCACACAGAACTCCTTAAGTACATATCAAAATATTCGACGTAATCACATACAAGTTAATCACAAAGACTGTATATGATGGATGAGAACTGCCTTTAGTAGTAGCTTTTAAATTTCTATTCTATAACTTACCACAATAATAATTGCACTCTTCACTTTATTAAATAATTTTTTAGTATGTCCCATGTAATATCTGGGATATAGTTTTGGTAAAAAAATTTGTTGCTTATCTGAAATTACAATTTAGTAGGGTGTCCTGTATTTTTATCTGCTAAATATGGCAACCACAGGTAAGAAGAGAAGCCAAAAAAATCTCATCTGCTTATTTTTCTAAAGCCATGGAACAATCCCAACCACTTTACCCAGAAAAGAGAATGTAACCCAGATAAAAACAACTGGCACTGAGCTGGGGGTTCTTCCTAATTTTATGGGGACCAAAATTAACTGATAAGAGATGAGAAACAGACTAGGGAAGTGTCCCAAACCTAGGAGAAAAAGAGGGAGAGAAAGAGGGAGAAACCAAGAAGGCAGAAGAGAAGAAAATACAAGGAAGAGAAAAGATAGCAAGAAAGGGAGAGGACAGAGGAAGAGAGAAAGAAGCCAAGAGTAGAAGGAAGATACAGCCCATAGGAGAGGACACAGCCATTGTCACCAGCTTAGCAGGAGCAGAATGGAGCCAAAGCCCATCAGAAGGAAACCATGTGGCCATGCCAGCCCCAGCTCCAAAGCAAAAATATCTTCAATCTCAAGAACCATGATCAGATGCTTATCAGAACAAGACTGTAGTAAACTTAACATCCTGTCTTCAAAGAAAGAGTATTGGACAAGCATTTATATCTGCACTTCATATTCATGCCATAGGCCCAGAGTGATTTTTTTTGTTAAGGAGAAAAGCTTCTGCAGTATCCCCTGTATTCATCTTCTCTGAAATAAGCTTCTGTAGATATGTAACAAACATCTTTTCTTATTCGTGGCTTTAGGAAACTGTTGCAATAAAATGTACCAGAGTAGAGTAGTAACACCCCAAAAAAGGAAATCAGAGATTTTGATACCACATATCACAAATATATCCTAGAACTTAATTTTCCTACATAGCAGAAGCATTAGACATCTCATTTACGTTATAATAGTAACAAGAAATAAGCATGTAACTCCATCCAGGGAGTTCAAGCAAATGAGGAAACTGAAGACAATCACAGAAACTTTAGAAAACATCTGATCCAAATAGTTCTCTTAGCAGATAAAAAGACTAACTACTAGGTCAAATCTTATGTAGGTCAAGTGTTAGGAGGCTTGGGTCAGTTAGGAAACCATGGTTGCAGACCCTCACCAGTCTACTCTAGCATGATTTCCAACCAGCAGCATCTTCTTTTATCCGAGGGCAAGAACTCTTGCTGCTGGAACCCACTTTGTGAAGTCAGCAGGCCTGAAAATTAACACCCGCAGGATCAGCCCTCAAGTCCTCCCTCACTCTTTAGCTGGGACAACTCTGAGGAGTGGGATCTATGCTGGCTCCCAAAGGTCCTCCGGTGGCAGTGGGATTGAGCTCAGCCTCCCACATTGATAGCTGGTGTGGTAACACACCCTGTATTGGCTACCTAACCCTTCTTGGTCTCATCTCCTCACTCTCTTATCAGTGCTCCTTTCACCTCCCAAATAAACTACCTGCACTTGAATAGCCTGCCCCTGGAGAACCCAAATGAACTCAGTCAGATTTCTGGAAGTGTGGTGTATCTACAAATTTCTGACTAATGTAGTATATTATTAGAATGCAATTTGTTAATAAATCTCATTTTGTTATACTTTGGTAATATTATGCATTATAACAATTTCACTTTTTTTTCCAATGAGCTTTTATAGATAGTACCTTAACTTGGGGTTCTTTCATTCATATATATGTGTGTGTGTGTGTGTGTGTGTGTGTGTGTGTGTGTGTGTGTATGTATATATATATATATATATATATATTTTTTTTTTTTTTTTTTTTCCTGAGACAGTCTCACTCTGTTGCCCAGGCTGGAGTGCAATGGTGCATGATCTCGGCTCACTGCAGCCTCCACCTCCCGGGTTCCAGTGATTCTCCTGCCTCAGCCTCCTGAGTAGCTGGGATTACAGGCACCTACCACGAGGGCTGGCTAATTTTTGTATTAGTAATAGAGACAGGGTTTCACTGTGTTGGCCAGGCTGGTCTCAAACTCCTGACCTCAAGTGATCCGTCCACCTCGGCCTCCCAAAGTGCTGGGATTATAGGTGTGAGCCACCACGTCTGGCCCACTTATATATTTTTTAGATGAATTTGTGAATTAGTAAAATATCAACTGATAAGAAAAGTGAAACTTTACTATTAGTAGATAGGTATCACTAGGCCCTTAAGGAAAAACAAGAAGAAAAACAAAACTACTTTTGAAAAAAAAAAAGTGAGGCGAGGCAGACATGGAAGAGCCTGAAGTCCATTTAAGGACTCTGGCATAATTGAAGTTGCTAATTACTTCTTATAGCAGCTAAATGGGCTAGGTTACCTTTGCCTGTGTCCTACTAAATCACTGCGTAAAAACTGTTCTAGAATTGGAAAGTTCTGAGGGTTGTTTGAACTCTAAAAATTTCTTAGTAGCTACAGTATTCAGGCACTCCACTTCTTGGTCAAGAGGAATGGATTTAGAAATGTTAGGAGGAAAAAGACACTTTATTCAAGGTGCTATGGGGTAGATGATTAATATATTTTTGGCTGCCTTACACCTTGGAATGCCCTTCCTATGTGAAGAATTACCTATTTTGTGAGTCCTGGCTTTCCCATGACAGAAGCCAGGACTCTTTCCCACCTCCTCCTATGCAACTAGGCACCAGCAAGTGACTGAGGTCCCCCCAATCAAGCACACTCATGCAACACCTCATTGCACAACCTGGTGACCCACGTAAGTTGGTGCTACATAGATACCCCAAGTTTATTTGCTATGTATACATATATATTATTTTATACAAGTTTCACAATTATATAAGAATAATGAGGCCTTAACCAATCTTATCCCTGAAAACTTATATTTATTCAGCCTTCTTGAAGGTCAAGAGGTATCCTTTCCTTCCCAGGCTTCCTTTATCATCTTACCAACACTGAGGTGAACTATCAGCAGAATAGGGAGGTGGGTGGTGGTGGTATTGTCTATCCGGAGTTGGGGATTAGGGAGGGAGATGACCATGAGAAAAGGGGTCTGAGTCTCACTGAAAGACTATCTATGAGGTCCATCTGGGCAGGGAGGAATGAGGGCAAAAGAACTAAAGGGCTTTATGTCCTCCAGGGATGTAAAGAAGAGGTGAGGGGCAGTGAAGACTGGGAAGGATAGAGGGGTGGGAGGTGGTAGTCACAGCAGGGAATTCCGGACTTAACACAAGTCTGTCTCAACCTTTTCCTTGATGGTATGTATATATCTATTTTTTTCTTTCATTTTAATTGTTAATGAGATCTAGGTATCACTTCCTTGGGGGAAGTAAGTTCTTTCATGTTAGCAGCCCATATCACTTCACTATATTCTGCTTACAAAGGGGTTTATTCATTTAATGGTTTATTTGCTCAGATTGACTCTTAATACTTGTACAGGTAGTTTTTCCAGGCTTGCTTGCATATGGCTCTGAGGTGACATTTGATTGACAGCTCTGCTATACAACAATAGTGGGAGACCTATAGGATTACAAGGGAAGGGAAGAAGAGAACTAGGGTTTATTGAGCACCCACTATACATTTGACATTTTCAGCATATAATTTTCTTTACTTCTAATAACTCATGAGAGTTTATTATACCAGTTTTTAGAAATGAGAAACCTGAAGTTCAAAGAGATTATATAACTTATCCAAGATCACTGATTTAGCAAGTCTACGCCCTTGCCACTCTACTTGGTGGACACACCCATGAGGATGCTGCCATTCAGACTGAATTGAACTTCCTCTATAAAATTCTGGGGATGTCAAAGGTAACCTCATGTAACCAGATCAAATAAAATAATGTATGCATTTAGTACAGTGCCTGGCACATAGTAGATGTTGAATCACACACGTGGCCTTGCTTGGGAAACACGTAAGAATTTTCTGTGTGTAACCATGAAAAGATAAAGCTTTAATGGTGTTTGCTTTTGCACTGAAGCCAAAGATCTATGAAACTGACTTGTCTGCTTGATCAGGCTCCCCGAACTGCAAGTGGATACCCTAGGCCAATTGCTCCATTTTGGTATTAAGTAAAGAATTATCATATTAAGTAAAAAAAAAAAAAAAGTGACATCTACCTTGAAGAAGTATAAAGAAAAAAAACAGGCCAGGTGTGGTGGCTCACGCCTGTAATCTCAGTGCTTTGGGAGGCCAAGGCAGGCAGATCACCTTAGGTCAGGAGTTCGAGACCAGCCTGGCCAGCATGGTGAAACCCTGTCTCTACTAAAAATACAAAAATTAGCTGGGCATGGTGGCCCATGCTGGTAATCCCAGCTACTTGGGAGGCTGAGGCAGGAGAATTGCTGGAACCTGGGAGGCAGAGGCTGCAGTGAACCGAGATCACTGCATTCCAGCCAAATAATATAACAACTGACTTTTCTTTGTTGCCCCAGAAGGTAAACAAGGGCAAATAAGTGGAAGTTACAGAAAGGCAGACTCCAACAATATTTAGAGAGACATTCTAGTTGTCACATGTTCCCCCAAAAAATGAAGGCCACTGAATATGTCCAGGCTGACCAGGGAGCCATCTGGCCAAAGTGGAATGTGACAGGATCCTGTGCTGGGCTGGATATTGGACTACAATAATCTGATGTAGTGTCCTTGCCAAATTTCTGTGGCTTTTTTGTAGGCTGGGGAGAACAGTTCTATTTACTTCCTGGGTAATTTCAGGACATCTCAACCTTGGAATTTATATGAATTTTGCTTGATGGAAGATGGTTTTCCTCTTTAAAAGCCACTTTTCCCACTTGTCTTTCCCTGCACCTTTGAGGGAGGAACCGTGTTGAGCATCTGCTCCCGGATTTATGTCCTGTCCTCCAGCTATGAAGAACACCCCCGTTCCTATGGGGGCGGGAGGTTTGGCTCTCCTTTTAGAAATTCCCTTCTGTGCTGCACTAATCACACCCTCGGTACATTTCACATCTTATTTTTAGGAACAAAGTATAAAGAATCCCAGCACCAACAGCAGTTTCTGTGGCAACCTGCATCGCCCCCCTTGCTTGTCCAGCTGTGCAGAATTAAATTCTAAAAGAGGCCATTTTACATCATGTGAAGGAGATCCACAGCGAAGGTTCTCTTTAAATGAAGGTGTTCTTCTAAGTTAAGAGGGAACTAGATGGGAATTAGGTTGGGGGGTAGGTGGTTGAATAAAAGAACTGGAACTTTTACTTAGAACTCGAACTCTTATAAAATCCCAGGTGTGCACAGGCATGCTCTAGTTGCCCTGATTTTTTTCCACAGGACATCATTTCAGAAACAAAAATAGCATTTAGACCAATGAAAACTAGGTTTGAATATTTATATCAGAAGAGTTTGTTGATAAGTTCCTTCTCACCCCCTCCCTTCATGGGGTCTTTCTGCATAACCTTCTAGGCTAGAGCAGATTACAAATTGACATGCTTCTCATCTTCTCTTGAATAGTTCTTTCAAGCTGCTATGCCAGCTACCAGGAGGAGCTCACCAAACTCCCTCTCCCTAGCACAAGCAACACAGGGATTGTCTTCCTGGGCCAGGCCTAAAGGTGGGCCTATTAAAGCAACTCCCTAAGAGTGTAATTTGGCGGACACCAACAGACTATGAAAATAATCCCCCCAAGGCCTTTTCATGTCTCAGTTATCATTGTAACCACTGTTCTGGGATAATTTGCTTCCATATGATTCTAGAAAATTGTGAATATGCTTCTGCAAGGAGTAATATTTTAGAATCAAATCTATATTTATTTTTGTTTGCTTCTAAGAAAACATGAGGTAGCCCATATTTAAAAAGATCTTTACCCTTAGACCATTATTATAGATACCACAGAAAGAGTTAAACATGCCCTGAACACAGACTAATATTATTACTATGCTTAAACATTAATTGAGCTCTAAGTTTCCTGAAGCTGGCCAAATAAAATTATTATTAGAATTTATTATACAATTATCACCTATTAAAAGAAAAGACATCAGTTTGTCTATACCTACTATACCTACTTGGTAATTTTGCCTAAGGCCAGTCCTAGGAAAGAGAGATTTTTCCGGTACTAAATTCTTAAAAGAGATTATTATATGTAGGCAACAAAAGAATGCACTTTTGTTCAACAGTCAGGAAAAGATGAAAATTATTCTTCACATGGCCAGTTATTATATTAACTTTTGAGAAACCTGAAGTTATAACCTCAAAATAATACACAGTGAAGCCACCAGTGTAATTCATTAAAACATTTAACAGTCAAAATACATTAACTCAATCTACTTAAGCAGATTAGCTCCAGGAATGTTTTGGAGGAAAAAAGGCTCTAAGGGAATGTGACATAAAAAGCTAGATTTTGATAGTAACAAGTGGCAATGATTGTCAATTTATGAGGTCTATATTACAGATTCATTAGAGAAACAGAGCCAATAGGATACACACACACATGGATGGATAGGTAGGTAGATAGATAGATAGATAGATAGATAGATAGATAGATAGATAGATAATTTATTATGGGAATTGACTTACATGATTATTGAGGCCAAGATGTGTCATATGATCCATCTGAAAGCTAGAGAAGTAGGAATGCTGGTGATGTAATTCAGTCCAAGTCTAAGCCCTAAGAACCTGGGCTGGGATTGGGGCGTGGGGTGCTAATGTAAGTCCTGGAGTCTGAAAACCCTAGAACCTCTAACATCTGTGGGTAGGAGAAGATGGATGTCTCAGCTCAAGAAGAGAGAAGTAATTTACCCTTCCTCTGTTTTTTTGTTCTCTTTGGGCCCTTGATAGATTGGATGATGCCCACTCACATTGGTGAGGGCATTTTCTTTACTCAGTCTACTGATTCAAATGCTAATCTTTTCCAAAAACACCCTCACAGGCACACCAAGAAATAATTTTACCAGCTATTTGGACATCCCTTAGCCCAGTCAAGCTGATACATACACTAACCATCACAGCAGTGGTCCCCAACCTTTTTGGCATCAGGGACCAGTTTCATGGAAGATAATTTATCCACAGACTGTGGGGAGGGAGATGGTTTCAAGATGATTCAAGTACATTACATTTATTGTGCACTTTATTTCTATTATTATTACATTGTAATATATATATAATGACATAATTATACAACTCACCATAATGTAGAATCAGTGGGAGCCCTGAGCTTGTTTTCCTGCAACTAGATGGTCTCATCTGGGGGTTATGAGAGACAGTGACAGATCATCAGGCATTGAATTCTCATAAGGAGTATGCAACCCAGATCCCTCACATGTGCAGTTCACAATAGGCTTTGCACTCCTATGAGAATCTAATGCCACTGCTGATGTGACAGGAGGCAGAGCTCAGGCAGTAATGCAAGTGATGGGGAGAGGCTGTAAATAGAAACAAAGCCTTGCTTGCTTGCCCACCACTTGCCTCCTACTGTGTGGCCCAGTTCCTAAAAGGCCGTGGACCAATACCAGTCCATGGCCCAGGAGTTGGGGACCCCTGCATTATAGGATCATAAAATATAGTGGGAGTGAGGCTGAGAATTGAGCATGAGGAACTGATTTTTTTAAAGAAGAGAGAAGGGCAACTACAGAAAGAGTAGAAGGACGCCTGAAAATAGGAAGTGAGAGGTGTCAAAGACAAACTACATACCTACTTGGTAATTTTGCCTAAGGCCAGTCCTAGAACATGCAACTCTTTGATGACCAGATTTGGCAGTTACCAGCAAAGGGACAACCACAACTCCAGTGACTTCCATGTGGTTCTATTATGCATGAAACACATTTGTGGTGGTAAAATGTCTCTGAAAGTTGTAAATGAAAACTGTGGTCTCAAAATTGCCTCTCTAGGAGAAGAAAATTGATCCCCAAACTTTCTTAACCATTCTTTCTTTCATTGGAAGTTTAAAAATAGAGTGTTTTTGTTTTGGTTTGGTTTCAGAAAGTCATTAGTAGTCCAGAAACAAATATGTGAAAACTGAGTTCAAGTCACTTCCATACTGCAATATTGCAATTTTTCATTAGTGTATTACTCAGGCAGTATGTGTTGGGTTGCAGAAAATATTAGACCTGTTTCAAAAAACCAGCACAAATTAAATACTAATTTTAAGGGACACACCAAAAAAATGACTTTTTAAAAAACTCAGTCTAAATTTTCTCTTCACCCCCAAATTTTGGTAATACTCAGATATCAGCAAAATGGATTTAGCCTATATCAGCAAAAAACCTTAATTTGGTTTGGCTCTATGTCCCCAACCAAATCTCATCTTGAATTGTAATGCCCACATGTTGAGGAAGATATCTGGTGGGAGGTGATTGCATCATGGGGCCGGGTTTCCCCCATGCTGTTCTCGTGATAGTGAGTGAGTTCTCAAGAGATCTGATGGTTTAAAAGTGTTTGGCAGTTCCCCTCCTTGCTCTCTCTCTCCTGCCACCATGCGCCTTGCTTCCCCTTTGCCTTCTGCCATGATTATAAGTTTCTTGAGACCTCTCCAGCCATGCAGAACTGTGAGTCAATTAAACCTCTCTTCTTTATAAATTGCCCAGTCTTAGGTAGTTCTTTTTAGCAATGTGGGAACAAACTAATACAGACCTTTATTTTCTGTCCTTTTGCTTTCAAAGGCAGTTGATTTTTAGGAGCAGAAATGAACTCATAGTCTCTAGGGTCCACTCCAATGTAAGTATTGTAATAGCTGTAGAACCAAATTTGATGACCAATAGTTGGCATACCATTTTGCATAGTATTTGTCTATATTAGTGCATTAGGGGAAAATGGTAAGGGGAGAAAGGGGAGTAGTTTATCCTTGAATTTTTTCCTCTTAATTAGATGTAAATTCATCAAAGGCAGAGGACACATTATTATCCATCCTGGAATCCAGAGTACCTAAAACAATAGCTTACATACAGGTGACAGGAAATATTTATTTAATGAACTGTTAATAAGACCAGTTACTCGAAGTATAGCCTATAACATCCCAGAAAAAAAAAAATCTGGCTCTGGATCAACCCTGGTTCTAGATTTAAAGAGTGTTAATTGGTTGGGCGAGATGGCTCTCGTCTGTAATCCCAGAGCTTTGGGAGGCCAAAGTGGGAGAACCACTTGAGGTCAGGAGTTTGAGATCAGCCTAGGCAACATAGTGAGACCCTGTCTCTACAAAAAATTATTTAAAAATTAGCCAGGTGTGGTGCATGTGTCTATAGTTCTAGCTACTTGGGAGGCTGAGGTGGGAGGATCACTTGAGCCTAGGAGTTTGAGGTTATAATGAGCTATGATTGTGCCACAGAGTGAGACCCTGCCTTTAAAAAATTTTTTTTAATAATAAGAATTTTAAAAGAGTGGTACTCTATTCACAATTTTGGAAGTGAAAAGAAATATTTCTAATTCCATGGGGATATGAGAAGAAAGTCAATGTATCATTTCTGCATCTTCATCCCCCTCATTGTGCCTGCCCATCACTTGCTCGGTTCATGTCAGCCTTCTCTTAGTAGGCTCTGTAGATAATTAAAGAATTTGTGTAGTCTTGTGGAAAAGTAGTTGAGGCTGAGGTGCATGACGTCGTAACAGGTGCTGGCAATGAGAGACAGTCCACCAAATGCCCCAGAAAGAAGGTATGACCAAGACTGGAGTGAGTAATAAAAATATAGTAGGCTCCCTTGGGCTGCACACAAACAGAATACACCCAGAGAAGCCCAAAGACTAAAGTTCTCTTCACTATTTCTGTCCTTGGGTAGCCCCAAAGGATGAGTGTTTCTCCTTTACCCACAACTGGAATAATGGGCCCTTCTCTGTATTTCTCCAGTGGTAAGAATTTCATAAGATACTTGAGCATACAGTTAATTTTTGTTTAACAAATGTAAGAGTACCGTGGACACCATATACTCATTAGGTGATTTCCAAGCACTTGATCTCATTCCATTGAACTTGGCCTGTGTTCTTTGGTAGATGATATAGTTTCAATATATGTCCCCATCAAATCTCATGTTGAATTGCAATCCCCAATGTTGGTGGCAGGGCCTGGTGGGAGGTGTTTGGGTCTTAAGGGTGGATTGCTTCTGGCTTAGTGCTGTCCTCACGATAGTGAGTGTGTTCTCGTGATACACCTCAACTCTGATATTATAGTGGGAAAACAGCCAATACATAAGTGAATGAACATAGCTGTGCTTCAGTAAAACTTTGCTTACAAAAGCAAGCATTGGCCAGATTTGACCTATGGCTATAATTTACCAACCATTGCTATACAGGACTAGAAGACTTATATCCTTCATTTTTAACAAACATATATTGTATTTATTAGAATATGCATGTGACTTCAATAACAGCTAATCTAATACTATGACTTTATAAAAATAGGTTTTTTAAATTGTGTGTGAGTGGTCAGGGTTCCTATGGCAACGCAATGGTCCTAGAACCCAGGATCCTTTCTTCCTGGTCCTGGTCACTGAGGTACTGCCTTCACGTGTATCTACATGTTCATCCACATTTCAGTCAGTGAAAAGGAGGAAGGGGAAGTGGAGAGCATGCCCCTTCTCTTTAGAGGTACACCCTGCAAGGTGCACACATCCTTTCTGTATCCATCCCTACAGCTACAAGTTAGTCATAGGCCACACTTGGCTTATAAGGGATCCTGGAATATACAGACAAATTTGAAGGCCATGTACCCAGTTACAAATCATATGACTATAGAATGGGGAGGATACATAGTTGTGGGTATCTAGCGGTCTCTGCTACAACTAAAACTTAGATTTTCTGATTTTCTATAAGAATGAACCAGAATCTATGACCCCTCATCCAAACAAAACAAAACTTTTGTTTTGTTTTGTTTATTTTAACACATTTAAAATCCAGTTGTACTGCTTTTATCTCTCCATCACTCCCCTTATTTAAGAGATGTGACTGCCTTATTGATGGCCATTTTCTAAGGTCTGACCTCCCAGCTTTCAGGTAGTAATCCTACCTCTTTCCCTCCTTTTTTATGGAGAAAGAAAAAACAGAACATTAGAGAGCCTTAACGTTTTTGTTTTGAAAGACTTGGGTTTTAATTATGGTGGTTTACATAGAGTTTTGTGTTTAGTGGTGTACGACATGAAATGAAATGTTTGCTAATGTGATGTGACACTAAATGAAGGAACAGCCCTCCACAGACTACATGCGTCAGT
This sequence comes from Homo sapiens, assembly GCF_000001405.40. Lineage (NCBI taxonomy): Eukaryota > Metazoa > Chordata > Mammalia > Primates > Hominidae > Homo > Homo sapiens. The sequence goes on along the minus strand of NC_000014.9, from coordinate 51,182,506 downwards.
GAATTAATTCCCTGCAGTGGTAACTGTTCTCAGAACTTCAGTCATCATTCCCCTTTATGAATAATTTTCCATTCGTACATAAGGGTGCCTGACAGTTTGTTTACATGCATATTGGGAATAAATGCCAAAATTATTTGGCTTGGCGTCAAAAACTGCCTCTATTTTTATTGTCTGCAGTGCTCTGATTCAGTGCATTTTAGTAAGTTTTTAAACAATACATGAATTTGAGTCAGAGGAACTAGAGGAGAGGCTGGGATGACACACACTTATTATAGGATATAAAGGGATGAGACATCATCTATTGTTTGCCATGCCAACAACTCTTAAATTAGTGCCCTTTCTCCTACAGCACTGAATTGTTCTCATTACAACTGGGCACAAGCAACTTGGCATAATTTGACGTGTTCCTTTAAGAGGTTTTAAGTCTGAAGTCATGCTTGAGTTATTCTCTAAGTTTTGTCTCACCCAGATTTTATCAGCTTTCATTAGGGTCTGAGTTTTTGGGAAGCTTCTTCTCTACATGGCCATTAGATGTTTGTACTTGGTTGTATGGGAGTATATCTTGACCCAGGCAAAGGCGAACAAAAAATGCAATGTTGTTTCTGTAGAGGCTGGAATAATCCCCTTTACTGCATGCTTGTCCTCCTGCTCTCCAGCGTACAATATTTAACCAAAAATGAACGTTTTAAATTATCTATTTTTCATTATTAAATTAAACTAAAATTTTACAGCATTGGAGTATATTAAAATTTTTTTCTTAAGTGAAGAAGTAATTTGAACTCATTTAAGTCTTATTTAGTATCCCCTGTGTTAGTGGAAAACCAGTATAATTTAAGTTGCCTACAGCTTCTTCCTGTTGTTAGTGGTAGAGTTTGCAGTGCAAGTTACTGAAACTGAAAAACTACCACCCTGGGGTTCATCACCTACTTCTGTGTGCTAAAGTGGAAGCTAGAATCCATTCTGTAGGCAAGTCCTTGTTAGGTTTTACATTGAAGATAGATGGAAAGCAAATGACCCCACATTAATTTTGGGAAAGCCCTGAACCACTGAAATAATACAAATATAGATAATTCAGACCAAGATGTTTTCATTCAGTTTAGTACTAGGAATTTGCTATGTTTGTAGCAAGACTTTGTCCTTGAAGACGTGTCTTTTCTCCAAATATATATGTGGAGTAAATTGAATATTGTCCCAAAGGGGTAATTATTTAAGACTGAATAACTCAGACTTTGTTTAACATGTTACCCATTTCTTATCATGATTGCCTTGCAGTAGAGGGAATGAGGCATCAAACCACACTGAATTTTCCCCCTGTCAGTCACGTTTGGGTGGAAAAAAAGTGGACTCTGTACTGAAAGAAGAATTCTTTCTCTCTCTGAATAGCTGAGAGGGATGGAGAACTAGACTCTTGGGAGAAAGAGCATGGGATATCCTATTTGTGGGACATTAAACAGGTATCTGTATATGATAACCTATAGGGAAACTGTGGAGGAGTGTGGTCCATTTGCTCTATTTAACTTTTTTATCTCAGAATTTCCCAAACGTATTCAAATGAGGAACCCTTTCATTGTGTGACACGTGTTAATATGCCACAGAATACCCTTCCGAAGAATACACCATGGGGAGTGGTGTCAGCCAGACCTCCTCCTAGCATGCATCAGAGTCACCTGGGTGGATTGTTAGAACTCATATTGCTCGCCTCATCCCCAAAGTGCCACTTTCGGTAGGTCTGAGGTGGGCTTGTGGATTTGCATTTCCAACACGTTCCCGGGAGCATGCTGCTCCTGCTAGGTCCAGGAACCACACTTGACTTGAGAATGAATCACAGACTGAAATAGTCTGGTTCCTCATTTGTCTTTCTAGAGTAACACAAATCAAATCAAGAAGCAGTCGTGAGCTTATACCACGAGCAGAGCATACAGGGTCTGTTCTGTCCCAGAAACACAAAGATATCCTAATAAAGTGGATCCCAGAGGCAAAATTTAAAAATATAGTCACCCCTCAGAGCAAGATAACTTAAAAAAATTAATAAGAATGTATGATATTATACAGCCTCACTGGTTGTTTTGACCATTTAATAATTCAAGAGTGTTTTTGTTTCTAATGTAAAATAATTGAGAGAAGATGGGGTTTTACTCATTAATATTAGCTCTAGTGAATTTTCTCAAGTCTTGCAACCTGAAGAGCCTTTTGGGCATGTTGGTTTATGTTATCCCAGCAGTTCAACATCTAGTCAGTGAAATCTGAAGAAACCTAGTTAGTCATTAAATGATTTGGCATGTATAATAATAAACAACTGGTTTTGTTGATTGCTTTGACTGAATTGATTAAATTCCTCAGAGAAATAGTAGAAACACTTCAGTTTGTATGGCAGCTTTACATTTTTTGCTTTCCAGTAATTATAGTTTCTGTTGAGCCAATATTTTCAAAGGAAGTACTGTGAAATGTCCTAAATTGATATCTCATTTACAATATATTATTATCTTCATTACATTTACCTGAAATAGGGAATTAGCAAAAACAAAAGTACATTAGAGTAGATGAGTTGCCTGTCCCCAGCCGAAGTTCATCTAGAGAAATTAAATATGCACACAATAACTATTTCTGTATCTGTGAGGTGATTTTAAAGTGATATACATTATCAGCTCACAAATTCAAATATGCTTCATTCCAAGTTATTCTAGGCATTGCCTCTTGGCACTGCAGCATATGGCAATGAACTTGAAGAAAATGTCAAGGTCACTCATTCTGTGTTTCAAAGGCTTATGGAACTACCCATCTATCTGTCTTCTTGTAATGTGCATCTTATGACTATGATAACCCTGAACTTGTGCCACTCATATATCCTAATGTAATGGACATAATTTATTGTGGCCCTACTGAATGACCTTCTGAATGCACCACCATCATTTGTACCAAGGGGACAATTCCCATGGCTGCCCTGAGCCAATGACTGACCACAATGGAGACACACATACAGTTCCATTCCTGTGAGACACAGTGTTCTTGATATGGTTTGAATGTGCTGCCCCCTCCAAAATTAATATTGAAACCTAATCACCAAGATGATAGTATTGGAAGATGGGGCCTCTGCAAGTTGATTAGGTCATGAGGGACTCTTCCCTTGTGATTGAATTAGGGCCATATAAAAAGGGCTTGTGGAGTAGGTTTGCTCCCTTTTGCTCTTCTGCCATGTGAGGACATAGCAAGAAGGTCCTCACCAGAGACCAGAGGCTGGTGCCTTAATCTTGGACTTTCCATCCTCCAGAACCATGAGGAAATAAATTTCCTTTTTTTTATAAATTACCCAATCTCAGATGTTCTGTTATAGCAGCACAAATGGACTAAGTCTGTCTTTCAGTGGGTACTTTGGTTTAAGAACTGCCCAATGGCCTCGCTGCCACAGGGGTCAGACTTTTGTTTCTGTCTGAAGGCACTTTCTGCCCACTCCTGCTCTCTCCATTTATTGTTTGCCTGCATTACCTCAATAAATGTCTTGCACATCTAATCTTGACACCTGAATCTCAAAAGATTCAAACCAGCACAATGACCATGATTTTTACAGCAGCACAAAAAACAAAATTAAAATAACCTTTAGTTCATAAATAAATTTTAAGTAACAGGAAAAATAATGCTGGTCATAAAGTAAAGAAAAAAGGAAAATTTGAAAGTTTAATAGCTTTCTTCTCAGAGACACAAATTAAATACAGTTGATGTTTTCTGATGTTATATCATTTGTACTTGACATGTCAAAAATCCAAGGTAGCACATTGCTATGATTGAGTCTGGTTTGTCGTGATAATGCATCTCCCCCTATTCAGAGATTGACAGAGAGTCATTGAAAACTGTCTTTCACATAAAAATTTATATCATTTGATTACTCTTACTAGTATATTTTAGGTTATCTTACTTGCTTCTTTTTCCTGTAGGAAAATCATTATGGTAACTGTGTGAATGTTATTTTAAAAATAAAAATCACCACCTAGTTTCAGCACTCAAAGATACATAATTATCACAGTTACCATTTCAGTAAGCACACTGAAAACAGTATGCTTCTGTCTGTTTTCTCCTATGTATGTGTGTGTATATATATATATGTTTACACAGTTAAGGTAATATGACATATACAAATTTGGTATTCTGCTTTCCCTATGGCATTAAGATTTTTTAGTAGAGCACTTTATATGATTGCACACTATTCTATTGTATAATTATCCCATTATTTACTTAACTATTACTTTATTGTCTACATTTAGATAATTTCTAGCTATTGTAAACAGCCCATAATGAATATATATATACACACATATATGTGTGTATATATATACACATATATGTATATATATACACACATATATATATGTGTGTATATATATGTGTATATATATATATATATATATATATATATTTTTTTTTTTTTTAGATAGAGTCTTGCTCTGTCACCCAGGCTGGAGTACAATGGCTCAATCTTGGCTCACTGCAACCTCTGCCTCCTGGGTTCAAGCAATCCTACTGGCTCAGCCTCTCGAGTAGCTGAGGTTACAGTTGTGCACCGTCAAGCCTGGCTAATATTTTGTATTTTTAGTACCGACAGAGTTTCATCATGTTGGCCAGGCTGGTCTCAAACTCCTGACCTCAAGTAATCTGCCCACCTTGGCCTCCCAAAATGCTGGGATTACAGGCGTGAGCCACCTTGCCTGGCCTGAATATTCTTATATATAAAACTTTACTCTTCATTTGAGAATTTTTTCCTTTATATAGGTCCTTAGATTAGAAGTGCTTCCTGGCTTCCTGATAAGTCTGCAGTTTGAAAAGAATCAACAGGCTCACTCCCCACATCCACATAGCATGTTGTTGGAAAGACACAGACTTAGGAGTCAGAAGACTCACTATTCCACTAACTACCTGTGTGCATTGAGCAAGCCTCTTCATGACAGTGTCCACAAATGCACAATCAGAGGGCTGAATCAGATAATCTCTATCATCCTGTCCATGTTTAATATTCTTGGATTTGCATAATGGACCTATCTCCTACCCAATGCCATCATTTTTATAGACCCTTAGGACTATATAGACATAAGGAATACCACTGGTAATGGATCTAGGATATTACTATGCTTTATGCCCCAAAGAACACTCAATATTATATTGGAATGTGGTTGGTTCTGTGACTCTCCACCTCATATAACTTATTGTCTGTGTGTTTTTAAATTACCGTTGGCTCCTAAGTGCTGTGAAGTATAGCACTTATATTATAGCCATGTGAACCTGCTCACTGAGCCTTCTAATATTAACTCAAAGCAAAATAACTGTGTTCTCTGCATTTACATCTGGCTCAATCATCGTAAAACGACTCTATTAAGTGTTTCTCCATGCATGTCCTTGTGCCAGGAATTGAATTACAAAGCCATTATTTTTTGATGTCAAGGAATTTCCAACTGAAGAGCCACATGCTTTGTGGAGAGGTGTAAAGGACAAAGAGGGATCTGAGGAACCAGTCTGAACCTCAGTGCCTGCCAAGAGCTGCCCTCGTGGGAGGTCGGGAAAGAAGATCTCTGAGGAATTCTGAATTTAAAGAGGCTGGAGTTGGTGCAATATCATGCTCCTCAGAGAGAAGACCTGTGAAGGAAATGGGATTTGGAAGCTTTTCAAATGAAGTAGCAAGGCTTAGAGTCTACCAGAGAAAGAACATTTCAAGATCTGGGACCTAAATATATGAAAATTTCTCCCTGATAAAAGGGGGAAAAAGAACCAGCTAATGTTTCACAGAATGAAAATAGTGCTACAGAATAAGCATGACAATAACTTAGGAAAGGTGGGTGTTAGCAAAGGACAGTACAAACATTTAATGGGAGTTAGTGTGGAGAATTAAGGCTAAGCACTTAGATGTGCTAAGATGCTTACATGAGAAAATGCAATTACTGCCAGTTGCACTAGCTCTCTAATTAGGTCCCCCTTATTGCTTTTAGTAACAGTCACTCCTTATGAAATACTGTAGTTCTGGCTATTTGCTCACACATATTGTAAGCTTTACCTGGCTTTGCCATCAAGTACTCCATCAGAACTTTGGGGAAATATGGGGAAAATTCAGCCTCTCCTCTAAATGGATTTGAAGTAGAGGGAGTGGGTTGTAGAGTTTTGAAAATGTTAATATTAATCAGTTAATGCTAGGCTAGAATATGTTTTCTGAATGAGCATATCTTTATAGACTAATGGGTATTCAGCATACCATGCTATCCAGACACAAATTTTAGTAACTTGAAATTGTAGTTCAGAAGAGCCTTAGTTTGGGCTCTCCTGAGAGCAAAACCTAGACAAGGACTGAGGTATGGTAGTTAAATTGGGAGGAGATCCCAGGGAACAGGAGTGAAGTCGCTAAGAGTGTGAGACAGAACAGGAGAAAGGCCAGTGTGGGGTGACTTGTTACTGCTGTGGACATCAGGGACTCAGTCCCACCACAGACCCTTAAAGGAACTGTGGAGAATGTGCCTCAGAATGTTCCACTGAAGAACAGAGAAACTGGGGAGTTTATTATCTAACTTGTTACTCATTCATTGAAAAGTGAAGTTAGCCCCTGTATCAGTCAGGGTTCTCCAGAGAAACAGAACCAACAGAAGGGGAAAAATTACATGTGTGTGTGTATCTGTGTGTGTTTATGTGTTGTTTATGTGTGTTGTGTGTGTTCTTAGTTCATTTGTGTTGCTATAAAGGAATATCTGAGGCTGGGTAATTTATAAGAAAAGAGTTTTATTTGGCTCATGGTTCTGCAGGCTGTACAACTAGCATGCCACCGACATCTGCTTCTGGGGAGAGACTCAGGAAGCTTCCAGTCATGGTAAAGAGGTAGAAAGTGTGTCACATGGTGAGAAAGGGAGCAAGAGAGGGAAGGAGATGCCAGGCTCTTTAACAATCAGTTCTCTTGGGAACTAATAGACGGAGAACTCATTCATTACCATGAGGACAGCACCAAGCTATTTATGAGGGATCCGCCCTCATGACCCAAATACTTCACACCAGGTTCTACCTCCAACATTAGGGATCAAAATTTTTTTTTTTTTTCTTTTCCGAGACGGAGTCTCACTCTGTCGCCCAGGCTGGAGTGCAGTGGCTCAATCTCGGCTCACTGCAAGCTCCGCCTCCCGGGATCTCACCATTCTCCTGCCTCAGCCTCCTGAGTAGCCGGGACTACAGGCGCCCGCCACCACGCCCAGCTAATTGTTTGTATTTTTTAGTAGAGACGGGGTTTCACCGTGTTAGCCAGGATGGTCTCTATCTCCTGACCTTGTGATCCGCCTGCCTTGGCCTCCCAAAGTGCTGGGATTACAGGCGTGAGCCACCGTGCCCGGCCAGAGATCAAATTTTAACATGATTTAAAGGAGACAAATATTCAAATGATATATATATATATATATATATACACACACACACACACATAGTTTGTATATAAATATATATACACATATATATAGTTTGTATATAGTGTCTATAAATATGCATACACATATATACAGTTTGTATATAAGTGTATATATGTATATACACACACACACATGCTTTTAAAAGGAGGTTTATTATGGGAATTGGCTCACACAATTATAGAGGCTGAGAAGTCCCATGATCTGCTGTCTGTAAGCTAGAGAACCAAGAAAGCTGATAGTGTAATGTAATTGAAGTCTGAAGGCTTGAGAACCAGGCACTCCAATGTCCAAGGACAGGAGAAGATGCCTCAGCTCAAGGAGAAACAGAGAGAATTCACCCTTCCTCTGTCTTTTTGTTCTATCTGGGCTCTCAGTGGGTTTGATGATGCCCACCTACATTGGTGGGGGTGGATCTTTTTACTCAGTCTACTGGTTCAAATGCTATATTTTTTCTGGAAATACCCTCACAGACACACCTAGAAATAATGTTTATCCAGCTATCTGGGCATCCCTTAGACCAGTCAAATTGAGACATAATATTAACCATCACAGTCCCTTGAGACATTAAGCTCCCCATGCTTCTAGATTTCATCTATGCAGGATGAGCAAATTTTGGAGAATGTCCTAAGGCAAAAATACTGAGTCTGTGCTGGAATCAGATGGGCTAAAGGGGCATGGTCCTTAAGCCTACAGGAGACAGCAACCATTGACTACTCAGTGGTGTCAGTGCCTCCCTCACTGGGGCATTCCTTGTTGTCTTAGTAAAAGGACTGTCTTCTGGACCTTCCTGGGGAACATAGGATTTGTTAAGTTCTCTGATATCATGCAATAAACCAATTCTGATGTGCCCTTTTACTCTTTTCTCCATACTTTGTCTCCTTTACTGTAAATTTTCATGTCCAAGCACCAAATAACTTGGCCAGCAACCTATTAAATGTCCTTGCCAGGGAGTTAAATCCTGAGTCATGGGAGGGTGCTCCCAGGTCAATAAAGGCCCCTCTATACAAGTTTACATTCCACCTTACTCTGTCCAACACTGTCAAGATCCAGTCCCACATATGTTCTCAGGTTCCTGCCAGTATATATTGGTAAGATCCTGCAGTTCTTTCAGAAGAAAACTGGCTGCTCCTGCAGCAGGGACTGCTTGGGCTGTGCTGAGATGATTCTAATTGTTAATCCAGTAGTAATGATAGAAGGTGGGGGTCGATCTGGAAAAGGACAAGCATCATCTTACATCTCAGGTCTTCGTGTCATCTATTGGCAAAGAGGGCTACTCTTCTTTCGCAAGGTAGAAGAGATTGCTTCTCCCAGCTCGGGAGAATATAGGGCTTGTGGTACTGTGTATGGGAGGCTCTTTGCAGAGGAATAAAGCATTCACAGCATCAAACAACTGTGAATCTAGGGTCTTTTTCACAATAAAGAAGGCCTCATTCTCTTGCCCCCAGCAAACCTCAGGTGGTAGCAGCAGAAAGTTGTCAAAGAAAAGCAGCAACAGCACCTTTCCAATGGAGCTATCTAATTAGGACTCAATCTAGAATGTTTGCTCTATGTGGAACTTGAAAAGAAATAGCTTCTAGCTGAATTCAACTATGTGTTAGGATAGGATAAGTACTAGGATAGGCCAATATGGATATGATGAATGAATGAACAGGGAGCCACAGGCACTCTTCAAAAAAGAATCAAGAAACATATCTGTACACCCATATTCATAGCAGCAGCATTATTCACAGCAGGCAAGAGGTAGAAATAACACAAATATTCATTGATGGATGAATGGATAAACAAAATACAATGTATACATATAATGGAATATTATTCAGCCTTAAAAAGGAAGGAAATGATCCAGTAATCCCAATTCTGGGTATATATCCCAAAGAATTGAAAGCAGGTGCTTGAAGAGATATTTGTACAACCATGTTCATAGCAGCACTATTCACAATAGTCAAGAATTAGAAGCAACCTAAATGTCTATCAGCAGATGAATGGATAAACAAAATGTAGTATGTACATACAATGGAATATTATTCAGCCTTCAAAAGAAAGGACATCTTGTCACATGCTACGACGTAGATTAAACTTGCTAAATGAAATACACTAGTCACAAATGACAAAGACTGTATGATTCCACTTATAGCAAGTATCTAAAGTAGTCAAATTCATAAGAACAGAAAGTAGAATGGTGGTTATTGGGCTGGACAAAGAGGTAAAATAAGAGTTGTTTAGTAGATACAGAGTTTAAGTTTTGCTAAATGGAAAGCTTCTAGATATCTGTTTCCCAACAATGTAAGTACATTTAACACTACTGAAATGTACATCCCAAAAATGGTTACGATGGTAAAATTTATGTTGTTTTTTACCACAACAAAAAGAAATTCTGATACATGCTACCACATATATGACCTTAACGACATGCTAAGTGAAATAAGCCAGTCATAAAAGACAAATACTTTATGATTCCTCTTATGTGAGTTACCTAGAGTAGTGAATTCACAGAGATAGAAAGGAGAATGATGGTTGCAGGGGGCTGGAGGGAGGTGGGACTCAGGAGTTATTGTTTAATGGGTACAGAATTTTAGTTGGGGAAGGTGAAAAAGTTCTGGAGATATATGGTGGTTATAGTTGCACAACAGTGGGAATGTACTTAATGCCACTGAGCTATATCTCTTTAAATAGTTAAAATGGAAAATTTTATGTGACATATATTTTACCATAATAATAAAAACCCAGAGATAAGACAAGCATTTTCTTTTGGACAGAAAAATATCCCACTCACAAATCAGAACCCCTGCTTTCAGTCATTGATGGGATAAAACAAGATGGATTTCCCCCAAGTTTATATTCTGAAGCACCCCAGAGCAGGCTTCTTCCCTAGTGAGTCTTTTCTCCCTGCAAGAAGACTAAAAAAAAAAAAAAAAAAAAAAAAAACCAGGAGTATAAGTTAGATCTTCATGCCATTGCATCTTTTCAAACTCTGGCTGCTCTATGTTTGCTATCATTTACTGAATGCCTCCAGTGAACGGGGTGATTGATAAACCTCACAATCACTCCTATCGTATGTCTTTTTTTTTAACCAATTAATAAACTGAGACTCAGAGAAGTTGTATCATTTCCTATGTCCTTAAAGTTACTGATAAGATAGAAGTGGCACTTGGACCAAGCTGTGCCTGATTTGAGAATCACTATACCACCCTCTCTTTTATTAGATAACCACTTGCAATGCTCTTTGCTGGCCTGACTTCCACCAAGAAGGGACATGGTTCAGGCACATGCAAGTTTAGTTCATTTCAACAAAAGTGACAGGATGCTGGTCACTGTCCTGGAAACTGGAATGTGGTGTGTGACCTTACAGTACATATTTCCATAGATTTTATAAAATGCCTTTCTGATTGTGACAAGGAACCTAAGTACACAAAATATTTCTTTTTCTTTAAAGGAGCCAGCTTGAAGGTGCTGCCACTTTGAGTAATATAATAAATTTTAAAATCTGTGATACCCCCAGTAATACTCAGAGAGATAGAAAAAGGGAAAAGAGGAAAAGGTCTTCTTTACACAGAAATGAAAGCTAATTAAGATAGAAGAAATGATTTAATTAGAAAATCATTTTACAACATTTATAGAATAATTGATTTAGGTAAGGATTAGAAAAAGATACTAAACCCATTGGGTGAAAGTTTGAAAAATAAGGTAGTTACATTATCTGAAATTATCATCACATGGATTCTTTTTTAATTAAAAAAGAAAAAGAGGTTTACAATGACTATATCAGGCAGACACACCTTAATCAAGGGATCAAACTCTTTCTCACTAATAAAAGAACAAATTGATATTATCTGCCTTCTCCTTATATACTACAAGAGGGAAATACACAATATCACCTAGGCAGTATTCTTGTCGAAATGTTTAATTTTAATGTAATCATAAGGGCCAATCCAGAATTGTGGCACATTCTGAGAGACAACAGCTCATGCTCCTCAAAATGTCAGTGTCAGAGAAGATAAAAGGTGTGTGGTGGGGAGGGGTGGATACTAATCTAAATTAAAGAGAAATAAAAGGGCGTAACAATCAAATGTAATGCATAAGCCTGGGTTTAATCTTGGATTTAAAAAATACATGTAAAGGCCATTTGGGGGATAATGGAGATGTAAATATTGATCTTTAAATATAGATGGTTATATTATCAGATGATGTTAAATTTCTTGTAAATGATAACGGGTGAAATTTCAGTAAGAACATCATTTGGGATGAAGTGTCATGATGTTTGCAAGTTATTTTTAAAATGATTTAGAAATATATATTTTTACATATTATATATAACATATACAGATTATATTCATAGATAAATATAAATAAATGCATAGAGACAGAGAGACAAGTAGAGACAGAGAAGGCCTGGAGACAATGACCAACCTAGAAGGAAGGGCATCCCTAGTACCCAAATTGTGGTCTTAAAATACTATTTCTCACTAAAGGAAACCAGAGCTTCTAGAAGAAATGGCAGATTCCAGGTCTGAGGCCGAAAGTGATAAAATGAGCCTGGAATATATTGTGTACCAAGTACCAAAGAAGTTATCAAAGACTACTAGAGTCACATTAAAAAGGCTCAGGAGCCAACTTAAGCTCTTGTTGGCCAAAGATGGACCTTGTTGGCCAAAGATGGATCTTGTTGACCAAAGATGGAGCTCAATGGTAATAGTAATTTTAGTAGTAATTTTGATGGATAGTAGCTAATCAAATATGCTTAAATCTATGAGCTCATATATCTACAAAAGAACTGATTACCTTCAGACTGTTACAGTGTACCAAATCATTGATTCCTTCAGGAAATACCAGAGGACAGAGGGACAGAATTGCATCCTGAGTTGTGCAATCAGCAAAATCCAGACTGTGAGAAACTCTATAGGTCCAAGAACCCAGATAAAATATGAGGAAAAGGGCCGGGTGCGGTGGCTCACGCCTGTCATCCCAGCACTTTGGGAGGCTGAGGTGGATGGATCACAAGGTCAGGAGTTCAAGACCAGCCTGGCCAAGAGGGTGAAACCCCATCTCTACTAAAAATACAAAAAATTAGCCAGGTGTGTAATCCCAGCTACTCAGGAGGCTGAGGCAGAGAATTGCTTGAACCCGGGAGGTGGAGGTTGCAGTGAGCCAAGATCGCACCACTGCACTCCAGCCTGGGCGACAGAGCGAGACTCTGTCTCAAAAAAAAAAAAAAAGTATATATATATGTGTGTATATATATATATATATATATATATATATATATATATATATATGAGGAAAAGAAGTGGATGATCAGATTAAAACTTAAAATACATCTTTTTTCTTAAATGAGCAAGACTAAAACCATAATATTCAGGGATGCACAATTGGATGATAAAAGTATTTTTAAAGCAGCAATTACTATAAAGGTCATTGGAGAAAGATTAAAAATCATCATTGGGATAGGTGCGCATGAGAAGGGCTTCTGAAGGAAAGGCAATGTTTTGTTTTTTGATATGGGTGGTCATTATAAAGGTATTCGCCTTTATAAAAATTCATTATCATACATTTGTTTAAATAAACTGAAACTTCAGGGCCAGGTGCCAGATATAATGTTCCCAAATACCAAATATCTCAGTGCCTCTTTAAGATCAGACTGGCAAAATGAAACATCCTCTGATTTCTCTTCAGAGAGCTGGCTTCTCTTTGGAACCATGAAGCACAGGCTACGTTGGCTGCAGTGAGTGTGCCATCCAGACCTGATGCCCCAATAGGTGCACTTCAAAGGACAGAACCTTCCATTCCATTAAGCAGAGTTTAAAGTCCAGACCATAAAATTTGTCTCTAAAATGCCCCCTTCACTCAGTCAACAGCTGCTTAATCTCAAGTTAGTACCCAAAGTAAAACATAATGTTATGGGGTTTTTTCAAGGCTTCACTGCCTCAATTTCATGCCGGCATCAGCACCATATGCCTACTGGTGTGGCAAATTGAGAAGAAAATGTTTCTATGACCATGCTGCTGATTTTAAAAATAACATATCTAATGAACCAGCTGTGATTAGACAAAAAAAGCATTAAGAATCATTTCTGCAGTTTATTTCATCCTAAACAGTGCTCAAACATTATTTTTTTCAAAACTGTAATACAGATATCATACAGATGGCCCATTTAATATGTTCTATTTTAAACAGGCCAACTGGGAGATTATTGTTTTTATCAAAATGTAGGAAAAATAGTTTATTCCAGGTCAAAGGGGCAGAACTGAAAATAAATTATGATTTTGACAAAAAGGCTTACATTTTACCAGGCAATATTGTCAGTTCATGGAGGTACAGTGATTTGACCCCCTGGAACTTAAAAGCAAGAGAAATGAGAGTTAAACCATGAAATCAATAGGTAGCAATCAGAGGAGAATGCAAATCTATTTAGAGATAGAACAGCTGTTGGGTCAGCAAGATGGACAATAAAATAATAAATATAATACCTAAACAATGTGTTCATCCAAAGTATGTGAGGATGTGTGTGAGGGAGCAAAGTTGGTCCATCATAAAAACGTAGAAACATAGGAAAATGAGTGTCACTAAGGAAGTGTTGGCTGTGTGCATTTAAACATTGTTTAAGGGACAAGGAGCTTTAAAGGCTGCTCACAGTATTATAGCAAGACCTTTTTTTTTTTTTTTTCCTGTGAGCCAGAGGCATCAAGCTATTGGAAACTCAAGGCAAAAGTTACAAACTGGAGCACTGTACACCTAACCTAGTTCACGGATGGATTTGTCTGACTCCTGTAGGTTTTCTTTTTAATAATCAAATTAACTGGTGTTAGCTAAGAAGACTGGCACAGAAGTCAAAGGAAATAGCATTTATTTGGGAAACAAAGCATTGTACACTGAATCAGGGCAGCCCTGAGCAATGTCTCATAAAGCAAGAACAGGAGAGGTTTTTAAATAGGGAATTTTCACTAAAAGTTGTTTTCAGAGGCCCAAAAATACTAAATCCCAAATCTGTTTTGATTGGTTAGCCAGTGTACTCCCAGCTAAGAGATGTTGAAGGCCAGTGTTAATCTGAGTCTATTGGAACATCTTGTGGTTTGACCTTTAGCAAGTATGAGTGCAATCCTCTCACAATCTGCCAACTGCACTTTAGAAAGCCTTAGCCTTAGTTACTTCATTTTCTTTCACATTTCCTCCTTTTAATCAAGATATTTCTACAGAAAGCATTGCAGATCAGTTGGCAAGTTTAATTTTGTTCTTTGTCATTGGGATAACCTGTCCCAGGAATCATGTTTCTCCCTGGGAGAGATTCACATTCTAAGGGAGTGTAAGGCTACAATGGGCCACATCTGAGTAACAAGGAGATTTTGAGAGGAGAGCTCTCAAGGCTTCTTAGGTCCCCCCAGAAAGTTGTCAGGTTGGCTGTCTTTTCTGAATTATAGGCTTAATTGATCATGTTGAGCTTCTAAACAACTATTACTTTGTTTAAACTTTTATTTCTAAGTAAACCTGGGTAAGAAGTAACATAAGTAACTTAAATATTACAATAGCAACAATAACCACAATAGCGAGTAACAAAAGTTGAAGACTGAAATTTATCCACTTCTAACTTTAGAAGGTAGTCAACTGACAAGATAAAAAAGCCACACACTTTAATGGTGGGTATTCTAGCTAATTAATTAACATGTGCACAAATCTTTCCAATCTGGTTTCTACTTTGTTAGAAGTATTTATCCAGGTGTAACAGAAGATATTGGCTACAATCTAAACACCTCCTTGCTCAGCCAAGATATAATTCAGTGTAACTCTGTTGTGCAAGGGATTAAAAGGCAAAAACCAAGAGTATAGAGACAGCAACAAATAAGAGGCCAAATATTTCAGGGAGCTTAATAATACAGAGGTCTGGTCCAGGTGTCTTGGGTAAGCAGTCAACTTCAGCTGTCATCTGCTTCACTTTGGGTCAGTTTTAGCTTCAAATCTCCGATTGTTTCTGAATTCCAGCAGGGGTAGGAGCTTTCTTTAAATGAGGAACACGAATCTGAGAGTCAATGCCTTTCAGTTTGACAGTGCAGGAATTGGTAAGGAGTACCTGATATGGCCTTTCCCATCAAGGTTGAAGGAAATTATTTTATAAATACCTCTTTTAATAGACAAATCACCAGGCTGAAGGGTATGATGTCTGGTGCCTTTGTCTCCTGGGAGTTTACTATGGAAATATTGTTCTACCAAGGTATGGCTTATGTCTATAGCCTTAATTATTCCGTTACGATATTGGAGAATGCCTGGTTTAATCAACTTAACATTAAAAGCAGAGTGGGCTAAATGCATCAGCCATGCAGTGATAATTTTAAAAGGTAACAACTTTCCAAAAGGTGCAGACCTTAGATTTAATAGGACCAGAGGAAGTACCACTGGCCAAGACAACTTCAGTGCTTCCACAAATTTTACCAGCTGAGTTTTGATAATGCTATTTGTTCCTTCAACCAATCTTGAAGATTGGAACTGGTAGGTACAATGAAAGTCTTGTAATATGGACCAGAGTTCACAGACTTGTTTTATGACATGGCCAGTGAAGTAAGCTCCTCAGTCACTATGTAACTCTGAATGTATGCCCTGTGGAGGAATAATCTTTTCTAATAGTCTTGAAATGGCTGAGGCAGTGGCACGTTGGCAAGGGAATGCTTCTACCCAATAGGAAGACATACAAATCATAACAAAAACACATTGGCCGGCCGGGCGCGGTGGCTCACGCCTGTAATCCCAGCACTTTGGGAGGCTGAGACGGGCGGATCACGAGGTCAGGAGATCGAGACCATCCTGGCTAACACTGTGAAACCCCGTCTCTAATAAAAATACAAAAAATTAGCCGGGCGTGGTGGCAGGCACCTGTAGTCCCAGCCACTTGGGAGGCTGAGGCAGGAGAATGGCGTGAACCCGGGAGGCGGAGCTTGCAGCGAGCGATGATCCCGCCACTGCACTCCAGCCTGGGCAACAGAGCGAGACTCTGTCTCAAAAAAAAAAAAAAAATCAAAGAAAACAAACATATTGGCTGGGCACGATGGCTCACGCCTGTAATCCCAGCATTTTGGGCAAGGCGGGTGGATCATGAGGTCAGGAGATTGAGACCATCCTGGCTAACACGGTGAAACCCCGTCTGTACTAAAAAATACAAAAAATTAGCTGGGCGTGGTGGCGGGCGCCTGTAGTCCCAGGTACTTGGGAGGCTGAGGCAGGAGAATGGTGTGAACCCGGGAGGCGGAGCTTGCAGTGAGCCCAGATGGCACCACTGCACTCCAGCCTGGGCGACAGAGCAAGACTCCGTTCTAAAAAAAAAAAAAAACCTATTTAGAATCTTGAGAGAGAGGTGGCTGGATGCAGTCTATTTGCTAAACCTCAAAGGGTCCATTAGGCATGCCAAAATGACCTGGAACTGTCTGACTTGTCTTTCCGTGGTTGAATTTTGGACAAACAATACAAGACAGTTGTGGCCTTTTGGCTGTCATTGTAATATTTCCCCACCAGTACTATGTTAGAAAACTTAACAAGTTTATCAGTTGCCCAATGAATCATCTAATGTATCATTCTGAGTCGGGATTTTTTTTTTCATTGATTCTGGTAATACCACTTTATTATTGAGACCATACCACATAAATTTTATGCTGGGCAAAAAATGCAACCATTATGAGTCCAATAAAATTTTTCATTTTAGCTTTATCAGAATCCAATTTTGAGTGCCCAGAAACTTTGATGATGGCCAAGGAAGAGGGAGGTTGTATTGAATCTAATAAATTATTGATAAAAATTTCATTTTATATTTTGTTTCCTTTGGAGGTTAAAAATGCTGTTTCCAAAGCATACTAAAATCATGAACAACCACAAAGGCATAATGGCTATCAGAGTAAATATCTGCAGTTTTATCTTTCACCAGAATACGAGCCCTGGTTAAGGCATAAAGTTTTGCTTGCTGGGCCAGACTAGTCATTTGCAGTGGGACTGCTTCAACTACTTCAGTATAAGGTGATAGTAGCATATTCAGCAAGATATTTTTCTTCATTGTCTGTCATAAATGATATATCTTAAACCATGAAAGTTTTGCATTTGGTATAAGGGCTTCTTGTAAATCAACTCTAGGTTTTAGTAGCTGGTCAGTTAGATTTAGATAGTCATGTGGTGTCTCATCATCAGGTAGGGGAAGGAGGGTTGCTGGATTAATATTATTGCATGACACAGAATAATATAAAGAGAAATCCAGAGCAAGATCTCTTAAGTAGTGAGTCTGCTTGCAGAAAGATGTTAAGTATGATGAGAGTTGAGTAATGCTTCATGAGGAACATAGATAGTAAGAAGAGAGCCCATGACTATCTCTTCCATAGATTTAGTTAAAACCGTGATGGCTTAGATAGCTCTCATGCAGGGAGGAAGCCCCTTATCTATTAAAAGTAACTGCTGGTTCTAATAGCCAGCAGGTCTGTATTGATCTCCATGTTTCTGGGTAAGAACGTCCAACTCATTTCATTGTCTTAGTGAAAGTTGTCAAAATCAAAATAGAGTCACTTGTGTTAAAACTCTGACAAATGAAGCTGGGGAAGGCCATGAAAGGAAAGTACTCATGCACTAATGCTTCATAACAAGAACTGTCACAAAAGACTGCAAAATCCACAACATTACAAAAGGTTATTGCAAGCTTACACACAAAAATACTTTTGCAAGCACATCTGCCCAGCAACTACCTGTCAACCTTTGGAAGATGCCACCCTTGCTATTGATCCTTATAACCAAGGATTCTTGTTTCAAAACAATTTATGTTATTCTTCTCATTTTGCCTTTAAAAAGTCCCCTCACCCCCACCTCCTTAAATATGTACCTAGTTTACTCTGCATACATAATCTCATTGCAATGCCCATTCTCAAATAAGTATAATTTTCTTCTAAAGAGCCTCTCTCTGTTATTTAGGTTGACATCATTTAGTGTTCAGAAGCGGGGCCAAAGTAAGCTCACCTTGTACACTGTAATACAGTGCACTACTTACTGAGCCCTCTGCATTCTCTGCTTCCATGAAGTTGCCTTTTCTGCCCGTGAATCTCCTCTCAGATTCTCAGGCTCCTTTTTTTTTGGTGAGTTCTTTTGACTTTATTCAGGACCTGATTTGGTTTTAAGGCTGCCTTCTTAAAAAAGGACCATGCCTTCCTCTTGGGACTGTAAAGGTTTTTTCTGACAAGCCCTTTTTGTCACTTGTAGAGACAAGTGCCCTTCTGGTTTCTGCAGAATTTACATTCCATCTGTGAGGCATGTCTTTCTGGCAAATTCATTTTTGGTTCTTTCTGTGCATGTAGTTTAATATTTTGTTTGGCCTACATGTCTGGATTAAAGTTTTTGTGAGCAGTCTTAATTTTTGTTTCATTTTGGTTTGGTTACTTGCATCTGTAAATGATTTGCTCTTTTACTTTGTTTTCCCTTGCTTGTTTCTGACAGATGTCTGCTGAAAGAGGATAGGGGGAAAGCATTCTAAATGATGGGCACATGATGGCTGGCTAAAAGCCACTAGGATGGTTGTCACCATCTAAGACACTGGTCCAAACTTTTGACATTCTCTGATAGGATTTGTAGGATTTTCTTTGTTCTTAAGAGATTAATAAGAAATGGAATGGGATTTTCAAACATTAAGGCATGCCAAGCTTTCTGGGACACCTCATGACTTTTCTTCAGGCAAATTTTTAAATCAGTGGCCATTATGAAGATCATTTGAACTCCCCAAGCCTGTTTTTCTTAGAATTGGATTAGAAACTTTAATTTTAGAGCTAACATATAGAGCCCTCTAAGTTCTCTATTTTTTTTTCTACCTACTTTGAATCTGATGACTTTTCTGCTAGTATCAAGATATGCTATGGCATTCCAGGCAAGATAGAAAAATAAAATCTTAAAGGACTTTCAAATTAATGGCTTTATAATTTACAAAAACTCCCTGGTAACCAACATCCTAGAAACCTGAGTCATTCTTTTGGAAATGTAAATGTAGGTTTGCCTGGCTAACAGTTGGTTAGGGTGATAGAACAGCTAATTGAAGGATTGGTAATGTAAAAGAAAATAACTTGATAAATGTTTATAAAAGTTAGGCTGTCAGAACAATACATCAAAATCTTGTGCTTAGAGCAATAATATCTTTGTCCAGCATAAAAACTACCTTGCCTGTCATGCAGAAGCCAGAAAAAGCCAAAAAGAAAAACTGCAAATACCTTTCTAAAATGCTTCCACGCCTTCATTGACTAATCAAGCAAACCAACTCAGCAAACAAAATATAAATTCATAACAAAAATTCAAGACTACTTGGGGCTTTTGTTTTCTTTTATACAGTTCAGCCAGAGCTAGACAAAATGTAAACATTTGAAAATTTAACCTTAATCTCATTTAAAACTAAAGGGGAGTGGGGAGGGTAAAATATATATATTTTTAATCAAATTACTTTACCCAACATTTTAGTCCACAGCCTTCATAATATTACCTATCAGAGCAAGTAAAGTTTAGCCATGTGAAGGGATCCCGTTTTGTCAAAAACACAATTTGGATCCAACTCTCCTTTTATACTAGTGAATTTATATTACCATGTTGTACTGTATCATGACTAAAATTCTAAAAGGAAAACTATATAATCTTTGTGTGTACATGTGTTTAGCTGTGTTTACACATACGTATATGTATTATGTTGTATGGTGTGTCTATACGGTAGAATCTGGTGTAGTCAGCCAGAAATCCCTTTACAGAATTCTATTCAGATTGGCTTAAATAAGTGAGTCCTCATATAAATTGCTGAAATATATAGTAATTAACCCAAATGCATTTTAGTTCACGTGACTTATGTAAATCTTTGATAAATAATCTGGTTTTAAATGTGTTGATAAAATAAAAATAGAAATGTCTTCAGAATTGTCAGCATACATTTTCACCTAGGTTTACTGGTAAGATCACATTTGTCTCTGCTGGATGTTTTAAGGTCTTAAAACTGTAAACCCAACCTAAAAACAGAATGATCTTTGTGTGAGTCTTTGATAAGACTAATTTAATATTGTCGGTATAATGAACACAGCTGTATTTTCTGAGTTATCAGCAAGATACCTATATATTTAATTTTAAGGTTCTTACTTAGGTGATTCACCTGACAGTCACATGCTGTAAAAATGGTTAACTAGGAAATAACTTGAAATCATGACTAGCTTTATCTAATAGCTCAATTTTCATAATCTAGGTATAATTATTAAAAATGAATAAATTAGATAACTGTACATGGGATAAATATTTATAAATAAACTTTTCACATAATTTGAAATCCTAAAATTATGTGATATTAAATTAAGTAATAGATACTCATTAAATGTATGGATAACTTTCAAATAAGATAAAATACTGAAACAAATTGCTGGACATAAATGTAAGTTTGTTCTTGGCTTCTTGAATTTCATAGAGAAACTAAATGTATTTTGGCCTATTAATACACATAAAAATTATGTTATGTGAAACATGTTTCTAAAAATTATTAAATGGTTCTCATCTATAAAATACTGATATGTAATAGACAGTTCAGAACTGCTTACTTCCTAAGTTTTTGCTAGAAATTAAGGTAACTGAGAATTAAAAGTTCTAATTAATGTATATAATTCTGTGTACAAAATATGTCCCCAAAATAAGATGTGTTTTTGGTAAGAAAAATTGTAAGAAAGGCATAAAAATGTGTGCTGTATTGAAAAGTATAATTTTCTCTAAATTCAGACATTATTTAAGGTTGTTTCAAAAAAGTAAATTTAGAAAGTATCTTAGTATCATTTTCTATTGCTTATAACAGAATACCTGAAACTGGGTAATTAATAAAGAAAATAAGTTTACTCCCAAGGAGCCCAAAGTCAAGGGGTCACATCTGGTCAGTATCTTCTTGCCAGTAGGGACCCTCTGGAAAGTCCCAAAGCAATGCTGGATAGCACATGGTGAGGGGGCTAAGCATGCTGTCTCAGTTCTCTCTTATAAAGCCACCAGTCCACTCCCATGATTAACCCATGAATCCGTGAATGGTTGAAAAGCCCTCATGACTCAATCACCTCTTAAAGGCCCCACCTCTCAATAGTAACACATAGGGGATTAAGTTTTAACGTGAGTTTTGGAGGGGACAAACATTCAAACTACAGCAGGAAGAAAAAGAGAAACAAGTTAGAAAGGAATCAGTAAGTAGGAAGGAGCATTGCATAGAAAGTTATTAAGTATGAACATGTATTTTTGATGAGGAAGGTTAAAAAGAGAATAGTTTTCAAAATGATGAGGAAAAAGAAAGTAATTTTTTTCTCCTAAAGTAAAATGACTGATTATTTAAGAAAGAGGAAGTAGGCAGGGCACAGTGGCTCACACCTGTAATCCCAGCACTTTGGGAGGCCGAGACAGGCAGATCACGAAGTCAGGAGATCGAGACCATCCTGGCTAACACGGTGAAACCCTGTCTCTACTAAAAATACAAAAAATTAGCTGGGCATGGTGGTGGGCGCCTATAGTCCCAGCTGCTGGGGAAGCTGAGGCAGGAAAATGGTGTGAACCCGGGAGGCAGAGTTTGCAGTGAGCCAAGATCGCGCCACTGCACTCCAGCCTGGGAGACAGCTAGACTCCGTCTCAGAAAAAAAAAAAGAAAGAAAGAGGAAGTATAGGACAAGGCAGAAGGCCTAAGTAGGTTGTGGAAGGTCTGAGTAAGCCATGAAAGGCTTGTGAAGCATGAATTTATGAAAGAACTTCTGTGCATGATCAAGTTAGCTATAATTAGAAGGAAATTATTTGTATCTTTCTAAAGATTGATCTTTGAAGCTGGGTGGAGATTACACACCTGTAATCCTAGCACTCTGGGAGCCTGACGTAGGAGAATCACTTGAGCCCAGGAGTTCAAGACCAACCTGGACAAGATTGTGAGACCCCATCTTTACAAAAACATTAAAAAATTAGCTCAGTGTGGTGCCATATGCCTGTAGTCCCAGATATTTGGGAAGCTGAGGTGAAAGGATCGCTTTCGCCTC
This sequence comes from Homo sapiens, assembly GCF_000001405.40. Taxonomy (NCBI): domain Eukaryota; kingdom Metazoa; phylum Chordata; class Mammalia; order Primates; family Hominidae; genus Homo; species Homo sapiens. The sequence continues at coordinate 51,160,080 of NC_000014.9, read as the reverse complement.
AGGCCTGGGAGGTGGAGGTTGCAGTGAGTCAAGATCATGCCACTGTACTCCAGCCTAGGCAACAGAGCGAGAACTTATCTCAAAAAAAAAAAAAAAGATTGAGCTTTGATATTAAAAATACACTGATATAAAACTAAAATGTGGTTCTCCATGTTACAAGAAGGTTTCCTTGAAGAATTGATCTGTTCTTGGTAAAATTTGCAAGAGGTTTTGATTTAATTCTGAAATCTGTTTCTTTATGTTTTCAATCATCTGAACTGAGATTTACAATTTAGAGCAATGTTTTCCTCCAGTATAACTTGATTCTATACTCTTGGCTTTCCGTGATGTGTCCAAATTGTTCCATGTAACCAGGAAATTTCCCATACTCTTACTAAAAGCCATGTATTTTCCTGCTCAAGGTACTAGTTTTCTTATTTACATTCCTCTATAATATGGGGTACACTCATAGCCTTGAGCACATATTCTTCCTGTGTTTGATTAAATTCAAGTACTTTCTCATCAGGTTCAACCTCCAGGTTTGCTAAACGGGCTTTCCATTAGGAGAAACCATCACACTGCAGGAGGCTTTCTTTACCTTTTTGGTAACTGGTCTAAGAAACAAAAATTTTACATTTTATCAAGATAATTTCCTGTGTTTCATGTTGTCTTTATTAGTTTTGTGATTACTTAGGAAAACTGAGTTTTGAAAGAGTTAAGGGGTTTTGTTTTGTTTTTACATCTATGTAACTTTCTGTATAACTTTTGAAGTCTTTGATTACCACTCTGGTTAAATAAGTGACTATTATTTCACAGTGACCTGTGTTCCTATTTTGATCAAGTGTTTTGAATCTTTTGATATCCTTGCTAGGCTTCCCAAGGATCAAGTTCTAAATTAAGTCTTTTTTGACTTTGAACTAACTTTGGGATGTTCCAGAGGCCCCAGAACTTCTTAAAGGCTCATAAAAGTGAGATATTGGGCCGGGCACAGTGGCTCACGTGGGCCTGTAATCCCAGCACTTTGGGAGGCCAAAGCAGACAGATCACTTGAGGCCACGAGTTCGAGACCAGCCTGGCCAACATGGTGAAACCCTGTCTCTACTGAAAATACAAAAATTAGCCGAGCTTGGTGACTTATGCCAGTAATCCCAGCTACTTGGGAGGCTGAGGCAGACCCCAGGAGGCAGAGGTTGCCGTGAGCCAACGTCGCACTACTGCACTCTAGCCTGGGTGACAGAGCAAGATTGTGTCAAAAAAAAAAAAAAAGTTATATTGTACTAAATAAGGCTTATTTGGGATGTTGAATTATATTGAAAGCCTCGTCAAATGATCAATGATGCTAGATCTTTTTTCAGTTACATTTATAGGTATATTATTTCAAAAATTATATAGATTCATAGAAATCTAATGGTATCAGTCATAATTTCAGTTGTTGTGTTAAAATGTTGTATACCACAGAAATAACCAAATTTCCATATCAATTGCTGATTATAATACACTTTTATCAAATTTTTAATCATGGCTATTCTAAGTCTCTGTCATTCACAGTTTCGATTCTTCTCTAAAAGCACTTTCAATCAGATTCATGGAAAAGGCTCTAACAAATATTCTTAAATATAGGTTTCCAGTAACTTTAAGATCAGTGGACTAAAACAAATTTCCAGAACTCTGATGAAGAAACTGATGAATTTATAAAGCTGCTAATCAGGATCAAGCAAAACAAAAATTACGTGAGATTGAATAACTGATAAAGATAATGTTTTATGACTTTTATTTGAGACATTGTTGGTTCTTTACTAAGTGTTTTTCAGGCTTAAGAAAACTTTTTATCTTAAGCTATCTATAGTTTAATTTGGTAAAGTATACTCATATGAACAAAAGTGTAAGCATTTACTTCTTCTCCTACTTGATCCCTCCAAAGTCTGGATACTATTCACGAGTATTCTTATTTTTATGGTAAAACAACTGTCTGCATAATTTCAATAAAAGTCTCCTCCCTAGCATTGGAAACATTGCTTATATTACCCAGGTTTTCACTGGAATGTCATACTTGAGAATGTACATAGGATGCCTGGCTTCAAGGGTTCTCAGCCTTATGGTGAGTGAGTAAAAATGGTCACTTTCTAACAGGCTTAGGAACCTCAAGACAGTAGGTAAAATATGAAGTCTGCTTTGGTTTGTCTTGTTAGCCTTGAGATGTTTTTAAATCTAAAATTCTTATGTAATGAATTACTAGTCCTGCTGCACTTGTGAAATAATCAGACCAAAATCAGTGAGACTCAACTTATTTTACAAATTTTCCTCACTCTTATTATCTTTGGTAGAAATCAAAAAGACTGTGGAGAGAAAAGTTGTATGTTTCCCCAAAAAGCTACAATACACCCATTATTAAATTGCAGCCTTCTGTATTGCTTTTTTCATTATCTACCTGTAGGTTAGACTGGATCCTGAATTCTTCTATGTTCCTCCAATCCAACTTTCTTCCATAATATCACTAACAATGGAAATGTTCTCTGTTCCTGGAGTCCTATAGGCTGAGACTAGATAATTTTTAAGAAACAAATCTCATCTGATATGTGGGCCACATAGAAAGTTCAAACTACCCAATGCCATAACTAGGGACCCAATGCCATAACCAGAGACATGCAAACAAGAACAAGAAGTTGATGGCTTTCTGCCATAAACAGCTTTTCCTAAGACATTGCAACAAGACACCATATTGTAATGAGACTCTTATCCCTTTTAGTGGTAAAAGGTAGGACTTTTTCCACTTGGCAGGAAAATAATGTAATTGAAATTTCTCACTCAGTAGCTTATGCTAGACATTTGACAGACCTTGACCTAAGAGATCCTTTAGTCCACCTAGTGGGTAACTTTGGCAATATCCCTAATATGACTGTTGCTCACTCTCTGCTTTAATTCAACCCAGTCATGGGATACTGGATGATAAAATTGTTCTATATTACCTGTTTGTTAAATAAGAAAATGTCTATGATACTGCTAATATTACATGCTGTACCTGGATAAATTCCTCTGGAGAAGTGGTGACCCACATACACAAAATAAGAAAACAGGTCATATAATTACAACAGGTTTCACCTAGTTACCCATGGTTATTTGATTTATTCATTCAATTGCCTTTAAGCCGAGGTTCGTGGCTAAAAACCACTATGCAAACTGAGATTTTCATATTACTAGTAATTTTACTCTATGTTTTCTTTTTAAAGAAAACCTGTTTATGTTAGTCCATTTGCATTGCTATAAAGGAATACCAGAGGCTGAGTAATTGATAAAGAAAAGAAGTTTAATTGGCTCAGTTCTACAGGCTGTGCAAGCATGCCTTCAGTATCTGCTTCTGGTGAGGGCCTCATGAAGTTTACAATCATGGCAGAAGGTGAAGGGGAGCCAGCATGTCACATGCTGAGAGAGGGAACAAGAGAGTGAGGAGGAGTTTCCAGGCTCTTTTAAACAACCAGAAATCATGTGAACTCATAGAGTAAGACTCAGTACTGTGAGGATGGCACCAAGCTGTCCATGAGGGATCCACCCCCTCGTTTCAAATACCTGCCATCATACTCCACCTCCAACATTAGGGATTACATTTCAACATGAGATTTGGAGGGGACAAAACATCCAAACCATAACACTGTTACTTTTTAAATTTCTGCAGAAGTACAGCTCCTAACAGAATAATATTGGACCAGCAATTTGAGATGATAGCCAGTGCCTACAGAAGAGACAAAATTGAACTTAACAATGGACTCTAGGTAGACTGAGCCTGAAAGCCACTCCCTCCAAACCTACCTTGTTGCTCAAATGTGGCTAAAAGGATTTTGACATTTACTCCATGTTACTAGTCACTCCCTCTGATGTAGGACCAGACCAACAAACTGGGACTGATGTATTCCAGCACCAAAGGATAATGGAAATCTAACTACAGAATGATTCATCAGTGATGCTTTTGGGAAAAGATCTCAATCTAAAGGGGAAATGTAAAATGTAAAATCACAATCAAAATAGAATAACTTGTGTTAAAACTCTGACAAATGAAGTCAGGGAAGGCCATGAAGAGCTCACATGCATGAATGCTTGATAACAAGAACTATCATAAAAGACTCTACAAAAACTACAACCTTGTTTTCTTCCCTCCAAATCTCATCTCATTGTGTGTGCAATTTCACACACAGAAAATTACTTCTGCGAGGATATCTACCCAGAAACTGCCTGTCCAGCCTTGGACTAATGCCACTCTGGTTACTGATCCTTGTAGCCAAGGATTGTTGTTTCAAAACAATTTTTATAACTCTACTTATTTTGCCTTTAAAACTTCTCCTTGCCCCAGGGTATAGTTTACTATAGCTTGTATTTTTGTTACGATGCCCGTTCTCAAATAAATATCATTTTCTCTTAAAGAGTCTATCTCTGTCTGTTATTTAGGTTGACATCTTTCATGCACAAAAAGAGAGAATAAGAGCTGGTAATTGAGGTGCCCTAGGCAGGAGGACTTAGGAGTTCTTTTAATTGATAGAATGCTATACAAGCATTCTCTTCATAGTCTGGGAGATCTAGTTTGTCAAGTTTTAGAAGGGCATATAAGGTCTGACCTATCAAGGAAAAATTAAGCATCTAGTTTCAACAGTACCTGCTAGGCCCCAAAACTCTCGTAAATTGTATATTAGTCTGAGGTTGAGGAAAGTTTAAAATACCCTTTAGTCTGTCAGGATCTAAGAGAAATTCTTGATATCCAAGATAATATCTTTGATCTTAAAAATCCTAAATATTTAACATGAGCCTGGAATCTCTTCTGTAGAAACTTTATGGCCTTTGTCTGCTAGAAGGTTAAGGAATGAACACTATCATGTTCATAAGCCTCCTTAGAAGGGAAACAACATCATCAACATACTGCAAGAGCGTCAAACCTGAGGGAAAGACATGTTTGTTAAATCTGTCTTCAGTCTCTGTGAAAAAAAAAAGAGAGGCTTTCAGTATATTCTTAGGGCATTATTTTCCAGGTATATTGTTGTTCTTCACACATGAAGGTAAATAAAAGGAAGGGTTTGGGTCATAATCCAAAAAGACAATCCCAAATGTCATAATCCTGAATGTTGAAATATGGAAAGATCAAAATCCCAAAAATATAATTATGGAAGAAATAAATTTAAAATTTTTTAAAAATACATTTATGTACTTTTTAAATTAGATTTTATTTTTTTAATTTTCTTTCCTTTTCCTTTTTTTTTTTTTTTGTTTTTTTTTTGTTTGAGATGCAGTCTCACTCTGTTGCCCAGGCTGGAGTACAGTGGTGCGTTCTTATGCAAGCTCTGCCTCCCAGGTTCATGCCATTCTCCTGCCTCAGCCTCCCAAGTAGCTGGGACTACAGGCACCTGCCACCATGCCCGGCTAATTTTTTGTATTTTTAGTACAAACGGGGTTTCACTGTGTTAGCCAGGATGGTCTCCATCTCCTGATCTCAGATCCACCCACCTTAGCCTCCCAAAGTGCTGGGATTACAGGCGTGAGCCACCATGCCTGGCCTTAATTTTCTATTTTTGTGGGTAAATAGTAGGTGTATATATTTATGGGGTACATGAGATATTTTGATACAAGCATGCAATGTGAAATAAGCACATCATGGAGAATGGGGCATCCAAAAGGGGGTTTATTTGAGAAACATAAAAACAAGACAGAACACGTCATAGGCTAGTTCACACAATAAAATAGCAATCATATAATAATACACATATTTTCCAAGCATGAACAGGTACATTAACAACAATTACATGGGTATAATAGTTATGAGCAGATGAACCATATTCATTAAAAAATAGATCAAAAGGCAAAATGTATAAATGCATATCACTATGGTTGGTAACTGTGTGCACACAATTTTACAACTGTAGTCATCTGAAATACTGTGATGAGACAACCTAAGTTTTTTGATGAGATCAATCAGAAACTAAGATTGTTGTCCAGAGAGTCAAGATCAAGAAATTTAACCTTTCACAGATGCAGGTGTACCAAAAGGACATCTCTTCATTTATTGAGGAAGTTTCAACATTTCTATATACATGCACAACATTGTGATAGTGCATGTTTATGGAGTCAAATTTGCAAAAATTGAATAAAACCAATTAGGATGCTCTAAAAGTCTTTATACCATTTATATTTCCAGTATTAAAAATGATGTGAAGATGAAATATATAGCATAACAAATTGGCACTATATGAGAAGGGTCAGAACTTGCACATGCTTGAATAATTTGACGGGAAATTTCTTTTTTTTATTTTTTTTATTTTATTATTATTATACTTTAAGTTTTAGGGTACATGTGCACAATGTGCAGGTTAGTTACATATGTATACATGTGCCATGCTGGTGCGCTGCACCCACTAATTCTTCATCTAGCATTAGGTATATCTCCCAAAGCTATCCCTCCCCCCTCCCCCCATCCCACAACAGTCCCCAGAGTGTGATGTTCCCCTTCCTGTGTCCATGTGTTCTCATTGTTCAATTCCCACCTGTGAGTGAGAATATGTGGTGTTTGGTTTTTTGTTCTTGTGATAGTTTACTGAGAATGATGATTTCCAATTTCATCCATGTCCCTACAAAGGACATGAACTCATCATTTTTTATGGCTGCATAGTATTCCATGGTGTGTATGTGCCACATTTTCTTAATCCATTCTATCATTGTTGGACATTTGGGTTGGTTCCAAGTCTTTGCTATTGTGAATAGTGCCGCAATAAACATACGTCTGCATGTGTCTTTATAGCAGCATGATTTATAGTCCTTTGGGTATATACCCAGTAATGGGATGGCTGGGTCAAATGGTATTTCTAGTTCTAGATCCCTGAGGAATCGCCACACTGACTTCCACAATGGTTGAACTAGTTTACAGTCCCACCAACAGTGTAAAAGTGTTCCTATTTCTCCACATCCTCTCCAGCACCTGTTGTTTCCTGACTTTTTAATGATTGCCATTCTAACTGGTGTGAGATGGTATCTCATTGTGGTTTTGATTTGCATTTCTCTGATGGCCAGTGATGGTGAGCATTTTTTCATGTGTTTTTTGGCTGCATAAATGTCTTCTTTTGAGAAGTGTCTGTTCATGTCCTTCACCCACTTTTTGATGGAGTTGTTTTTTTCTTGTAAATTTGTTTTAGTTCATTGTAGATTCTGGATATTAGCCCTTTGTCAGATGAGTAGGTTGCGAAAATGTTCTCCCATTTTGTAGGTTGCCTGTTCACTCTGATGGTAGTTTCTTTTGCTGTGCAGAAGCTCTTTAGTTTAATTAGATCCCATTTGTCAATTTTGCCTTTTGTTGCCATTGCTTTTGGTGTTTTAGACATGAAGTCCTTGCCCATGCCTATGTCCTGAATGGTATTGCCTAGGTTTTCTTCTAGGGTTTTTATGGTTTTAGGTCTAACGTTTAAGTCTTTAATCCATCTTGAATTAATTTTTGTATAAGGTGTAAGGAAGGGATCCAGTTTCAGCTTTCTACATATGGCTAGCCAGTTTTCCCAGCACCATTTATTAAATAGGGAATCCTTTCCCCATTTCTTGTTTTTCTCAGGTTTCTCAAAGATCAGATTGTTGTAGATATGCGGTGTTATTTCTGAGGGCTCTGTTCTGTTCCATTGATCTATATCTCTGTTTTGGTACCAGTACCATGCTGTTTTGGTTATTGTGGCCTTGTAGTATAGTTTGAAGTCAGGTAGCATGATGCCTCCAGCTTTGTTCTTTTGGCTTAGGATTGACTTGGCGATGCGGGCTCTTTTTTGGTTCCATATGAACTTTAAAGTAGTTTTTTCCAATTCTGTGAAGAAAGTCATTGGTAGCTTGATGGGGATGGCATTGAATCTATAAATTACCTTGGGCAGTATGGCCACTTTCACGATATTGATTCTTCCTACCCATGAGCATGGAATGTTCTTCCATTTGTTTGTATCCTCTTTTATTTCCTTGAGCAGTGGTTTGTAGTTCTCCTTGAAGAGGTCCTTCACGTCCCTTGTAAGTTGGATTCCTAGGTATTTTATTCTCTTTGAAGCAGTTGTGAATGGGAATTCACTCATGATTTGGCTCTCTGTTTGTCTGTTATTGGTGTATAAGAATGCTTGTGATTTTTGTACATTGATTTTGTATCCTGAGACTTTGCTGAAGTTGCTTATCAGCTTAAGGAGATTTTGTGCTGAGACAATGGGGTTTTCTAGATATACAATCATGTCATCTGCAAACAGGGACAATATGACTTCCTCTTTTCCTAATTGAATACCTTTTATTTCCTTCTCCTGCCTAATTGCCCTGGCCAGAACTTCCAACACTATGTTGAATAGGAGTGGTGAGAGAGGGCATCTGACGGGAAATTTCTTATAATTTTCCCTGTGTTTGTATGTCTTCTATGACCTTCAAAACACTTGCTGCACTTGTATTTGGAGAGTGGTTGTACAAATTTGAAAGTCTGGTTATTGCATGGCTATTACGACTAAATGCTTTCTGATTTTGCAGCACCAATAATAATTAGCTTTTAAACTTTATCTTTCACCATGAAGTAGACTCATACACTAAACTTATCATAGCTTTTTGGCAAGGGAACAATTTCACAGATTTCTTGCATACACGGTAAGAAGGAATGCTATTTGTTTCCCCAACATCAAATCTGTATTAATCAGCATTCTCCAGAAATACAGAACCAATAGGATATGTATATATAGACATATGAGAGGAGATTTATTAGGAGAATTGGCTCATGCAATTATGGTAGCTGAAAAGTCCCACAACAGAGTATCTGAAAGCTGGAGACCCTGGAATGCCATTAGTGTGGCTCAGTCCAAATCCAAAGGCCTCAGAACGAGGGAAGCTGATGGTATAACTCAGTCCAAGGCCAAAAGCCTCAAGACCTAAGGGGCTACTGATGTAAATCCTAGAACCTGCAATTCTGATGTGCAAGGCAGCAGGAAAAAAGTCTGTCCTAGCTTTCAGAGAGAGAGAGAGAGAGAGAGACCAATTCACCTTCTGTATTTGTTCTCTCTGAGCCCCCAGTCAGTTGGATGGTGCCCATCAACACTGGGGACAGATTTTCCCCACCTAGTCCACTCACACTCACACACTCATTTCTGCTGGAAATACCCTCATGGACACATCCAAAATAATGCTTTACCAGGTTTCTAGGTATTCATTAATCCAGTAAAGTTGACACTTAAAATTAAGTCCACAAGTCTACCCCTTGTCAACTTGGCACCCGTATGTATCTCCTTAAACCATACCTAATTTCCAAATAAAGACAATAACAAGGTAATAGTTTTACCTAATACGACACAATTAACATAATGTGTACAACCAGAAAAGAACTAATATCTTCCCCAGAATTTGGCTTTCAAGATTTCAACACTCAGGATTTTAATCTTCTTGGCAGGATCTTATACATTCAGGATTTTAAACTTTAGGGATTTTGATCTTTCAGAATGTCAACATTCAGGTTATGGCATTTGAGATTGTGTCTTTCAGAATTATGATCAGCACACACGGGAATGCTAAAGGAAAAAAAGCACTACAAAGATCTATCACTGTGAAAAAACTAACCATCTGTGGGGATGAAAGTCAAGCCAGGAGGGTATGCAGGTTTGGAACAACATGGTGTCAAGGAGTGACATTGTTATTAATGGCTTTTAGGTTTTGTACAAATCTTCATCCTCATCTATGAGGTTTCTTTACAGGAAGGATAGAAGTATTACAGGACTAGTACGAGGCATTATAAGATTATTGGCTTTATTTTCTTTTATAATTTGTTTAATTCTTGCAAGAGCTTCAAGGCCTAGGGAGTATTATCTGGTTAGTTGGGGGGTTCTTTGGGTCCATTTGAATCTTTAATGGGGGAGCCAAATGGATTCATCCAATGTTTGTTATTGATTTAGCCCAAAGTTCCTTAGGAAACTCTTTTGAAAAACTCAGTATCTTCGTTATTTAAGTTAAGGGCAGAAATTCCCCAAGATGTTGAAGAATTCTTACTGTTATTAGTAAAAGCAGGGGTTAGGTCAGGCACAGTGGCTCATGCCTGTAATCCCAGCACTTTGGGAAGCCAAGGCAGGAGGATCACTTGGGGCCAGGAGTTCAAGACCAGACTGGGCAACATAGCAAGCCCCCATCTCTACAAAAATTTAAAAATTAGACAGGTGTGGTAGTCCATGCCTGTTGACCCAGCTACTTCAGGAGGCTGAGGTGGGAGGATTGCTTGAGCCTAGGAGTTTGAGGCTGCAGTGAGCAATGATCATGCCACTGCACTCCAGCCTGGACAACAGAGTGAGATGTTGTCTCTGAACACATTAAATTAAATTAATAAATAAAGAGGGGGTTGAGTGGATTTCAAAAATTATCTCCCCCTTTTCAGAAAAGGAAATGGCAGCATGAAACTTTCTAAGTCCCTTCCAAGTAAGTGAACTATGGCTGAGGGAACTAGTGTAAAATAATGACTGTCCCAGAGAGGATCCAATTGAAAAAGCAAGGGTAAAGATGTGTAAAGTGTTAATGATCATTAGAAACTCCCGCCATTTGAATTTTTTCAGTACTCAGTACTCAAGGAAGGGGCTGCTTGAGGTTGGTGGGAGTAAGCACAGAGAAGGTTGCTCCAGTGTCAAAAAGGACAGTGAGAACCTTCTTTCCAATCATTAGGAAAGTTTCACCCAAATGATAAAGAGGCAAGATCTGAAAGATCACCTTCTTTCCTGGGAGTACCCTCAGTCCATAAGGGACATAGAGGCCAGCTTATTAAGGGTTTGTTCAACAGGTTTTAATTGTACATATTTTTTTCCCAATGTCCACGCTGTTTGTAACAGTGACAGACCCCTTTAAGATTTGATTTTCTGGTGTTAGACTGCTATCTTTTATTATGAAGGTAGAAAGCTGCTAAAGCTGTAGCATCATTATCTTATTTGCCTCACATTATTGATCTTAGAAATTGTTTGGGATAATTGGTTGTCCAGGTTAACTAAATCAGAGGTGGGCATTATTTCCAATTAAACCAACCCTGTTTAACTAGAATTGCAAGATCTTCATCTAAGCCGTTTATGAACATAGAATTAAAAGCCAGTTTGGTAGATTCAGTGTCCAAGGGGAGCATTCAGATTTTCTTGAAAACTATTTCAAGTCTGTTGTAATAGTCATGTACTGCCTCACCTTCCTTTTGGGTGTAGGCCTGACTCTTGTTACAGTCTATTGGTTTAGGGAATACTTAAAACAATGGCTTGGTATAAAGTTTTGATTCTTTCATGGGCTTTTTCCTTATCAAGAGGCATACTGCATTGGAGGTTTGTTAGAGGATTGTTCCAGCCTGCTTTTGCTATTCAATGTTGTGCCTGACTTTCTTCAATAAGCATATGTATTAATTGATAAAGGTCAGAGAAACTAGGTTCATAAGTATGGATAACAATTTGAAAATCTTAGCAAATTTATGAAGATCCTCAGAAACCTTGGGAAACTCTTTAGCCATATCCCTAAGTTTGACTTTTGTCCAGGGTATATAAGAAATATTTGTGAGTGCCTTCATTATGTGGATGGAGATTGAAATGATGAATTTGAACAGGTTTAACATAAACAAGGGAATCAAGAGAAGCTTCAGTGTCAAAAAATAGAAAGGAAGTTCAACAAGTCCAGTATGTAGAAAAAGAAGTCAGGAAATGAGAGTTGAAGGAAGAAATCTGAGCCTCGAAGACATTTTTCTTTCTTTTTAAATTTTTTATTAGCCTCTGTGAGTTTAGAGACTGTGTTTTGAAGAGAGGCAATTTTTAGAGTCCTGAATGTGTTTGGACACCTCTAAATGTCAATTAAAATATGCACCCCATTCAGATTGTTTTGTTTTAGAACACTGGTCTTCTAATTTAGTTAGGAGACAATCTAGTTTTGATATATCAAAGGAATTGTACTTTGGCTGTTGTAATTTGAAAGCATCGTTTGTATAGAAGCTCCAGTATTCTAGATAAATGCAGGTTCACCGTTCATAATTTTTTTTAACGTAAAACCAGCAGGAGTTCCAGAAGTGGAACAATCATTACAAGGTTTAGAATTAAAGAATCCCATACTTATAACAATAATAATAATACTCACTAATAGGAAAACGTAAATATTGGCAAACTCTTGATAAACGAGGAAAACTCTTGCACAGCCTAAAAGTCTTTGTGGGCACAGATGGAACAACTGTTCTCAGATTCCCAAATAAAGACATTGACCAAAACCAAAGGGAAGGAGGCCAGAGCCTGAGAGGACTCATGAGCAAGGGAGTCTGTGATCCGAGGAAGCAGAGAGTACAAGTGGCTCTTTGTTGTGTGGACTTCACCGTACTTTATAGAACACTGGTCCGTGGACCACTGAGTAAGATCACTTCAGGTCCCATTTCTGACATTAGCTTAAAAAACAACAACAACAACAAAAAAAACTAAAAAAAAGATCAACATGAGGTCAAAATAAATAACATTTATTTGGGAAACCAAGAATTGCAATTCTGGTACACTGAATCAGGGCAGCCTCCAATAGTGTCTTGTAAGGCAAATGCAGGAGAGGTTTTCTATAGGGGATTTCCATGAAAAATTGTTTCCATAGGCAGTTCATTGGCTAGGCAGAAATCCTAAATTGCAAACCAGTTCTGATTGGTTAGTTAATGAAGGCACTCCCAACTGATGGATTTTGAAAGCTGGTGGATACTGACTTTGGTTGTTTATTTAAATCTATTAGAACATTTTGTGGTTTGACCTTTGTGAAAGGATTGCACAATCTCCTGCCTCCACTTTGGAAAACTGTAGCCTTGGTTTTTTTCTTTCACACTGGACATTTTTTGTTTGTTTGTTTGTTTTTGGGACATTCTTGCTCTGTCACCCAGGCTGGAGTGCAGTGGAGCAGTCTCAGCTCACTGCAACCTCCGCCTCCCAGTTTCAAGCAATTCTGATGCCTCAACCTCCCAAGTAGCTGGGATTACAGGTGTGTGCCACCATGGCCAGCTAATTTTTCTTTTTCTTTTTCTTTTTTTTTTTTTTGTATTTTTAGTAGAGACAGGGTTTCACCATGTTGGCCAGGCTGGTCTCCAACTCCTGACCTTAAGTGATCTGCCCACCTTGACCTCCCAAACTGCTGGGATTGCAGGCGTGAGCCATGGTGCCCAGCCACACTGGAAATGTTTTTTGAATGAAAACGTTTTATATCAGATTCTCCATTTATTACTTTACTTGAAAAAACTCTTATTCCCTTGTAGCAACAATCAGAATTAATAACAGTTGTCCCTTGCAGACTGCTCTCTGCCTGTCCAAAGCCCTCAGAGGGTACCTTCACCCACTTCTCCTACTTATCTGGCTCCTGGGAGCATCTATTGGCCACCTCAGGCCTGATACCTTCAGCCACTCAGCTGCTCTCACTTCCTGTATCCTGAGTCCATGTTCATCATACAGCCTTCTAGGGCTGGCCTAACTTCTTTTCTTGGTCTTCTACAGCGAGAGAATGTGCTAGTCATGTTGATGTGAGGACTCTTGCCGATGTAACAGTTTTATGTGCCATGAAACTGTACAAACAAACTGGCAGTTTGATTTTACTGATCAGTCTCTAGTAAGTCAGCCTTCAAGAGATGGATTCATTCTTGGTGCATGCACAAAACCAAGCACTGGTCTTCAAGGCTGAGAGTCAAAACAGCAATGTAGTTGCTGCTAAATTCACAGTGATTGTGCTCCCTGGTAAAATAACTTGGGACTGAACTGCCGAATGTCACCATATGAAATCCTCTACAAACTGAACTTTTCTAAACTGTATTTCTGTATTCAGAAGGTATTTCATGCACTGATTTTGTTTTATAAATCACATTTGCTTTACAACATTATACTTTTATATTTACAGGGGTGTGTGTGTGTGTGTGTGTGTGTGTGTGTGTGTGTGTGTTTAAAAATCAGAAAATGAGAGATTAAGTTGGTAGAAGAGCGTATAAAAATTGCAGGTCAAAAATAAAATTATTGGCCGGGCATGATGGCTCATACCTATAATCCCAGCAATTTGGGAGGCCGAGGCGGGCGGATTGCCTGGGGTCAGGAGTTTGAGACTAGCCTGGCCAACATAGTGAAACCCTGTCTCTACTAAAAATACAAAAAGATTAGCTGGGCATGGTGGTGTGCACCTGTAATCTCAGCTACTCAGGAGGCCAAGGCAGGAGAATCGCTTGAACCGGGGAGGCGAAGGTTGCAGTAAGCCAAGATTGCACTATTGCACTCCCCAGTCTGGGTGACAGAGCAAGACCCCATCTAAAAAAATAAATAAATAAAATAAAATAAAATAATCTTTGTAGTCTCCCCTTCCTGCAGAGGGCTGGTATATGTTTTTGGTTGCTTAATTCTTTCTGTTAGTATAACATTTCATGGCTCTTCATAAATTGTAAAAAATAAAATTGCCTTTTATAATTATCTGATTCTTATCTTCTCCACTTTATTAGTGTCATTGACTCTGCACTCACCCACTAGCCTCCTTTATTTTATAATTTAGCAAATGTCCACCTACATATTGCACCTTAATTGTGTCATCTGCCAAAAAGCAAGTTGATTGGGAAAGAAAATCTTAAAAACACTTCCTACACATTCACACATTGCAGAGGCCTTACATCACAGGCATTTGGGAGTCCCAGTGTGTCTGGAAGAACTTTAGGACGATTCATGCAGAAGACAACTTAAGAAAAGATGAACTCTGAAAGATTCTCTTTAGCACAAGTATTGCAGTGCTGACTCATGTAACAGCTCAGAAATGTTTAAGATCTTCCAACTCTGGCCCACTGCAGCCATAAACATAAACATCTCATTCATTCATTCATTCAAAAAGTGGTTATCGAGCATCTACTTTGGACATGTGGCAAAAGGTACACCTAAAGCCAATGGAAAGCAAAGTTTTCCTAAACTCAGAGTCAATGATGATAATGATGATGATAGTAAAACAAAGACATTTTTTGTTTTTGCAATGATATAAGTGATTTCTGCTGTTTTGTTTCTTGTGTTCCAGAATAGAACCGTTTGGCAGCTTACAAGAATTTCCAGAAAGTACCAGGTAGATCTATACTTATGATTTGTGTTTTTCTTCTATAAAGAAGTATCTCTGGATGTCAAATTAAAGATTGCTACAGAATGCAGGCTGAAAGCTGACAGCTAATTAGAGAATATTTCTGAATACTGCTTCCAATTAATTTTAAAAACACATCAGAATGTCAGACATTTATTTTCTATCCCTGTCTCCCCTATATCATTCCTATGTCAGCATCACTTACGGTTAAAACATCTCAAAATGAAAAGTAAATATGAATTATATTGATAAATAACAAATTAATAAATCTCAAAAGTATGTCTTTTAAATCACATTTGTAATTGATTAATAAATCAGTCACAAATAAAAGGATCCTAATTGAGCAACTTCTGAGACCTTTAATTTCTAAAAAATGGAATACTTCCAAGGCTGACATTTCAATAACTAAAATACAAAAGGCACATTTCATCTTCAACAACAGAAAGAAGTGTTTGGGTCAATTCTTCATCAAGGGTACAAACTTTAAGTTTATTTTTCTTCTTGCTTTCTGAGAATCAAAGAGAATAATAGAAGAATAGAAATAGAACCACATTTTTAAAGAACAAAAAATTGACGTTTTAATTATAGAATTGACAATCCAGCTCCAGTCACACTCACTCTGGCGTTGGCATAGGAATGGGTTTTATCCCAAAAGAGTGATGTACTTTGTACTTTTAGTGAATAATTAGAATTTAGATTGAGATGAGACTATCATATATATATATATATATATATATATATACACATACATATATATATATATATATACATATATATATATATATACGTATATATATATATATATATGATTTTTTTTTTTGAGGCAGGGTCTCTCTGTCTCCCAGGCTGGAGTACAATGATGTGATCATAGCTCACTGCAGCCTTGAACTCCTGTACTCAAGCAGTCCTCCCGCCTCAGCTGCCCAAGTAGCTGGGATTACAGGCACATGCCACCACACACCTGGCTAGAGATATAATTTTAAGTAAACATTAGTGTATGTAAGATCCACTCCCTTTTGTCCTAAAATAGATCAGCTCAACTAAAAACTTATTCCTTTTTCTGTAAACTCTGTCAGCAACAAGCCAAGGAATTTAGTAACCTGAACAAGTGTTCTGGAAGCCAAGTGAGATATATTGTTAAAACTGCACGGAGTTACCATTAACTTTTAAATGATAAGAGACACTGCACTATTTTATAATAAAAAGTGACAAAACAATGACTGTGAGTTTCATATGAGAATCCCGTGATTAATTTTGAAACTGCCTTAGTAATCTACAGGTAGACTTAAAGATGTGAAACCAATGAGGACATTTGACAGAAGTGGACTTGATATGGTATTTTATTATAGAAGGGGAAAAAAATCAAGCTGAATGCCAAGTATCATGGATTCTGTGAGAAACCACAGCATGACCTCCTGGGAGATAGCATACATATTTACCTGCACTGCTCAAAGCCACTACCCAGCTGCTCCAATCGTGAACAGCAGAAGGCAGATGATACCCCACTGCCTGATAATTTGCCTTGAAAGGCAAGGACTACAATGAGTCCATCCCACTCCAGAACCACAGGCTTCAGAACTGGATACTTGGGATCTATGTGACCTTGGCCAGTTTCCATAACCTGAGTCTAACATTTTACCTATAACATTAATAAATTATTATCTGTCAAAATAGAATAAAAATTCTTATCCCACAACAACACAGCGTTGTTGTAGAGACAAATGAGATCATATCCTTAGCAGTGTGCCTGGTAGATATTAAGTGCCCAATAAATGAGAGGAGTTAGAGTGACTCCCCCACCCTCCACTGCTGCTGGAAGCAAAGGAACAAGCTGCCCCTTCTAGATGCTGCTTTGTCTTTGCCTCACAAATGTCACCAAAGTAGAACTACAGCAGCTTCTTCTGGTTTCTTCCTAGAGGACGAAAGTTATACATTTAACGACATAATGTGTGTGAGTCCCCCTTGTTGACATTGATGAGATGCCAACAAAGAGAGGTTGTTTCCCTGAGGAGCACTGATGGAGGGGAATACGTGTATCCAGTTCTGTGTGGGGGCCATCCAGTGTAATTTATAATGCCACTATAAACCAAAAATAAATTTCCAACCCCCCCAACTAACTGATTGTGAATGCACTCCCTCCTCTTGACCAAAGGGACCCAAGGAAACCTGAAAAACTAGTTTATGCCATAATGAGAAGGAAAGGGGGTCTCCTCCTTTTGGAATTCAGGCACAACTGACCAGCATTAACATTAAAAACAGGTCTTCAGACTGACAAAGCAGACTCTTTGTAGCAATAAGATACCAAGTTCCAACCTGCCTCTAGTATCACATGGCAGATAAGGAAATAAAAATATATTACCCCAAAATATGTTTCTTTGCATATTTTGAAATGGCCCTGTAAAGCCATCTTTTGTAGGGGAAAATTTGTATCTGTAAAGAATCTCTAATAACATAACTAGATCTTTCCCCTTCTAGCCCCTCCCAGTCCTGAAGAGGTTAACTGAGAGTCTACCACCTTTTAAAAGTCCAAGTAGGACACATTTGCCATCTATTATTTTTAAGGGCCGCCACCTATGAGACTTCATCTACATAATAAAAACCTTGGTTTCCACAACCCCTTTTCTTAACCCAGACACTCCTTTCTATTGATTCCAGGTCTTTAGATAATAACTTCACTGTTTCAACCAATTGCCAATCAGAAAATCTTTGAATGCTCCCATGACCTATAAGCACTATCTCCTGCACCTCCTCCCTTTGAGTTGTCCTGCCTTTCCAGAGCAAACCAATATATACCTCACATGTGTTGATTGATATCTTATGTCTCCCTAAAACCTATAAAACCAAGCTGTAACCCAACCTCCTCTGAGGACCTCTTGAGACTGTGCCTCAGGCCATGTCACTCATATTTGGCTCAGAATAAATCTCTTTAAATATTTTACAGAGTTAGGCTTTTTTCATCAATACCACTGTGCCCATAGGAAACACAGGTGAAAACCATTTTCCTTATTATGAGTGGGGTTAAACTTTGCCCACCCCGGCCAGGCACGGTGGCTCACACCTGTAATCCCAGCACTTTGGGAGGCCGAGGTGGGCGGATCACTTGAGGCCAGGAATTCGACACCAGCCTGGCCAACATGATGAAACCCAGTCTCTACTAAACTACAAAAAAGTAACTGGGTGTGGTGGCGAACACCTGTAGTCCCAGCTACTCGGGCAGGCCAAGGCACGAGAATTGCTTGAACCTGGGAGGGGAAGATTGCAGTGAGCCAAGATGACACCACTGCACCCCAGCCTGGGCGACAGAGTGAGACTCCCATCTATAAAAAAAAAAAAAACTTTCCCCAGCCCATCGTCATTTCCCAACTGAAGTCATTGCTCACATACTACCTTCTCAATGAGGCCTCATTTGACCGCCATCTTGAAAACAGCAACCAATCTCCTCATCCTGACTGTTTCCTTACGTTTTCTGTTTTTTTCTTCCTGAGACCCACTGATCTAATGGAAAATATTATTTTCAAATTTGTTATATTTGTTGTATATCATCTGTCTCTTCCAGCTAGAATGTAATCTTTTGGGGTCAGGGAGCTTTGTTTTGTGCCTGGAACAATTGGTAATTGGTTGAATGAACAAATACGTAAATAGATTTATTCATATTTGTATATGCACAGAGAAACTCTGGAAACCTTCTTGAGAAAATAATAACATTTGTTGATAGAATAGGGAAAACTGGAGAAGTGGTCTGTATGAATTGGAGACGAGTGGGAGGAA
Organism: Homo sapiens; assembly: GCF_000001405.40. Lineage (NCBI taxonomy): Eukaryota > Metazoa > Chordata > Mammalia > Primates > Hominidae > Homo > Homo sapiens. Next base: position 51,141,267 of record NC_000014.9, on the reverse strand, counting down.
GATTTCAATTCTTAATTTTTGAACCGTGTGAATGATTATATATATATCTCAGACATGACTGGTTCTGAAGTCACCAGCCATCCTTGACAGGCCTGATTTCTTTCTCTCCACTCTTTATAAAGAGACCTCTCTCCCTTCTCTTTTCCCTGCACCTCCTTAATTTCTCTGTCAAGCCTCAAAATAGCAAATGCTCTTCCTGCTACATATGCGCATGCATCTGTACATATCTTTTCTGTGTCAATATATGTTTTAAGAAAAGTGTGAAATTAAACTTCAATTTCAAAACAGATATTCTACTCAAATACAGACTGTAATAAAAACATCTTTAATAAAGGCTTACCGAACAACGGCAGCAACAAAAACTTGAATTCAAAGAAGAAGGCCAACCAGGGAGAACCATGGTGACTTTAGAGGGTTTGATGAATTGGTAAATGATGGCAGCTGCTTTAAAGGGCGTTGCCTTCGTTCCCAGGGACCACATAATGGAAGGTCCATTATGGAGTAGGTGAAGTGACCTCTGGGCTGGGAACAGGGACTCTGGGAAGTCCTTGCTGAGCATTCCCTGAGGCCAGGATGTCTGTGCCTCTGGGCTCCCTCCTCTTCCATTCTGATCAAAGGACTCATTGGTGTTATGGCATTTGAGGCAAATGCCTCAGATTGGCTGAGAGAACACAAACAAGCAGATCTACAACGTGGTGCAAAGAAAACAGAAGGGGCACGTGTGTTGAGATGTGTTAAATATTATGAATTCATTTACATAGTCACCAGAGGAAGAACGTGATCGAAAGTCAAGATGAAGCCAAGAGGCTTGCCGTCAAAGCTCTAGCATATTGGAATATAACTAACATTTAAAAATATATATGCTTTATTCTTCCCTTCCAGCCTCTTTTTCTTCTCCCTCTCATGTTTTCCAGCCAGTTTTAGCCAAGTGAATTATTATTCTAGCCAAATTCCTCTAGGAAGGAAAGAATAAACTCAATTCATCTTCATTTCTGTCCTCTGACAAAATGGGTAAGACAGTGATGATATCAATCTTTTACTGGATTTTGCTCACAGGGATTTAATGAATATTTGTTAATATACTGTGATAAGCAATGCAAAAATATGAAGGCCAGCAGAGTGATAATGGCCATGAATTACAAATTCCTAAGCCTTTATTATACAGAAAACTAATTTGTTCTTACTACATTGAGATCTGACCAGCCCCAGACCCAGTACCTTTTATGTAGTTCTATGAATTTTCATTATGTAAATAATTAAAATATGAGGAAAAGAGACATTTTAAATATAAGGATTTACCTCTAATTTCTCACAAAATTATCTCTGTTTATAAAGAAGAGCTAGTGAATAGTAGTTCTCCAGCATGGAAAATTGTCAGAATCATAACGCGATCTAAAAATGTCTTGTATTAAAACAAAGCCTAAAAACATTTTTAAATAGATTTGTTAGCTTGTCTATTTAATCCACTAACCTAGACAATTAGGTTAATACAATTGGAAATTGAAAGCAAAATTTTCTATATTGTTGCCTGATACTCTTCAGTGTTGGCTGTTGCTTCCATCCTGAAGCATTGTAAGACACCACTGCTTGAGAGCCTCTCTCTGAAAACAAGACTGTCACATGACACTAGAGCAGAAAGTAGTTGCACATCATTCAGTTCTTTGCTTTGCCCCCTACTTACTCACCGCCATGACTGTAATTATTTTTCCACTGTAGGAGTCACACAATGGAAGAGGAACAGTTCCCGTCACACCTCCAGGTTATGTAATCACTTAGCCTGAAGGGAACAACCCAGATCCTCTGAGCAGCACCCACAGAGAGAGGGTTCAGACCCAAAATAGTAACTTTGCCCCGAGCAGCAAAAAGAGGATACAATTCCCCTATGACACCCATAAACTGCAACGCAGTCTTTGTAGTCGCAACTGAGCTTTCCTAGAGTGCTCAACAGAAGTCACACCCCAGTGGTCAAGTGCTGAAGGGAGGAGCAAGACAGAATCAAAGTCCTAGCAGTTGACATGGCAACAGCAATAGGGCAATGAAAGGTTTCCAGAAGCAAATCTGTCTCAAGAGTTTATAATGCAACCATATGCTGTCTCTGTCTAACACATGCCGAATGAAGACAGATTCAGTCTGTTTTCTGACTACCTCCATCAGTTTGCATTATCTGGTGAAATTCTGGAGAGGCAAGTCAGATGAGGCAGTTCCCAGACCCGGGTCTTCAAGTTACTGTAACAAAGAAGGCTTAGGCCCTTTCTTTCTAGCTTGTGTAGGAAATGCAGGCATAAGCCATCACTGATGTATGTTTAGCTCAGTTGGCTGAAATTTCTGGTTGTACTGTAACCTTTATCAGCCTCTAAATGCAGAGTGGCTGATCTAATCACAAAACAGATTCAATCATTATTGTACTACTTGGAAATACTAAGAGCTAATCCAGATGCCACAAAGTAATGTTCCTTCTTTGACTCGGAATTTGTTTTAGAAAAAGCAACAAGAGGACATTTCTTTTTCTTTTGATTCCTGTGATGGTTTATTTTATGTGTCAATTTGAGCAGGCCACAGGTTACCCAGATTAAACATTGTTTCTGGATGTGTGGCAAAGGTATTTCTGGCTGAGGTTAGCATTTGAACTGAGTCTATTGTTGGACTCAGCAGAGTAGTTTGCCTTCCTTAATGTGAGTGGGCATCACCCAATCCATTGAGGGCCTGAGTAGAACAAAAGGTGGAAGAAGGGAGAATTCACCCTTTTATTCCTACCTCACTGCTTGAGCTGGGACATCTAACCTCTTCTGCCCTGGGATTGCTCCCCTGGTCAGCTCCCTGGTTCTCAGGCATTTGGACTCAGGCTGAATTACACCACTGACTTTATTCAGTCTCCAGCTTGCAGATGGCAGATCACAGGATTTAACCTCCATAATCATATGTGCCACTTCCTCCAATAAATGTCCGGTGTGTGTGTGTGTTTGTGTGTGTGTATGCGTATCTCCTATGCTCCTGTTCAAGGTTCATCCATGTTGTAGTATGTGTTAGAATCTTAGACCTTTCTAAAGCTGAATAATATTCTATTATATGGATATACCACATTTTGTTTATTCATTTTTCTATTGATAGACATTTGAATTGTTTCAATCTTTTGGTGAATGTGAATAATGCTGCTGTGAACATTGGTGTACAAGTATCTGTTTGAGCATCTGCTTTCAATTCTATTGTGTATATATCCAGGAATAGAATTATTGGGTCATGTGGTAATTCTATTTAACTTTTTGAGGAGCCATCAAACTTTCCTCCACCATGGCTGCACAATATTTTACGTTCCTGCCAAGTCCTCCAGCACCCCTCTTTTAAAATTTATTTCTTCTAAAAAAAACAAAAAAAAACGGGATACATATACAGAACATGCAGGTTTACATAGGTATACGTGTGCCATGGTGGTTTGCTGCAACTATTGACCCATCCTCTATGTTCACTCCCCTTAACCCCCACCCCTCAACAGGCCCTGGTGTGGGTTGTTCCCTGTGTCCATATGTTCTCAATGTTCAACTCCCATTTATGAATAAGAACATGCGGTGTTTGGTTTTCTGTTCCTGCATTAGTTTGCTGACGATGATGGCTTCCAGCTTCATCCACGTCCCTGCAAAGGACATGATCTCATTCCTTTTTATGGCTGCATAGTATTCCATGGTGTATATGTACCACATTTTATCTATCCAGTCTATCATTGATGGGCATTTGGATTGGTAACATGTCTTTGCTATTGTAAATAGTGCTGCAATAAACATACATGTGCATGCATTTTTATAGTAGAATTATTTATTATCTTTTGGGTATATACCCAGTAATGGGATTGCTGGGTCAAATGGTATTTCTGGTTCTAGATCCTTGAGGAATCACCATACTGTCTTCCACGATGATTGAACTAATTTACATTCCCACCAACACTGTAAAAGCATTCCTATTTCTCCACAGCCTCGCCAGCATCTATTGTTTCCTGACTTTTTAATAATTGCCATTCTGACTGGCGTGAAATGGTATCTCATTGTGGTTTTGATTTGCATTTCTCTGATGATCAGTTATGTTGAGTTGTTGTTTTTTTTTCATATGTTTGTTGGCTGTGTAAATGTCTTCTTTTGAGAAGTGTCTTGATATCTTTTGCCCACTTTTTGATGGGGTTGTGTTTTTTTCTTGTAAATATGTTTAAGTTCCTTGTAGATTCTGGATATTAGCCCTTTGTCAGATGGATAAATTGCAAAAATTTTCTCTCATTCTGTAGGTTGCCTGTTCACTCTGATGACAGTTTCTTTTGCTGTGGAGAAGCTCTTTAGTTTAATTACATCCCAGTTGTCAATTTTGGCTTTTGTTGCAATTGCTTTTGGTGTTTTTGTCATGAAATCGTTGCCCATGCCTCTGTCCTGAATGGTATTGCCTAGGTGTTCTTCTAGGGTCTTTATGGTTTTTGGATTTACATTTAAGTCTTTAATCCATCTTGAGTTAATTTTTGTATAAGGTGTAAGGAAGGGGTCAGTTTCAGTTTTCTGCATACAGCTAGCCAGTTTTTCCAGCACCATTTACCGAATAGGAGATCCTTTCCCCATTCCTTGTTTTCATCACGTTTGTCGAAGATCAGATGATTGTAGATGTGTGGTGTTATTTCTGAGGTCTCTGTTCTGCTCCATTGGTCTACATGTCTGTTTTGGTACCAGTACCATGCTGTTTTGGTTACTGTAGCCTTGTAGTATAGTTTGAAGTCAGGTAGTGTGATGCTTCCAGCTTTGTTCTTTTGGCTTAGTATTGTCTTGGCTATATGGGGTCTTCTTTGATTCCATATGAAATTTAAAATTGTTTTTTCTAATTCTGTGAAGAATGTCAGTGGTAGTTTGATGGCAATAGCATTGAATATATAAATTACTTTGGGCAGTGTGGCCATTTTCACAATATTGGTTCTTCCTATCCATGAGGATGGAATATTTTTCCATTTTTTTGTGCCCTCTCTTATTTCCTTGAGCAGTGGTTTGTAGTTCTCCTTGAGGAAGTCCTTCACATCTTTTGTTAGCTGTATTCCTAGGTATTTTATTCTCTTTGTAGCAATTGTGAATGGGACTTCATTAATGATTTGGCTCTGTGCTTGTCTATTGTTGGTGTAAAGGAATGCTTGTGATTTTTGCACATTGACTTTGTATCCTGAGACTTTTGAAGTTGCTTATCAGTTAAAGAAGTTTTGGGGCTGAGATGATGGGGTTTTCTAAATATAAAATCATGTCATCTGCAAACAGAGACAATTTGACTTCCTCTCTTCCTATTTGAATACCCTTTATTTCTTTCTCTTGCCTGATTTCCTGGCCAGAAATTCTAATACGGTGTTGAATAGGAGTGGTGAGAGGAGAGCATCCTTCTCTTGTACTGGTTTTCAAAGGGAATGCTTCCAGCTTTTCCCCATTCAATATGATGGTGGCTATGGGTTTGTCATAAATAGCTCTTATTATTTTGATATATGTTCTATTAATACCTAGTTTATTGAGAGTTTTTAACATGAAGGGATGTTGAATTTTATCAAAGGCCTTTTCTGTATCTATTAGATAATCATGTGGTTTTTTCTTTGGTTCCATTTATGTGCTGGATTACATTTATTGATTTGCATATGTTGAACCAGCCTTGCATCCCAAGGCTGAAGCCAACTAGATCATGGCAGATAAGTTTTTTGATGTGCTACTGGATTTGGTTTGCCAGTATTTTATTGAGAATTTTTGCATCTATGTTCATCAGGGATATTGGCCTGAAGTTTTCTTTTTTTGTTGTGTCTCTTCCTGGTTTTGGTATCAGGATGATGCTGGCTTCATAAAATGAGTTAGAGAGGAGTCCCTCCTTTTTAACTGTTTGGAATAGTTTCAGAAGGAATGGTACCAGCTCCTCTTTGTATTTCTGGTAGAATTCAGCTGTGAATCCATCTGGTCCTGGTCTTTTTTTTTTTTTTTTTTTTTTTTTGGTTGGTAGGCTATTAATTACTGCCTCAAATTCAGGGCTTGTTATTGGTCTATTCAGGGATTCAACTTCTTTTTGATTTAGTCTTGGTAGGGTGTATGCATCCAGGAATTTATCCATTTCTAGATTTTCTAGTTTATTTGCATAGAGATGTTTATAGTATTCTCTGATGGTAGTTTGTATTTCTGTGGAGTCAGTGGTGATATCCTCTTTATCATCTTCTATTGTGTCTATTTGATTCTTCTCTCTCTTCTTCTTTATTAGTTTAGCTAGCAGTCTATCTGTTTCGTTAATTTAAAAAAAAAGGCCGGGCGCGGTGGCTCACGCCTGTAATCCCAGCACTTTGGGAGGCCGAGGCGGGCGGATCACGAGGTCAGGAGATCGAGACCATCCCGGCTAAAACGGTGAAACCCCGTCTCTACTAAAAATACAAAAAATTAGCCGGGCGTAGTGGCGGGCGCCTGTAGTCCCAGCTACTTGGGAGGCTGAGGCAGGAGAATGGCGTGAACCCGGGAGGCGGAGCTTGCAGTGAGCCGAGATTGCGCCACTGCACTCCAGCCTGGGCGACAGAGCGAGACTCCGTCTCAAAAAAAAAAAAAAAAAAAAAAAACCTGCTCCTGGATTCATATAATTTTTGGAGGGTTTTTCATGTCTCTATCTCATTCAATTCTTCTCTGATCTTAGTTATTTCTTGTCTTCTGCTAGCTTTTGGATTAGTTTGCTCTTGCCTCTCTAGCTCTTTTAATTATGATGTTAAAGTGTCAATGTGAGATCTTTCTAGCTTTCTGAGGTAGGCATTTAGTGCTATAAATTTTCTTCTTAACACTGCTTTAGCTGTGTCTCAGGGATTCTGCTGTGTTGTCTCTTTGTACTCATTGGTTTCAAAGAACTTCTTGATTTCTGCCTTAATTTCATTATTTACACAGGAGTCATTCAGGAGGAGGTTGTTCAATTTCCATGAAATTGTGTGCTTTTGAGTGAGTTTCTTAATCTTGAGTTCAAATTTGATTGCATTGTGGTCTGAGAGACTGTTATGATTTCAGTTATTTTGCATTTATTGAGGAGTATTTTACTTCCAATTGTGTGGTCGATTTTAGAATAAGTGCCATGAGCACTGAGAAGAATGTACATTCTGTTGATTTGGGGTAGAGAGTTCTGTAGACGTCTACCAGGTACACTTGATCCAGAGCTGAGTTCAAGTCCTGAATATCCTTGTTAATTTTCTGTCTTGTTGATCTGTCTAATACTGACTGGGGTGTTAAAGTCTCCCACTATCATTGTGTGGGAGTCTGTCTCTTTGTAGGTCTCTAAGAACTTGTTTTATTGGGTGCCCCTGTATTGGGTGCATATATATTTATAATAGTTAGCTCTTCTTCTTGAATTGTTCCTTTTACCATTATGTAATGCCCTCTTTATCCTTTTTGATCTTTGTCGGTTTAAAGTCTGTTTTGTTAGAGCCTAGGATTGCAACCCCTGCTTTTTTTTTTTTATTTCTGAGATGCAGTCTTGCTCTCTCACCCAGGCTGGAGTGCAGTGGCACGAACTTAGCTCACTGCAACCTCTGCCTCCCAGTTCAAGAGATTCTCCTGCCTCAGCTTCCCTAGTAGCTAGGATTACAGGTGCCCACCGCCATGCCCAGCTAATTTTTGTATTTTTTGTAGAGACGGGGTTTCACCATGTTGGCCAGCCTGGTCAAGAGCTGAACTCCTGACCTCTGGTGATCCGCCCCCCTCAGCCTCCCAAGGTGCTGGGATTACAGGTGTGAGCCACCATGCCTGGCCACCCCTGCTTTTTTTTTGCTTTCCATTTACTTGGTAAATTTTCCTCCAACCTTTTATTTGGAGCCTGTGTGTGTCTTTGCACATAAGTTGGGTCTCCTGAATACAGCACATCGATGGGTCTTGACTCCTTATCCAGTTTGCCAGTCTGTGTCTTGTAATTGGGGCATTTAGTCCATTTACATTTAAGGTTAGTATTGTTATGTGTGAATTTGATCCTGTCATCATGATGCCATTTGGTTATTTTGCACACTAGTTGATGGAGTTTCTTCGTAGTGTCATTGGTCTTTATGTTTTGTTGTGTTTTTGCAGTGGTTGGTACCAGTTTTTCCTTTCCATATTTAGTGCTTCTTTCAGGAGCTCTTGCAGGGCAGGCCTGGTGGTAATGAAATCCCTCAGCGTTTGCTTGTCTGTAAAGGATTTTATTTCTCCTTTGCTTATGAAGCTTAGTTTGGCTGGATATGAAATTCTGGGTTGAAAATTATTTTAAGAATGTTGAATATTAGCCCACACTTTCTTCTGGCTTATAGAGTTTTTGCTGAGAGGTCTACCATTAGTCTGATGGGCTTCCCTTTCTAGGTGACCTGTTCTTTCTCTCTGGCTGCCCTTAACATTTTTTCCTTCATTTCAACCTTGGAGAATCTGACGATTATGTGTCTTGGGGTTGATCTTCTCATGGAGTATCTTAATGGTGTTCTCTGTATGTCCTGAATTTGCATGTTGGCCTGTCTTCTAGGTTGGAGAAATTCTCCTGGATAATATCCTGAAGTGTGTTTTCCAGCTTGTTTCCATTCTCCCCATTTCCTCTGGTACTCCAGTCAATCATAGGTTTGGTCTTTTTATAAAGTCCCATATTTCTTAAAGGCTTTGCTCATTCCTTTTCATTCTTTCTTCTCTATTCTTGTCTGCATGTCTTATTTCAGTAAGGTGGTCTTCAAACTCTGATATCCTTTCTTCTACTTGGTCAATTCAGCTGTTGTTACTTGTGTATGCTTCACGAAGTTCTTGTACTATGTTTTTCAGCTCCATCAGGTCATTTACATTCCTCTCTAAACTCGTTATTCTAGTTAGCAATTCCTCTAACCTTTTATCAAGGTTCTTAGCTTCTTTGCATTGGGTTAGAACATGCTTCTTTAGCTCATCATAGTTTTTACTATTCATCTTCTGATGCTTACTTCTGTCAATTCGTCCATCTGATCCTCCATCCAGTTCTGTGCCCTTGATGGACAGACATTGCGATCATTTGGAGGAGAAGAGACACTCTGGTCTTTTGGGTTTTCAGCATTTTCTTTGTTGATTATTTCTCGTCTTTGTGAGTTGGTCTTGTTTCAGTCTTTGAGGCTGCTGACCCTTGGATGGGGTTTTTTGGGGGTCTTTTTGTTGTTTTTGTTATTGTTGATGATGCTATTGTTGCTTTCTGCTTGTTTTTCCTTCAATAGTCCTGTCCCTCTTCTGTAGGGCTGCTGCTGTGTGCTAGGGGTTTACTTCAGGCCCTATTAATCTGATTTGCTCTGTGCCTGGAGATGTCATTCAAGGAGGCTAGAGAGCAGCAAAGATGGGTACCTGATCCTTCTTCTGGGACCTCTGACCTTGAAGGACACCAACCTGATGCCACTAGGATTGCTCCTGTATATGGTGTCTGACAACCCATGTTGGAGGGTCTCACCCAGTTGGGTGGCATGGGGAGCAGGACTCGTTTAACAAAGCACTTTGTCCCTTGGTGGAGAGGGTATGTTTCACTGGAGGGAAACCCACTTATCTGGTCTGCCCAGATTCCTCAGAACTACCAGGAGGAGTGGTTAAGTCTGCTAGTCTGCAGAGACTGTGGCCACCCTTCCCCCTAGAGGCTCAGGCCCAGGGAGATCTGAATTCTGTCCCTGAGCCTCTGGCTGGGATTATTGGAGATCCTGCAGGGAAGCCCCACCCACTAAGGAAGGATGGGTCAGGGTTACGCCTGAAGAGGCTTGTAGTAGAGACAGGGTTTCACCATGTTGGCCAGGCTGGTGTAATACTCCTAACCTCAAGTGCTCTGCCCACCTCGGACTCTGAAAGTGCTGGATTGCAGGCATTAGCCGCCACTCCCAGCCCAAGTTCCCCCTTTTAATGCCTTTGAGAAGGTATAACCTGTGTCACTTTCTCAGATTTCAAGGTCCAGGGGTAGATTGCCAATAAACCCAATTCTGGGAGTCAGTGTCAGTACATTTCCCTGATATCACCCTGAAATCCTGATAAGTTAAAGTCAATAAACATTAGTTGAGTACCTGGTATGAGTCAGGCAACATGGCAGGCATTAGAGATACAAAGAGCTCATAGGCTGGTGAGGTGGACAGACATTTAAATGCAAAAATATAGTATAATGAATCCAATAGTAGAGGGATGTGCAAAGCAATAAAAGGGCAGGGAAAGCTTTGCAAAAGGAATGGATTGAGGTGGGTTTTGAATGATGAACAGGAGTTTGCCAGGTGGGAATAAGGAAAATAGCACAAGAAGGGAAAAGTAAGTGCAAAGCACATCCACAGGAACATCGTATTCTCAGGGAACTGAGCATGGTTCATTGTGGCCATAGTTTACTGCCTGGTTTCTGGCCTATTGGCACCCCCTCAGAAACTCTGTGGAGAGGACAGGAAGACATGCATGTGTGTAAGCATGTGTTCATCTATGCACTTGAATCTGAGGGTAGGAAGTGATGGCATTTTACAAGGCGGTGTCTGGAATCTTGTGAGTTGTGGTCAAATGCCGGAGCCTAGTGATGCTGTGTTAGGAAGGGGATTGCAGGGTGACACCTGATTCCTTGAGGCATTGAGATGACTGTTAATAAACAAAATTATAAGACACCTGGGGACAGGAAATATGTCCCATTTAGGACTTTAGAAAAATCAACTTTTGACTGATCCAATTTCAGCAATATGGCAGACTGAGAAACATGAAAACCCTCCCACTGCAATGCCTAGAAAGGATTTATAAAATATAATACAAATTATTTTAAATGCAAAGCCAAATTCATACATTCTTAAAACAGGAACATCTCCAAGTGCCAGAAAATGGGTCACTGGAAACCACAGAGGTGACCTGAAACCATAGGCCAGGGTAGTTCAGGGATAAGGGATGCAGATGGATAGTGAAGGGTAAGGGGAAGCTTACAAGGAGGAATCAAGAAATCCACAATCATAGTGAGACTGTAACACACCTCTCTGTTACTGATAGTTCAAGCAGACAAAAACCAAGGTTTAGATTTGAATATCATAGTAAACATTCTATTTGTCCTTGGGGAAACCAAACAAACATTATAGGATCCTCAGCCACAGCCTAAACCCTTGAAGCACTTTCTCAAAAGGAACAAAGATCCATGATATGGAAGTGAAGAGTGCTTCCCTCCTGTTTGGGATCTTACCTTTTATGTGAATCCTGAATGATAAATAAAAGTTCTAACAAATGAGCAGCTCTCACGAGGGACACAATGGATGAGGAGGATTCTTTTGACCCTGATTAGAAGGGAAGAGGAGCAATTGAGAAATAAATATTAGAGTTAAACTGTTGTGAATGTGTATTAGTTTTCTATGCTGTGTAACAAATTACCACATATTTAGGGGCTTAATACAAGACTAAGTGAAAGAAGTCAATCAAAAAAGACCACATATTATGCAAGTTCATTCACATGAAATGTCTTGAAAAGGCAAATTTATAGAGACAGTCAGTAGTTTAGTAATTGTGTAGGGCTGAGGAGTTGGGGAGTAACTGCTAATGTGTGTGGAGGTTTTTTGGGAGGAGATGAAATGTTCGAAGATTGTGGTAATGCTTACAAACTCAGTGAATACACTAAAATTCATTGAATTGTACATTTTAAATAGGTGAATTATATAGCATACAAATTATACCTCAATAAAGCAATTAAACATGCACACTAACACATACATACACACATTATCCTGTCACAGTTTCCATGGGTCATGATTCTAGGAACCATTCAGCTGGGTCCTCTGCTCTCAAATGGTTGCAATCAAGGTGTCATCTGGGCTATGTTCTCATCTGGAGGCTCAGTTAGGGAAAATTTGCTTCCAATCTCACTCAGGTTGTTAGCAGAATTCACCTTCTTGCATCTGTAGATCTGAGGGCTTTGGTTTCTTGCTGTATTGGGTAAAGACCACCCTCAGCCGCTAGAGGCTGCCTGCAGCTCCCAGCACACAGCCCTCTTCATATCCAGGTCACATCATGGCCACTTGCTTCTACAGAGCCAGTAGGAGAGCAACAGTGAGTGCCAGTAGCATGGAGTCTTCTTTAATGTATTATGACATAATCATAGGGGTGATATCCCATCACCTTTGCCATATGCTTTTGGTTAGAAGTAGGTTGCAGATCCAGCCGGGCGCGGTGGCTCACACCTGTAATCCCAGCACTTTGGGAGGCCGAGGCAGGCGGATCACGAGGTCAGGAGATTGAGACCATCCTGGCTAACACAGTGAAACCCCATCTGTACTAAAAATACAAAAACTTAGCCGGGCATAGTGGCAGGCACCTGTAATCCCAGCTACTCAGGAGGCTGAGGCAGGAGAATGGTGTGAACCCAGGAGGTGGAGCTTGCAGCGAGCTGAGATTGCGCCACTGCACTCCAGCCTGGGCGACAGAGCGAGACTCTGTCTCAAAAAAAAAAAAAAAAAAAAAGAAGTAGGTTGCAGATCCTACTCACACTCAAAGGAAGGGGATTTGAATATTAGAAGGCAGGGGTCATTGGGAGTAACCTTAGAGTCTGTCCACTGCTGGCCACGACCTGGATATAGACATTCTGTGTTGCTATCCTGGGACTGTTTATCAACAGCTTCCTCACCAATGCCAGAGCAGGGTAACGACTTCCCATCTCACCTTCGGCATGTTGTTGATACAATTTGTCCCATAGCCATTGCCTATAAATGATGGCGAACACAAAACTTGCTAGTTTTCACTTGTGTATTTTATAAAAGTACTATACGACTATGGAAACATTCCAAACAGTACAGATAGGTATAAGTATTAAGTAAAGATTCTCTATGTCTTTTCTTGTTCACAATCACCTTGTTCTACTTCTCATGAGTAATCTTTGGAAATAGTTTCTGGATAGTGCAAATTATCAAGATTATCACCATTTCAGTATAACAAGAGCACCATCCATACAAGCAAAAATAGGAGTTCTCCTGGGCCAAGTGAGTTATTTAGTTTTCTGAGGCAGCTAAGATGAAGATAAACAGATAAGAGATTCAGTAAGGTGGAAAAGAGGTGAAAACAGGGCCACTGCAGAGAGGCAGCCTCCAGCCTGTGCTTCTGTGCCCAGGCTCAAATAATAAAAGTTCAAAGATAGGTGGAGAAGACATTAAAACCAAAAGGATAATTACAAAATAAGAAAATTAAAAGGAATAAAATAAAGCAATTTACATAGTATAAAACCAATAGATTACTTAGTTGGAAGTAAAGAGGAAAAATATTATAAAATATCTATGAAAAACATGAAAGTAAATAAAGGTCATAATGAAAGCAATTAAAAGTCCAAACATAAACTAGAAAACCTAGAGAAGATGGATAAATTCCTGGAAATATACAACCCTCCTAGATTAAACCAGGAAGATATAGAAACTCTGAACAGACCAATAACAAGCAGTGAGATTGAAATGGTAATTAAAAATTTGCCAACAAAAAAGAGTCCAGGACCAGATGGATTCACAGCTGAATTCCACCAGATATTCAAAGAAGAACTGGTATCAATCCTGTTGACACTATTCCACAGGATAGAGAAAGAGGGAATCCTCCCTAAATCATTCTATGAAGCCAGTATCATGCTGATACCAAAACCAGGAAGGGACATAACAAAAAAAGAAAACTACAAACCAATATCCTTGAAGAACATCGATGCAAAAACCCTCAATAAAATACTGGCTAACCAAATCCAACAGCATATCAAAAAGATAATCCACCATGATCAAGTAGGTTTCATACCAGGGATGCCGGGATGGCTTAACATTTGCAAGTCTATAAATGTGATACACCACATAAACATAATTAAAAACAAAAATTACATGGTTATCTCAATAGAAGTAGAAAAAACATTCAACAAAATCCAGCATCTCTTTATGATTAAAACCCTCAGCAAAATTGGCATAGAAGGGACATACCTTAAGGTAATAAAAGCCATCTATGACAAACTCACAGCCAACATTATACTGAATGGGGAAAAGTTGAAAGCATTCCCCCTGAAAACTGGAACAAGACAAGGATGCCCACTTTCACCACCTCTATTCAACATAGTACTGTATGTCCTAGCCAGAGCAATCAGACAAGAGAAAGAAATAAAGGGCATCCCAACTAGTAAAGAGAAAGTCAAACTGTCACTGTTTGCTGATGATTATCATCATATACCTAGAAAACCCTAAAGACTCATCCAGAAAGCTCTTAGAGCTGGTAAATGAATTCAGCAAAGTTTCAAGATATAAAATTAATGTACACAAATCTGTAGCTCTGCTATACACCAACAGCGACCAAGCTGAGAATCAAATCAATAACTCAACCCTTTTTACAATAGCTGCAAAAAAATAAATAAAGTAAAATAAAATACTTAGGACTATACCTAACCAAGGAGGTGAAAGACCTCTATAAGGAAAACTACAAAACACTCCTGAAAGAAATAATA